>NC_000010.11:97870368-98173398 GCF_000001405.40 Homo sapiens
GATTCCCCTTATATGAAACTGAAAGACAGGCCAAACTCGCCTTTGATTGGGAGTCAGGATCAAGATTACCCTGGGTCGGGGGTAGCGAATGGATGGGGACCTGGGGGGCTTCTGGGAGCTCAGGATGTTCTGTTTCTTGATCAGAGTGCCAGTTACACGGGGTGCTCACTTCATGAGAATTCACTGAGCTGTATACTTAAGAGCTGTGTATTTGTCTGTACTGGTGATATATTTCAATAAAATTCACCAGAAAAGCCTGTTGGCTACAAAATAGGAAAAGAAAGGACACACTTGAAATTAACGTTTTGTTAAATATCTGGAAATGTAACACATATGCCAAACAGACAACTGCAACTCTATGTTACGTGTGTGTGTGTGTGTGTGTGTGAAAATGTAATGTCTGCTCTGCTGTGGGTGGGCCCTCTAAAAGGGAAGGTCCCTGATGCCTAAGAAAATCTGAAAACAGCCCAGGTTCACACCAGGAGTTCTTAACCTCGACCCGACTGCATTCAGGTGCATATTATGTGCCGTTATCTGAGGAGAGCATCTACAGCTTTCAGCAGATTCTCAAAGGGGTATGCAACCCCCTAAAAAGGTTAAGAACAATTGGTTTTGAGGAGTCAGTAAGAAACTGGCCATGAATGTGCTTGGCATGAAAGAGATGCTTGGTAATGTCGGTTTCTTTCCTTCCTTTCAGAGCCCAGCCTTCGGAGGTTTCCGCATGAGCCTTCTCGGGCGACTTCTAGGAGGATTTATTCCCCTGGCAGTGCCAAGGGCAGCCTGCACCAAGCTCACAACTCTTCCTCCAAGAGGATGTTCAAAGGGCCTGTCATTTCAGCATCTGCTGGACAGCAGAACTTCGCATGCAGGATCCTGGAGCTGCGTCGGGTTTTGAATCAGGGACAATGGAGGAAGTGGGAAACTGTGAAGAGAGTCAGAGGGCTGTGCCAGCTGCCCCCTTTCCCACCCCCAGCAATTCACTTAACTTTCCTGAGTCTCACCTTTGTCATTATGAGAATGTGTATATTTATAAATAATCATCTGTTTCTCCAATGTAAGATATTGTTATTGCAGAAGTGATACTAGGACCTCGTTATACGATGGCCTCATGATGTAGATTTATAGCAGGCTTCAGATTCTGGCATAGAATAAACAGATATTTATCCAAGGGTTCACTGATTCCCGAATAAATGCCAGGAACATTCATGTACATTATTATTCCATTTAATTCTCGAACACTGGGGTGTTGAAATCTTATTTTACAGATGAGGAAACTGACGTTCTAGGTGGTTAGGTAGCTTGACAAGGGCTAGTAAGTGTCAGAGCAAAGACTTGAACCTAAGTCTCTGACTCCAGATCCCACTCTCACTCTGCCACAAGAGTGAGACGTGGGAGAAGAGAGAGTGTTCTACCTGGATTGACTCATAAAGATAGAAGACAGATTCCAGACCAGAGAGAAACTCGTGGGCAAATGCATCCCCAGAAAAATTAGCTTTGCAGGGGCATGAAGGTACTAGTTATTTTGGAGTAATTCAAGTTATCGATTTCTGTAATGGAAAAGTGATTGGGAACCAGCTATCACCTGAGAACAGTGCTGAGTGAGGCCCCAAGAAGGGGGCAATGTTACACACAAGCTTACACACAGCTTACAAGACCTCAGAGATTGCGAGGGTCCTTTTCCCTGCTGCCCACAATTAATCAGTACACTTCTCAAGGGCAGGGAGCCTGTCTTACTCACTCCCCACCCCCACCCCCACCTCCCCCTATCCTGAGTGCTTGTTTCAGGGCCTGGCCCTGGCCAGGTGAATGGAAGATGCTGCCCATCTCAGGTTGGCAGGAAGAGGCAGGCCTATACAGATGTGTCATCTGCAGACCCCTAGGGCAAGGTGCCACTGAGAAGCAGCTCAGTACCATGCAGATAGGCAGTGGTCACTGAAGGATACAATTCACCTGCAAGTGGTCACCTTATAACTCAATTAAAGGATGGATGCAGTGACCCCAGGCTACCCCCTGAGCTGGGCAGCAGCTCTCAGTGATGTTGCCCTAGCTGTGACATTGTGGCTCTGCTCATGACCTCTACCTATCCTGGGAGAGGAGGGGAGGAAGCGTGTGTCCCACCCCAGTCGGCCCTGCCTGACACTCCCCAAACACCATTTTGAGGTGGGGAAAATCCTTCTGGTGCTGAATTCTTTACCTGAGAGATCTGGACCTCAGGCCCTAGAGAGTGAATTACTGTGAGTGAATCACTGGCTGGATGGCTGGCTGGCTGGATAAGTGGATGGATACAGAGAAGATGGGTATAGAGAGATGACTGATAGATCAGAGATGAGCGAGAGGCCTGCCTGGCTTGAGATGGATGCTCGCAGACCCTGGAGAGGCAGGTGAATGGATGGGTACCGATCGCCCCTGGGCTCCCCAGTGCAGATCTAAATATAGGGCTGGAGCTCTTCAAAGGGAAGATGCCGTGCTATCCCAGTCCCCAGATGAACTCCGCATTTGTAACTCTGAGTGATGGATGTGTCTTGTTGGGAAGAATCCTTATAGGTCTAATATTGCCCCAGCTAATGGCTTATGGATTGTTTTAAAGTCAGGCATTGCTGGAAGTGAAACCAGGAGGTTAAACGTCCTGGCACAGATTTTATGACAATATCTGCATTTCATCAGTCAGGCACTGCAGCAAGTACCTTATAGGCTCGAGGAAGCCTCACAACAACTCTATGAGGATTTTATCACTGCCTCTATTTTGTGGATGAAGAAACTGAGGCTCAGAGATGAAACAACTTCTTAAGGCCACTTCCAAATGCCTGGGTGGAGGGTCTGGATTTCAAGTCCATTTGATCCCAGAGTTTCAGTGTGAAGGGAAAATTTTAAGGACAGTTGAAAGGAAGGGAGAGGGGAGGGCCATAGGATTTGTGCACAGCTCTAAGAACGAACATGGCATTTTGGCACATGTGAGACACCTTCTGCAGTGGGAGGAGGCACTGAGACTTTCCAATGACTGGGTGACACGAGGGCAGCCCCAGGCTTCCTTCTCCCTCTTTCTTCTGTGTCAGCCTTCGAGGGCTCTAAACCTTGAGTCTGGGGATCTGAACTGCAGAGAGGGTGTATGTTTGGCTCACTTTCCTTCCTTTGGCCTAAACTTGTCCTTCTGCCATGGTCTCCATAAGCAGTTGGGGAAAGAGGATGTGCTTTTTTCCTGTTCCAGGAGCTCTACAGCCAGGTCTGGGGTGGAGGGAGGGAAGTTAGCCCTTAGATTTGTGGGGAGGGTGCATTAAATGACTCTAGGGGATGAGATCCTTCCTGGCTGCTCTGGGGCTGGCCATGAAGAAGGAGAACCAGCTAGCTTTAGGGGAATTATTCTGGCCCCAGACTGCTTTCCTGCTGGCAGGCAGGCTGAGGGCATGAGGTTCTGGGCGGGACGTTCTGGGAACGGGTGATACAGATTCTCCATCTGCCGCACCCTTCTCCTGACCCTGCCTCCCTCCTCACAGCTGAACAGGCTCCTCTCTGCACTCGGGACCCCCATTCAGATCTGTATTTAATCCCAGCTGAGTTCTAAGGACCAAGTATGGTTCTTCTGTTACTTGATGGGCACGTATCCTGACTCAGTTTCCATGTCAGCAAAGTGGGAAGGATAAGCCCTGCCTCTCTTATTCCTGATCTTGTTCATACACTTGGGCTTCTGGAATACCTGGAGCTTTCTGGAGAAGGGTGCTGGGAGCAGCCTGGAGCTGAGCTCTTTTGAGGAGCAGCCGGCAACCCGGCAGGAAAAAGGACCAGACGGGGGTGCAGATGCCTTGGGAAAGTTGCAGCTCCTTTTTGGGCCTTGGTTTCCACGTCTGAAAAGGAGGGAAGAGGACTAGATGACTTCTCAGGTGTTCCTGGATTTAAAGCTCTAGGATTCTGTGATTGTTGAGGGCCAAATTCCCAGGCCAGTTCACTAGCTCCTGGTGACCTCTGCTCTGTATGGCCCAGTCCATGCCATGCCCGCCTAGCTCAGTTCACTTTGTTTTATGACTATTCTTTCTGGGAATGGCACTGCATGAGAATTCAGCAGAACATAGCACAGCCCAGGCCCCAGGAAGGTTGGCTCTGCACCTTATGGCCATTTGCCATCTTTTTCTGGTGAATCTGTCAGTTCTCCAGAGGTGGCCCCGTCCTGCCCATCTCTCCCACCACAGGTGTCCTGGGTGGCAGCAGGGTGTACCGGGAAGCACAGGAGCTTTGGCACTGAACGGGCCCGGGGCTCCATCCTGAACGTGGCTACTTAATAATAGTATCTCTAATTTGTTGGGGGCTTTCTATGTGCCAGGCACCATGTCAAGTCTAATATAATAACTCTGTGAGGTATTATCCCCATCTTGCAGATGGGAAAACTGAGGTTCAAAGACACCTTACCTACTTTAAGTCTTTGCTCAATGCCTCTTTCTCAGGGAGCCCCCCTGCCCCCGCCGCTATTTAAAATGGCATTCCACCTCCATCCGGGCCTTCCCGGATGGCCTTGATGTTACTCTTCTCCAGCCCTCCATAGCACGTATCATGCTCCAACATGCTACAGACTTTCCTTATTCTGGGTATTGTTTAGTGCCTGCCACGTCTTGCTAGGGCAGGGACCTTTGCCAGTGTTGTTCACAGATGTATATCCCAAGCCACTAGAACAACATCCAGCACACAGTAGGCGTTCAGTCACTGTACATCACATGAACAACTGGTTAAATAACTTCCCCAGTGTCAGTTACCTAGAGATCGCACAGCATAAGGCTTAAGAACCCAGGCTTTGGAGCTAGTCATGAGGTTGAATTACAGCTCTTGCCACTTTAGCTAGCTATGTGACTTTGTGTAATTTACTGTTTCTGAGTCTCAGTTTCTCTGGTAATAAAATAGACTCATAACATTTATATTCTGGGATGGGTGTGAGTATTCATGGAGACATGGATGTAAAGTTCTTGGCATATGGCAGGCATTGCATAAATGTTAGCTGCTTTCCTGGAGGATGTTTTTCTTCTCTCTTGCGTCTCATTTTCCCTCTGGTGGCCTATTTTTTGACCACTTCACTGTCAACAGTAGTTCCTTAGAGGACAAGCCACCGTGGGAGAGGCTGGCGTCATCTGTGGTGTTAACCAGCCCATGTTCTCTTGCCTTCCTTCCAGGATATGCCTGTTGCTACAGACACAACAGCAACTTCTGGCATGTTCCTGGCCCCTGTGGCTGGGGTTCTGGCCTCAGAGAAGACTGGCCCTGGGCACAGGGAGGCAGGGAGGGGCTCGGTTTGCCTTCTGGGCTGGAAGTCTGGGTGGAGGTTCAGCCTGGAATCTGTTGGAAGAACTTGGCTGGCTCCCTGCAAAAATGAAGTGCTCATCTTCCTGTCTACACGGGGCTCTTGGAGTCTGGAGCGGAGTTCCTGCTTCGGCCGAGGTCCAGTGGCACTGGCCTGGGTGTGATACCCAGACCCTGGGAGGGGGCCATAGCAGCCAGAGTGACACATAATCAAACTCCTGGCCCTCAGAATGGCACCTTCCCAGAGTAGGGTTGGCAACCGTGTAGATGCTTGAAGAGGCCTAGTGGATGGTTTACCATTCTGCCTCAGTGAAGGTTGGCTGAGCCCGCCTGGCGAGGGGACTCTCGACATTAGCAAGCACTGCCACCTCTTCTTGCAGACTTGAACGTGACCGTGGGGAGGACTATTTCAGATCACTAGGCCTCCAGGGGCTCCATTTTTCCCCTCCCAATCCTGCTCTTGATCCTGGGCAGCATGAGTGACTGTGGCTTTTGCTTAAACCAATTCACCATCCCAAATGAAGAAGGGAGTGGTAGTTGAGAGTGCCAGCTGACAGCCAGACTCCTGGGATCCAGTCCTGCCTTCGTCTGTCTGGGCTGTATGACCCTGCACAAACCATTTAGCTTATCTGTAAACGTGGGATAATTACAATACCTTCCTCTTGAGATTATTATGAGGATTAAACGAGTTGATTATTGTAAAGAGTTTAGATTCAACCCAGACACGCCAAGCCCACTAAATGTAAGCTATTATTGTCATTTTAAGGGGTATGTGCCTGTGAAGAGGGAGTATTCTTGAGCAGAATAAAAATGGTATTATTCTTATTATTTCTTTTTTGTTGAAAAATGGGGAGCATTTTTGTGGCAGCACTGGCCCACCTTCCCACTGGAGTGAGTTGTGGCTGCCTGGTGCAGGCAGGTGGGGCACCAGCTCCTCCATTTGCATAATCCCTTCCGGGTCCATTTCATTACTTGACTGCCCCTAAAGGCATTTGTTATTTTTGTTACAAATTAAAGTGTAGCATAAGGCAACAAAGATGTCAGGAGCCTAGGTGGGGCTAAGGGACAGGGAAAAGACAGACTTATCTGTGTGCAGGAGGGGACGGAACGGTTTGGGCTCCCACGGGTCTCAGAGAAAGGGATTAGAAGAAAGAGGGGAATGGGAATGCTGAGCCTGGGTAGCTTGGGGGTGGCTTTGCACCCGCAAATCTGTGGCTGGTATAGCACAGACCAGTAGATGCATTGAATTTGAGGCACCTGTTCAAAAAGCCTGTACTGCTAGCTCAATGAGGAGGCTCTGTTTTTTTTTTTTTTTTTTTTTTTTTTTGGTAAGGGGGTAGGTAATGTTGAGTGGGTTCACTATCCACCTGTCCTCTGTATCTTTCAGCCTTGTATCTCTTGCAACACAAGCATCTTGGGGGCAGGGGACTTGTCCACCTCATTAGAGGGTCTCTATCACATTCCTCATGGGAGGAACCTAGTGCTTGTCATACAGGATATTCTCAATAAATGCTTGCTGAATGAATATGTAAATGAATGAATGCAGAGAGCTTGCTTTCTGGTATAGCAACCTGAGAATTCAGCTCAACTTTTTAGAAAGCCCCTTGGTGTCCCACTCCCATCCCATGCACTTGGCTCCTCTATCTGGCTGGAGGGAAGGCAGCGTAGGGGTGGCAACAATGTTACCTTCACTTACCATTACATACCTAGAGCGTAGCTCAGTACCTGGCACATAATAGGTGCTCAACAAATATTACTTTCACTTACCATTGTATGCCTAGAGCCTAGCTCAGTACTGGGCACACAGTAGGGGCTCAACAAATATTGCTTTCACTTACCATTGTATGCCTAGAGCCTAGCTCAGTACCTGCACATAGTAGTAGGGGATCAACACATATTACTTTTACTTACCATTGTTACCTTCATTTACCATTGTACGCCTAGAGCCTAACCAAATATTTGGCACATTGTAGGTGCTCAATCAGTATCTGTTGAACTCATGAATGAATCAAATGGAAGCCTTATCCTGGAGTCTGAGTGCTGCAGTGGTGCTCTTATCAGCTGTGGGAACTTAGAACTCCTCTTTGCAACTCACTGGACCCCACTCACCCAACAGGATCACATGACACAGATATACCCTGTTATATAAAACTCATTGTGAAGGCATTCATGGTTGTCACTTATAAGGCATCATCTGAAGTCTGCTGTCACCCTGAACCCCCTGATGTCCTTGGCAGGCCATCTCTGTAGTTGTCTTGTCCCTTATTTCTTGTGCTGTTGTGTATGGACAGTCAATGGGCTCTGTTATCTTGTCATTTACCACTGCATTTGGAACCATTCCTCCATGGGTTTTGGGTTTTACTTATCTCACTATCTTAGATCCACTTTGTTCATTTTTTAAAAGGCAGCAGCTTCCAGAAGGACTAGGGAATAGTCTGAACAGTGACAGAGCTGCCTGTTACCCTCTGACAAGATGGTGTGGTGGGAAAGGGCTCCAGCCCTGGCCTGGGGAGCAGTGGGCTCCATGACCTTGGGCACAGTGACCTTGAACACTTCAGCTCTCTGAGCCTCATCTCTGGAGCCCTTTCAGATCTTTAGTTCTATGTCAATACACAGGAATGGGCTTTCTAGAAGTGGAATGATTTTTAAGTTGGTGTCTGCTTTTCAGGGAAATTGTAGCTGTTTTAATTTAAAAACTTTTCATTTATGCTTCTGTTCTAAGTGTAAAAACAGCACTAGCTACAAGGAATTCATATTTTGTGATTTATTAGGAGTATTACCATGATATCAGAAAATGGCAGGGGCTTTTTTTTTGTTGAATATGTTTTTAAAAGGGTTGCTGCATTCTTAAGTGTAATTTTATTATATCCTGGGATGACTTTTTTTCCCCATGAAGAATAGATCTATGTTTTATAACAAGCCTTCACTACTGAGGCTGGTCGTGAGCATATTCTGTGGCGTTACATCATTTCCAAAGAGTGTTCTGGCTACAGGAGCATTCTATTTTCCAAGGAGATTGCAGAGACCAAGTAGCAAGGTTCTTTCTAGAAATCAGAGTAACCTGAGATGAGCCAGGCCTATGTCCAGCCAGACATTGAGGAGTCTTAGAAAGGAAAGGCCCTTAGGGATATACCAGCCCAACTCTCTTGTCATCTACATTAGGGAAACTGAGGCACAGCATGGAGAAGTGACTTCCTGCAGGTAAAAGGCCTAGAGTACACACTCCATTTCTGCCCCTCACTCATCACACATCCTTCACTTGGCCCAAACCCTGGTCCCCCAAATGTGAACATTGTTGTACGCAACCAAACCACTGCTGGTGCCTGAGGGTGACACCTGCTTTGTGTTATGATCTGCTTTCAAAGCATCTCATGGTGGAAGGGCTGCTCCTAATTCAGCATTCCAATCAGTTCTACTTGCCCCAGACCCTTTTTATCATCAGTTTGGCACTAATATCTAGTAGAGAGTTTATTGGCATAATTTCTTCAGAAAAGAGGCTGGAAGGCTTAGCAAGTTCAAATGATAACATTTTTATCAAGAGTCCCAAAGGACCACCCTTTTCCCTCCCATCACCACCACCAACACCAATAAGGCTTTCTCTAGCACAGGAAGTCAGGGGCAAAAAGCAGAAACAGCACAGGCCAAACCAGCAGGCACATGGTACATTATCGGATCAACCGGCAAGCAACCACCTGGGAGCCATCTTTGTTAAGGGCAAAATAATGAGCTCACGAGACACTGGAGGATACAAGACTATCTTGATTCTTCTGAAGGAGTGAGGGAGACTGGATGGGGTATTGGAGACTTTCCTTTCTGTTTTCTCAGAAAACATGCAAAGAAAGTCTTCACAAACAACTAAGGTTGTGTCAGTATCGCCCAACCTTCCCTTTTCAAAGATGGCCACCCCTGTTGTCCATTCAGAGGGAGCACACAGCAGAACCTACTGGGCGTGGAGAGAGAGACAAGCAGCAGGAGAGAGATTTAGTTTTCCACAAAGGCTGTTAGTTTTGTTTTGTTTTTTCCTTTATTGATGGGATTTAAAGTGCATATAACTGAAGGCAAAGTCCAAGGCCTAGAGAAAGATATGAGGCCCGAGAGAGAGGCTCAGAGATTCTAGAGGCGGCTGAAGAATACCCACCTAAAAAGGCCACTTGAGCTGCAAAAACGATGCGGCGGGGAGACAGAAAATGGGAAAAAGAGAAAGGGGGTGGGGACGGGGTGGGGGTGGAGGAAGGAGTTTGGGAAGAAGAAATTACCAGTTTAGAAATTCAGCCAAAGATGAGTAGTAGGAGTTAGTTTATATCCCAGCTATGAAAATACGGGCTGACCTCAAGGTAGGAACAGTTGTTTTAGGAAAAGTAAGAAGAATGATAGCCTCAGGCCAGGACACAGCATCCCCTGGCCCTTCAGGTGATGGTAGAAGTGATGGGGCTTCTCCAAGCCTCTGTCATGGTCTTCCCTGGAGACCCAATATGGGTCAAAGGAGACTCTATCCAGCCAGGAGAAGGAAGGGGCTGGGGACCTTGATCTGGGGCCTACCCAGAGCTCCCCAGTGGAAAGCAACATCCTTTTGCTACTGGCCTATGGCTGGGGCCCCACTCACCCACGCAGGCTGTGCCATCCTCGTTGGGCTCGTAGCCCCGACTGCACTTCTTGTTGGTCCGGCACCTGTAGCTTCCATAGGTGTTGACACATACGGGCTTGTCTCGAGGGCACACGAATGGGAACTGGATGCATTCATTGGTGTCTGCAAGGCGAGGGGAACCACTCACCATGAAGGTGTGGGGCAGCAAGTACCAGCCCAGGCTCTGCCTGCCTATACACTGTCTGGCTTTGGGAATGTGCCTTCCTCGCAGAGCCTCAGTTTCCCTGCTTCAGTTCCCTTGGCTGGCTCCTCCTGTACTTGGTCTCTACATGCTGGGGGCAGGGGGTGGGCACTCAGGCTTGGTCCTGGGTCCTCTCTTCTGTCTACTACAATCGTTCTAGGTGATCTCTTCATGCATGGATGATTCCGAAAGTTCTATCTCCAGTCACAACCTCTCCCCGTGGCTCCAGACTCACGAATACAATAACCCATGACCTACTTGACAGCTCCACTTGGATGTCTAAGATGCACCTCATGCTTAATATGTCCAAAATAGAACTCCAGATTCTGCCCTGCCCTGCCCATATTCTGGCCCTCTGTTCTGTCTTCTCTAGCTCAATCAACACCCCCATCATCAATCAGCTGCTCAAGGGGAAATCAGAGCGACCCCTGATTTCTCCGTCTTTCTTGCCCCCTGTGCAATTTCACAGCAGAGCCTGTCCACTCTGCCCCGCAGTCCACCAGTCCACCTCTCTCTGTCACCTCTTTCTCATTCCTCTGCCACCACCCAATTTCCTGCCATCGTGACCTCTTGCCTGGATTTCTGCAGCTGCCTCCTCACAGAATACCTGGCTTCCCCTCTTCCCTCCAATCCACTCTGCAATTCAGCAGCTGGAGGGAGCCTTTAAAAATGTGAATCACATCATGTCACTCCCCAGTTTAGCTTCTAAGGCTCCTAAGAGCAAAATTCAGACTCCCTACAGGGGCCTCATGGACTCTCCATCATCTCCAGGCCATACTGGCATCCCTCCTGCTCCTTCAACACACAAAGCCTTTGTCCTGTCTCCCGCTTTTCACTCCTGCCCTTCCCTCAACTCTTTCTGGGCCTAGATCCTTCTCATCCTTCAGGTCTCAGCTCAGAGTCTTCCCCCCGAGGCCCTCCCTGACCACTCTCTCTGGAACAGTCTCCAGGGAGCACCTTGCTCAGAGGGTTCTGAAATCATCTTGTCCAGGTGTGTGGTCATGCGTTCAGGGTCTGTCTCCCTCCACTAGAATGGATGCCCCTCTTGTGGAGGCGCGGGGGTGGCACTTGGCCTACATCCCCAGCTCCCAGCATGACACTTGCTGTGTACGAGGCACATAACTGCCTGTTGGGCGATGAAAAGGAAGAGGAGGCTGATCTCAAAGGGTCCTTCCTGCAGGCAGAGAAGACTCTGGAATTTCTATGCACCTGCACTATGTGTTTGGAGTGGGGCTGGGTGGGCATGTGGAGAGTGTAGGGGAGTCATTTCCTCCTCCAGCCACCCTTGGCACCACTGCTCCTCCACCTCCCCACCTGTGCTCCTTTGTTCAGACAGTGCCCCCCACCAGAACCATGTCTCCCCTCTCTGTGACTGCCGAACTGCTCCTCATTCCTCAGGGCCCAGCTTGGACCTCACTTTCTCTAGGGCACCTTCTAGGACCCTCCCTAGGCTGGTTTAGGGCCCCTGCTTTGTCATCTCCAAGCCCCTGCCCTCCCCCATCTGGGCCCTGATCACACTGTGTGGTCGACAGCTGTTTACTTTTGTGGCTCTCCATTGGTTTTCAGCTCCTGAGAGTGGTATCTGTCTTGTTTACTCCTGTATCTCAGTAGCAAAGGGTTAATGAGCAGCTGCAGAGTAGACTTGGGAAGAATGCTGGATGAGGGTTCAAGGAAGGAGGGATCCTTGGCCTGACCCCTCCTTGCTGGTCACTGGGATGGAAAGTGTTGGGGGTGAAGGTCTCCTGGACACTGAACTTCTAGGCTGCCCCTTCCCATTCCAGGCTCTTGGGGACTTTCAGAAGGTTCTTGGACCGTCAAGGAGCTGCCATCCTGGTAGTGCTGCAGCTACCTGCCTGCCCCAGTACTGCACCAGGCTGCAGTCTCCGTTCCACACTGTGACCACACTCCATACACTATTTTGCCCCAATGCCCTTGGCAATGCACACCCTTGCCTGCCAGCCCCCTTGCTTGCTGCTCCACATGGACTTGCTGGCCATGGCATGTGGCTATTCCCCCTGTGCCAGGTTGGTGGTGTGTCTCCTTCCCATCTGCAGTTTCTCGGTACTCATGGCAGGAAAACACTGCCAGTTTCCAGAACCGCAGTGATTCAGCCTGTGGGTCACTAATATCACTCCCACCCTGGTGAGTCATGTGGTGGTTGTCTTGGCATCTGGAGTCCCAGGACAAACAACACCCTCCCCTGTCCTCCTTTCTGCCCCTTGCTTGCACCCTGGACCTTGGCATGAGTCAGGCGGGCATTCCCCAGGGAGATTCCGGCCTCTACCCCATGCCCTGGTGACTGAAGGCAACTCACCCATGCAATGGCCATTTTCCTGCTGGGAGAATCCTTGGCCACACTGTAAGGTGGGCAGAAGCAGAGACATGAGTGAGTTGAGAAGGTCCCATCCCAGGTTCCCTCCTAGTCACAGCCACAGAGTAGTTGTCACCCTAACCACAGTGTGAGGCATGCTCTGAGCTCTGGGCCTGGGGGGAGCCCCCTCCCTTGTAAGACCCTTCCTTTGCGCTGAGAACAGAAGGCTGGCGGGAAGGCCATGAATGGATACGGTTCAGACTCTTGCTCATTTCCCTGTGCAAAGGATCCACACGAGCTGGGACGTCTAACAGAACCTGTCCCTTCTGTAGCATCACCCTGTGACTGAGGCTGGGTCTGTCAGGGCAAAGTGTAATGAGGGCTGGGAGATGCTTTTTGAGGTGTCTGCTCACTGCCCACATTCACTTCTCCAAGAACCTCTCCCTCACACGGGTGGGTGCCTGCAGCCATGCTTGTGTCCCACCTCTCTGGCCAGGGCTGATGGGTGGACATCCTAGCAGGAGGGAAGACTCAAGGCTTTGCAGCAAGAATTTGAACAAATTGACTCAGAGACTTAAGAGTTGGGAGCCGGCCCTGCCAGGCTGTGGAGGCTCTACCATGCCCATATGGGGGTCTCAGAGACAGCAGCCTGGGGTGGGGCAGGGGACTAAAAACGTAACACACATGACACAAAATGTCAATCAACCGTACTGATGAATGAGGTGGGTGGATGGGGATTGTTGGGGAAGAGGGGCCCCTCTCCTCCCAAAGCCAGTGCACTGACAAAGGTCCTTGAGCTCCTAGGGCTGAGGCCATCAAGCTGCCAGTTTCTACTCATCCTGAGCTTCCCTGAGTTTTATGAGTGATCCTCCTTATAAGCCCCCTTCATTTGTGTCAGTTTCAGTGGGTTCCTGTTAATCGCCACCAAGTGAACCCCATCAGAGTTGGAACGACACTGCTGAGATGGGTCCAGAGCTGCTCCTCAAAGAGCCTCCAGAAAACCTGGTGCAGGCTCTGAGCCCCACCCTAGGGCAATAGGAGGTCTTGTCAGAGACTCAGAAAGAACCAGGAGGGCAGCAACAGACCTGGGGTCATTTTAAAACTTTGCTCACAACTGGCTGTACAGCCTTGGTGGGCCTTGGTGGATTTCCTCTCTTAACCTCAGTTTTCTTCCTCTGTAAAATGGGTGCAAAAATGCTTGCCCTGCCAATACACCAGGGATTCTTTGAGAAGCAGAAGAGATGTGGGTGTGATAGTGTTGTGCAAACTACAAATGGAGGGATCAGTATGAAGCCTTCGCTTTGCCAAGATTTCCATCACTCTAGAGGCTGAGTTTGCAGATTCCTGGGAACCCAGCTTCAGCCCATGGGGTTGTGGGTGGTGCCCGCTTTTCTGGCTATGAGGCCCAGATGCCTTTGCCCACCTCCAGTGGGGCTGGGTCCTGAAGTGTGTCCTCATCCCGGGGGTAGAGGATCTCCAGCACTGAGTTCATCTCCCCGCTGGCCACGTTCCGGCTCACCATCTTGCCATCTGGCCACGTCACCTCCACACTGCTGGCTTCATCCTTCCCTGAGGGGCAGAAGGAGAGAGCATCAGCAGCAGAGGAGAGCAGGAGGCTCTCAGCGGAAGCATCAGCATCAACTAATTCATCCATTGAATAAAAGCATGAATTGAGCACTGTTCTAAGTGCTAGGGAAATGGTGAACAAGACAGATTTGAGGTCCCTCCTCTCTGGAGCAATGCTGTCCAATAGACCTGTCTGTCTGCAAGGACAGAAATGTCCTGCATCTGTGCTGTCCAGTACAGTAGCCACTGGTAACATGTGGCTGTTGAGCACTTGAAGTGGGACTCACGTGATTGAAGAGGTGAATTTTCAATTTTATTTAACTCTAATTAATTTAAATTTAATGGCCACACATGGCTGGTGGCTGCCATGTTGGATAGTGCAGCTCTTGAACTCACGTTCTAGCAGACAGGCCAAGCATCAGGAGGCTGTACTGGAGGATACAGTAAGGCCTGTGATAAGCAGGTTGTCTTTGGAGTCTGGCATTCAAATCATGGCTCTACCCCTTACCTGGTATGTTGGAAAGAGCATGGTGGGAAGTGGGTGGGAGACCTGGGGACAAATCCCAGCTGTGCAGCTAACTGGCTTTGTTATCCCAGGAATGCTTCTTGTGTTTCTATTTATTGAGCTCTGCTAAGGGCCAGGCTCTCTCTTGTCACTGGGGATGCCCCTGTTCTCATGGAGTTCCCAGTCCAGTTGGGGAGACAAGCAAACAGATGAACAAATAAATAATGCCAGATATTGACAAAAGTAGGGCAAGTAGGTAAGGAGGAGCTGGGGGTTGCCAGGGCCTTGTCTAGTCAGGTGGTCAGGGACAGCCTCTTAGGGAGGCGGCATTTGCACTGAGCTCTACATAATAACTTGGAAAAAGAGCTGGGCATGGTGGCTCATGCCTGGAATCCCAGCTACTCAGGAGGATGAGGCAGAAGTATTGGCTGAGCCCAGGACTTCAAGGCCAGCCTGGGCAACATAGTGAGACCCTGTTTCTGAAAAAAATAAAAACAAACAAAAAACAACTTAGAAAAGATGGAGTGATAAAGAGATGGCAGGTGGAGGACAGGGGAGAAAGACCATTCTACAAATCTAAGATGCTTACAGAAGATGATGGGAACCTCAGAGATATTCACAGTGAATCCATTTGCACACAACCCTAAAGCAACGTGCCACATCATTGGTGGAAAGCAGGCTGAAAAGATTTGTCAGATGTTTAGGCACTGTCAAAGCAGGCCCCAGCTCCCCGCGTAAGGAAACAGGCCCGTCACTGTGGCAAGGTCAGGCTAATGGTGATGGATTGGGGTGGGGAGGAGGCGGGGGCTGGGCCTCACCTTCCAGGAGAGGCTGCTCTCAGGTCAGCCCCTGGGAAGGAGAGCTGTGCCCAGCACAGACAGGGGGAGAACACAGCCCACTCTATCACCCATCAGGGCTGAGCAGATGTGGGGACACGGGGTCCTGCAGGGGGACCTGAAGTCAATACACTCCCCCAAACACCATTCCCAGGCTAAATAATATATCACCCACATATATGCACCATTATTTTTCCTAATATATGTAGATACTGTTAGAAAACAAATTAAACTTAAAATTGCTGTTGAATGTATATTCGCATTTGGTCATTACTATCCACCAATGAATTTTACAATGATAGCTACTATGGGGTGGACGGTAGTTGGCAAAATGTCTTGATGTATAAAAGGGGTTCCCATATTTTAGAAAAGGAGGTTTGGAGGCCACATGCAGACTTGGAGGAGAATCTCTGTGTAGACTTCCTGTAGAGACCACTGTGGGGCATGGAGGAAGGGAGCCGGGTGCTGGGGGGAGGACCCATGATGAGGGAGGTTCCAGAGGGAGTTACGCCTTGTGAGCCACATCCCCCAGCTTCTAGATCCTTCCCATGTTTGGTCTCCTTTTGCTCTCTCACCCTGGCCTCCAGGGGAGTATCACTGGAACATCCCAGCCTTGCTGCTGCCATGCTGTGAGCCTATGAGGGCCAGGACCAGAGCTACACTCTGAAGAGTCCATGGAGAGGCAGCCGCTGCCCTCATGGGCACAGCAGGCAGCAGCAACGGAGAGGCTCGGAGACAGAGGCTCATCCTCACACACTGAGTTCCCCTCCCACACAGCTCAGTTTCTCTTCCCACAGGGAAATCCTCTCTTTCCAGGCCCAACCTTACCGTTCTGGGTTTTGCTTTATCAAGCAAGAAATTATTTCTCATCACTCCCTCAATCTACAAGAATTCCTTCTGCAGAAGCGGGGTGAAAATGGGACTGGGGAGTGCCAACTACAGATTTTTTTTTCTTTTTTCTTTTTTTTTTTTTGAGATAGTATCTCAATCTGTCACCCAGGCTGGAGTGTGGTGGTGGGATCTCAGCTCACTGCAACCTCCCCCTCCCAGGTTGAAGCCATTCTCCTGCCTCAGCCTCCTGAGTAGTTGGGATTACAGGCATGTACCACCGCGCCTGGCTAATTTTTGTATTTTTAGTAGAGACAGGGTTTCGCCATGCTGGCCAGGCTGATCTCAAACTCCTGACCTCAAGTGATCCACCCACCTCAGCTTCTTAAAGTGTTGGGATTACAGACGTGACCCACCACACCCGGCCAGATTTCTTTTTTTTTTTTTCTAATTTGAAGTAGAATCTTGAGGCGCAAGAGATTTGGCATTTTCAGGGTGTACAGTTCCCAAGTTAAGTGGCACATATAAAAGGTAAATATTTGCCATTAAAAGAAGGAGACAAAGAACAGCAAATGTTTCTTACCTAAGCCTGCAGAACAGCTACATGAATGTGTTTTCCAGACTGACTGAAGGGCCACAAAGGACCCAAAAGAGTCACGGAATATTCATAGACAATCACAGATTTGCATGTGGTACTTGCGGCACTTAGGTTTTTTTTTTTTTTTTTTCTGTTTTTATTTTGAGATGGAGTTTTGCTCTTGTTGCCCAGGCTGGAGTGCAGTGGTGGGATCTCAGTTCACCACAACCTCCGCCTCCCAGGTTCAAGCAATTTTTCTGCCTAAAGCTTTCCCGAGTAGCTGGGATTACAGGCACCTGCCACCACACCTGGCTAATTTTGTATTTTTAGTAGAAATGGGGTTTCTCCATGTTGGTCAGGCTGGTCTCGAACTCCTGACCTCAGGTGATCCACCCAGCCTCGGCCTCCCAAAGTGCTGGGATTATAGGCGTGAGTCACCACCACCAGCGGGACTTAGTTTTGAGTACTGCTTCCGCAGCTTCCTCCAGACCCAGACGTGGTGCAGGGGGCCTGGGGCTATGAGATAAGCAGGCCTCAGAAAGCACAACCAGCAGGACTCCCTCCTCTGCCACTGTGTTTTGCTAACTTGGGCATCCTCTCTGGGCCTCAGCTACTTCATCTGTAAGATGGGGGTGCTGGCCAACAGCCTTACCACTCCTAGGAAGCACAGCCTTTCTACCCTGGAGCAGGAGTCCTGGCCTGCTGTTAACCATTCACCTCAGCATCCCTGGCACCATCGGCTCTTGGTCATGGGGTCTCCCTACAGTTTCCAAAGGGCTTTCAGGTGTTGGTAACAACAGTGAACACTGACAGCGTGCCCCAAGCTGTACCAAGTGCTTTATGATGCTAACGCATCGAAACTTCACATCTCCACGAGGAAGGTGCCAGTGTTATCATTTCTGCCTTAGAGATGAGAAGGTGGAGCCATGGACAGATGCAGTGAATCGCCCAGTTGCCCAGCAGAGGTCCGAGAGATCCCAGAGCCGGTATCTACTGTGCCCCTGTTACACTGCCCACCCTATCCCACGCCCAGCAGCCACCATATACCAAGCTTTGTGCAGGGATTTGGGATTCAACAGAGAATGAGACAGACCCAGGCCCCATTCTCATGATTCCCATGGGAGCGATGAATACAAGTGATTATATTATAAGCTGGGAAAGTGCCACAACAGCACTGTTACCATGTGGTGAGAGAGATGGGTCATTTCATTTGGGTATTGCAGGAGGAGTAAGAGTTTGTGAGGCGGAGAAGGGAAGGAAGGAGCGTTCCAGGGAGAGGATACAGTGTGGGCCAAGGTACAGCAGCGTGAAAGGGTAAGTTGTAGCTGAAGATCGGGAAGAAGTTCAGAGCGGGAAAGAGTGTCAGAATGTGTATCAGGTGGGAATGTGTATCAGAGGAGACTGGGGAGGGGCTTCAGAGGCTTCACACTTACGAGGTGGGTATTTATCCCCATTCTCCAGATACTGACATTGAGGCTTGACAAGGGGAAGTGACTTGCAGGTGTCTGAGCTAGGACTGGAAACCAGTCTCCTGTCCTTAGGCGCAGCTCATCCCTCTGCCCAGGAAATCTGCGTAACATCTTAAGTCTTTCCGGGGCTGCACGGGCTGAGGGGGACTGGCTCCCAGACACCGCACACCAGCAGCCTCGAAGCCAGCTGGTCCTGCCAGGCCTGTGTATAGGGGAGGGCTGAGCAGAAGAGCGCCCCCCATTAACCAGCAGAGACATGAGGTCAGGAGCAGCAGTGAGTCACCTCTGGCAGCTTTTAAAGGACAGAGGCCAAGGAGGCAGAGAGAATTGCACTTTTCAGAAGAATTACAAACAAAACAGATGGTGGGAATACAGTTGGTAGAATATTTTTGCACTTTAATAAAGCAATTTTTATGTGGGCCACTGAATTTCCCTTCCCTAAATGAGCATCAGCCGGCTCGGAGAGGCAGCTCTGAGTCACCTGCAAGCAATTAGCTGAAAGGCGGTGGCATGTGTGGGTGGGGCTGGGGCACCAGCAATACCAGGGGCAGTGGAGGCGGGAGGGAAGGGGGGGAGGGGGAAGGGGGGAGGGAGAATGGTTGGGGTGGCTGCCTGAGCCAGTGACTCCCAGTGGAGCTGGCGGAGGCAAATAGATGATTGGTGTTGTTTTTATTTTCCGGGTTTGGGAGTGAGCTGCCTCAGCCCGCTGCCAGCTGGGAAGTGGAGGGTGGGCATGTGGGGCTTGGGGGTGGGTTCCGAGCAACCAGGTTGGCGGTGGGGGAGCCCTCGACCAGGGCCATAAGCAGAAATGCTTATTTTCAGCTGGAGGTCCGTCTGCACCGAGGAGCAGCAGGGACAGGCCAGGGTGAAGAGGGGCTGTGGAACTTGGTGGGGGGGGGTCCACTGAGCAAGGCAGGGTCCACTGAGAAGGGACCCCACAGCAAGATGTCGCTATGAGAGCTCTGCACAACACAGTGGGCCCTCTGGGAACCCCGCATGCACTCATTACCCATGGACGGAGGTGGGGAGTACAGGTGAGGGCCTGCGTCCTCTGGGTGTGCTCCCGCGGGAGCAGACACGATGTACATGGGGCAAGGCTGAGGCTGTCTGAGAGATGCACACGTGTACACACTCACATACATGTCCGTGTACTCACACATGCGCACTGCACCTTGCTGCAAAGTCATGGGGAGGCAGCGCGTGACTCATGGAGGCAGGAAGGGGGCAGGGGCCCTGGGGGCAGGCAAGCTGAAGCCTTGTGAGTGCTGGCAGGGGAGCTTCCCGCCGGCCCCTCCCCTCTACTCCTCAGTCATGCGGGACCTCAAGGCAGGCCTTTCTCAGATTCATGTTGTTGACATTCCCGCTTCTCACCCCAACTGCTCAGAATTGGAAACAATCTAACTGTCCTTCCAGAGGGGACTGGGTAAATAGATGATGAGTGTGAGTGCTGTCTCACAGTGAAATACTCCACAGCACTGAAAGGAAACAAGATATATGCACAGACTTGGTATGCTGTCCAGGATGTGTACACACACACACACACACACACACACACTCTCACACGTGTATGTAAGACAGGCTCTCACTCTGTTACCCAAGCTGGAGTACAGTGTTGTGATCATAGCTCACTACAGCCTCAAACTCCTGGCCTTGAGCGATCTTCCTGCCTCATCCTCCTGAGTAACTGGGACTATAGGCTTGCACCACCACACCGGGCTAATTTTTGTAGAAAGGGGGGTCTCGCCATGTTGCCTAGGCTGGTCTTGAACTCCTGGCCTCAAGCAATCCTCCCTCCTTGGCCTCCCAAAGCATTGGGATTACAGGTATGAGCCGCTGTACCCAGCCTTGGACATAGGTTAAGAGGGGGAAAAAAAGCAAGTTACAGAAACAATTGGAAAATATCATTCTTTTGATTTTAAAAATTGCCAAGAAATATGTGTCTGTAAGTGTGTTCCTGTGTATATGACACGTAATAAAGGCATATCACAAGCATGACCTGTCCAACCTGGACCACTGTGTTGGAAAACTGCTCCTTGTTGCCCCTTCCTCTCTGCACTCCCAATCCATTCCTCTGTTCTGCATTTTCTTTTCTCTTTTCTTTTCTTTCTTTTTTTTTTTTTTGAGACGGAGTTTCGCTTTTGTTGCCTAGGCTGGAGTGCAATGGCACAATCTTGCCTCACCGTAACCTCTGCCTCCTGGGTTCAAGTGACTCTCCTGCCTCAGCCTCCCGAGTAGCTGGGATTACAGGCATGCACCACCACGCCCAGCTAATTTTGTATTTTTAGTAGAGACGGGGTTTCTCCATGTTGGTCAGGCTGGTCTCAAACTCCTGACCTCAGGTGATCTGCCCGCCTTGGCCTCCCAAAGCGCTGGGAGGACAGGCGTGAGCCACTGCACCCGGCTGCATTTTCTTTTTTTGTAGCCCATTATATCTTCTAACATTTTATATATTTACCTATTTACTATGTGTATTATGTATATAAGTTCCTTCTACTGGAACGTAGATGGCTTGTGGCAAGGATCTTCAGTTTTATGTTTGGCACACAGTACGTGCTCAGTAAATATGTAGTCACTAAATGAATCAAATGATATTGAGGGAAGGTGAAGGAAGAAACATTTACTTTTTCCTTAATATTCCAAACAGTGGTGAAATGATGAGTAATTTTTCTTCTTTTAAAAATAGTTTTCTTATTTTCCTATAATCAATATACATTGTTTTTACAATCAGAAAAAAAAAATTTCCCAAACATTCCCGTTCTTTGGACTGGACCTTCCCACTTCTGGGCCTTTGGCCAAGCCAGCCCAACTCCTAGAATGGTCTCCTTAGGCCCTCGTCCACCCCTTCTAAGCTCCTACTGTCCTTCTAGACCTAATTCCAGTCCCACTTCCTCTGGGAAGCTGCCCAGAACAAAACTGATTTCTCTCGCCTGAGTCCTCTCATGGCCACGGGGCCAGTATGGCGGTGTGTCCAGATCTGCCTTGCATGAGAGTCCCGTGTCCATCTGCCTTCCTCCGCCCACTGCCAGCCTGGAGGGCAGGGGGCATTTCTTCTCTGCCTCTTTCCCCATGTCTCTGCCTCTCTTGGTCTTCCACAGGTTCACCTCTGTCTTTCTGTCGCCCCCTGTTCTCGCACCCCCATGTCCTTCCCTCCATCTGGCCTTCTCCACTGGCGCCCTCGCTCCTGCTCCATTGCTGGCTCCCCCATCGGTCAGGAAGGGCTGTGCTGAGCTCCACTCATAAAAGATCCAGAGGGGCCTTGGAGCTGCAGGGATGGAACTGCCCCGCCTCTCGCTGTGTCCCTGGCGGCTGGGTTGGCCACCTGCTGAGGCGCCTCGTGACCCAAGGGCCCTGCCCCTAGAGCAGCCTGCCTTCTAGTGCCGCTGGGAATGGACCCTGTCAACAGAGAGAGGAGTCTGCCGGGAGGCCCCTTAGAGCAGTTTGAGCCAGAGTTCAGACCAAGAACAAATCCCAGGGCCTTGCAAAATAGCAAGGACTTGCACCAGGCGGAGCTCCCAATGAAGTGCAGTGTACATAAGCCTGAGTGTGGGGAGTAGGTGCCCAGAAGGGGCTCTTGAGCCTCCTTCTCCCCACCACATGACCTGGCTAAGGCTTTCCAGTTAAAAAAGCAATCTATTCTCCTGGCAGGGCAGATTCTGGCCAGAGAAGGGACCAAGTGAGGCCCCTAATACACCTCTTAAAATAGCAGAGGCTGCCCCTGAGATGTGGGGAAGGAGAATCTCAGCCCCCATTCTGCCCTTGCCATTGATTTGCGAGGTGAGCCTCAATGTCCTTATTGGCACAACGGAGTGGGGGAGTTGATATCCAACCAGAACCCTGGATAAGCAACCACCTACGATACCGTGGTGGTCACCTTGGTGCTTGGCTGGCTGCACAAAGCAGCTACCAGAGGTGTTAAGCCACAGTCAGGAACTCAGACCGTGGCGTCAGGGAGGTGGGATCCAAATCCAGCTCTCCTTACTCTGTAGATGTGTGGTTTGGGGCAAGTTACTTGACCTCAGCCTCAGTTTTCTGACCTGTAAAATGTGGGTTATGTTACCTGATTCTTCAAGTTGTGAAAATCAAATGAAGTGACTTAGGCAAACCACTCAGCCCAGTGCCTGGCACATACTAATTGCTTGATAAGTGTCGGCTACTGCTACTTTGCAAGACAGGACTATGTATTTAAAAGGTATCTTGTGCCTTTAGGGCCAGCTTAGCACATAGCTGCCTTAGGAGTGATAAACACTCCAACCTCAGGCTGACTTATCCAGGGTGAAATAGCCCAAGAAAATGATCATATAACCAGGCTCTGGGTCCCCTAAATATTTATTGCTTCTTTTTCAGACTACACATAAATATTATGTGTTCCCTATAAAAATTGGAGCACACACACACGACAAAACATATGGAAGAAAATAAAAACCACACGCTCAAGGAAGCCTGGGTTTGAATCCCAGTGCTGCCATTTAAGTATCATGTGACCTTGGCAGGTTTCTTAATTGTTCTGATCTTCAGTTTTCCCATGTGTAACATGGGGATAATATTGCTCATCTCACAAGGTAGTCATGAGGATTAAATGAAGTAATAAGAGTGAAGTGCTTGGCACTGTGTCTAGAATAAGTGAGAGTTACTATATTAATCCAGCCACTCTGACAGAATCACTGTTCTCACTTTTTGCATTGCCTTTCAGTTTTTTTTCTGCACATATGTGTGTATAATATTAACATTTGTATTTACTAATTTGAGACCATAGTGCCTATTCCTTTTATATTAAAATGGTATCATCTCATGAGGTGTGAACACCTGGGGAAGGTGTCTGATTTTGAACCTAGGAATGTTTGACTCCAGTGCTTTCTGAACCATTGCATTTCAGTGAAGACACTCTGGGCTCCTCTACTCCTGCTGGTGTTTCTCAATGTTTTTTCCATCACTGTAATCCCCTTACCCTGCCAGAAGCCTCTTTAGACTTTTTCCCCAATTCCCCCCATACATTTATTTTAAAATGTTGTATTTTAAAATAATTATAGATTCACAGGAAATTGCAAAGATAGTACAGAGAGCTCCTCTGCGCCCTTCACCCAGTTTCACCCAATGGTTGCAGGTTGCCTACCCAGGGATCTGCCATGGCATGAGGCACCACAAAGACCCTCTCGGGCTGCCCTTGATGATGGTCACACCCACCCCTCTCTCTTCCACCATCTCTAAGCCCTGCCAACCACCAATCTGTTTTCCGTCTTTATAATTTTGTCATTTTGAGAATGTTATGTAAACAAAAATCTACCATACGTGACTTTTGGAGATGAGCTTTTTCTCCCCTTTTCTCACTCACCATAGTGCCCTGGTGATCTACCAAGTTTTTGCACGTATCAATAGTTTATTCTTCTCATAGCTGAATAATATTCCATGGAAGGGCTGTATCACAGTCACTTGAACTATTAACACCTAGGTTGTTTCTAGTTCTGGGCTATTAAGTATAAAGATACTATGAACAAATGTAAAGATGTTTGTGTGGATATAAGTTTTCATTCGTGTGAGATAAGTGGCTTGCGATATGATAGCTGGGTCATAGGGTAGCAGTTGTTTGCTTAGGTTTGTTTTGTTTTCTTAAAATAAACTGTCAAACGATTTTCCAGTGTAGCTGTATCATTTTACATTTCCACCAGTGATGTAGGAGAGATCCAGTTTCTCTGATCTCCAGAAGCTACCTGGATCCTTGTCAGCACTTGGTATTGTTGCTATTTTTAATTTTTGTTCTAATAGGTGTGTAGTGATAGTTCCATTAATGCCACAGATATACTGTATATCTGTTCATGTGCTATATGCATGTTGATGCTTTTTTTATTTTTTGAGACAGAGTCTCACTCACTCCAGCATAGGCTGGAGTGCAGTGGTGCAATCACGGCTCACTGCAGCCTCTACCTCCCTGGGCTCAGGCGAGCCTCCCACCTCAGTCTCCCAGGTAGCTGGGACTACAGGCATGCGCCACCACGCTTGGCTATTTTTTTTGTACTTTTGGTAGAGATGAGGTTTCGCCATGTTGCCCAGGCTAGTCTCGAACTCTTGAGCTCAAGGGATCCACCTGCCTCAGCCTCCCAAAGTATTAGGATTATAGGCATGAGCCACTGTGCCCAGCCCCTGATGCTTTTACATATATATATATATATATATATATATATATATATATATATATATATATATATATGATAGGATTTTGTCATCCCCCTGCCCTTGCCAAGAACCCACTCTCTCCCCTTTGGGGTGACTTCACTCCCGTTGAGAACGCATGGTTTCCCAAGCCTTCTGTCCAAGACTGAACCAGCTCCCAAGAGGCCAGGGAAACAGCTGGTTTGGACACGTTTGGTGCAGCCCAGCATTTGAACAAGCCTACAGCCTTGAACAAATGGAGGATTAAACACTCTGACCCCAAGGTGAACTAATTCCACAGAGGCACTGGGGTGGGGACTCCAGCAAGTGAGATGCATGAAAATCTAACCAGCACTTCCCACTCGCCTCTTCTTGAGCTCAGGCTCATCTCAGAGTAGGGTTTGTCCCCAGTAGCTGGTGTCCACCATGGCTGTCACAGTAGAGCGGAGCGGTGCCCAAGGATGCTCGGGCTGTGAGTCCCTGAATCAGTCAGCATCCTGATAACAGCTCACTGTCCCCCACCGGACCCCGACTCACCCAGGCCAAAGTGTGCCACGGGCTCCATCTCACACAGGTAGCCTGAGCCCCCGTCGATGATCCTCAGGTGGGCCCCACTCTTCTTGGTGTAGAGCACGACCTTAGCTCCCCTGGCAAAGGCCCCAAACCGGGTGCGTGGCACCACTCGCAGCCAGTTGTTGTTGAAGCCCTGCAGAGAGGGTGAGAGGCAGACACCCGGTGGGCATCAGCATGGTGGGTGGGAAGAGCAGGGAGCCAGGGAGGACGGGAGGGGGAGAGGGAGAAGAAGGAGGAAGAGAAGAAAGCAGGCAGAGGAAAAAGATAGAAACAGGAAGCCAAACAAGAAAAATGAATGAGGCGAAGACAGATTGGCTGAATGAAGGAGAGGCACTGCAGACAGAGGAGACAAAAGCCGAGGGACTCAGGGCACAGTGTTTGGCAGATAAATGATACTGGAAGGCAGAGAGGCAAGGGCTTCTCCCAAGGCGGCCCTTCCTGAGCTTCCCGGTGCTGCTGGAATTTACTTCCCTCCTCCAGGGCCCGGGACTTCCATTACCCACCATGCTGGCCAAGCCAGCACCCCGGCACCTTGCCCTCACCAACTCAAGGTACCCGAGAGCACACAGGGCTGGGATCTGTGGCTCCTGAGGTCTTAGCGCACCTGATTGCCCCGGAAGACGGACAGCGGCTGAGCCATGGACTCTCCATGGGACAAGATGAGGTCCAGCATCCCGTCTCCGTCGAAGTCGGTCACCACACCCCCTACAAACAATGCAGATTTCACCTCTGGCCGTAATCCAGGAGACCCACAAAGGAGACACGCTCCCAACCAAGTGCAGTATCCACAGCCCTGGGCGTGGGAGCCAGAGAAAGCACAGCACCGGGGCAGGAAGGCTGGGGCTTGGCACCCATCTCCTATCCTTCCTAACAGCAGCCTCATGATAGGACTCACGGGACAGACATTTCCTTCCTTCCCCTGGTCTTTGCATGGAGAGGGTGTGTGCAAATTACTCAGACCACATGGTCTTCTTTCTGGTCTTTCTATTATGGTTTGAATAATACACACCTGTTATATTTGCACAGGTTTTTTTTTGTCAATTTACCAAGTGTTTGCATATACATAGGCTCCTTTTGGTCGTCATTACAACCCAAAGAGGTGAAGAGGGCAGATATAATTATCCCCATTTTATGAATGTGGAGAACAAGACCCAGAGGGTAAAGTCACTTTTCCAAGACCACAAAGTGAGGCAATGGCAGAGCTGGGTTCTGGGACCCCTGGCCCAGTGCTCTGTCTGACAACAAGCTGAGTGCCAAGAGGGGAGGGGTCAGATGGCAAGATCCTCTGCCTGAGAGCAGAAGGGGCTCTCTCCTCTCCTTTCCATCCCCACCTGGCAAGGCATGGCCAGAGAAGCTCCTGCCCACAGACCCACAGATTCCCATTCCCCCACCCCCCATCAGCCTGGGATTGGGGGAGTGGACCATCCTCTCCTCTGCTTCCTGCCTGGCCATCCCCAGGGTTCTCCCATCTCCACTCTCACCCCTGCCCTTGAGTCTCAGCCCTCAGTGTGGCAGGGACAGGAGTGGCTCTGCTGTGGGACTGGCTGCCCCGTCCCTCCCGCCCTCACCCCAGTGTATGAACAGTGCTAAGGGGGCAGTGCAGGCCAGATCCCCCAGGTGCCCCTCACCTGTGCCCCGGCCCTCAGGCTCCAAGGCGTCGCCGGGATTGAGCTCCTCGATGAGGGGGTCTCCGTGCTCTCTACGGATGACGCTGCAGGAGAGGAGACAGGCTTGCTCTGGTGGGGTCTCAGAGGCCGCTGGACCAGAAGGCCCACCTGCTCCATTCTGTCCCCTGAGCATCCCCGGGTCCCAATGTGCATGGGCTACCACCTGGCTGCCCACGGAGCCACTCTCTGCTCCCAGGCCCTGCCTATACTCTGCCTGTTCCCTGCCTGGGTTTTAATTTATGTTGGTAAATATTGATTTTTCCTTCTCTAATGGATGAATTATAGGCAGCCTGGGGAAGGGCAGTTGATGGATGAAGAAGGGGCAGGGACACAACTACCTTCAACCAACCTTCCTTGTCCTTCAAGTGGCCCCTGGGTTTCCTAGTTCTGGATGCTACCCAGGGTTTAACCCCACTCAATGCTACCTCCTCCATGCCCTCTTGGACCATCCTGCTGGAAGCAATCCCTTCTTTCTTCATGGGCTTTATTACTTTCTGCCTGTGTTACAGCTCTGTATAAATGCATCTGATCTCCCCTGGTAGAATGTGAGCTCTCTGCAGGCTGGGACCTTGCATTGTTCATCTTTGCTTCTCTTGCAGTATCTAACACAGTGCTTGGCTCTCAGAAAGCTCCAAGCACATGTCTGCAGGATACAAAGGTGAATTCCAGAGGCAAAGAGAGGAAAGGGGTCCCTTTGGGTTGCAGCGGTTCTGTTTGGAACTCTGAATCTTGATGTTATTTATTTCAGAAACGTCTGCTAGAAAAGTCCTGCTCTTTCTCTGCACTCAGCTGATGATGGCAGTGAGCTTTCCTCTAGAATTTTTCTCACTTGGTGTATTCTCACAGCCTTGGGTGCTCTGCCCTAGATGTGTGGGGCAATGATGGGAAGGTAGGGTGTAAGGAAGAATTGGCATCGCACTTCCTACCACATTGCAGGTTGCATGTGAGAAACACCAGAGGGCCGTGATACAGTCATAGCTTCAGGAGGGGGTCGGAGTCCCCTGAGCTGGAGCCTTTGGTGGCTGGGTGGCAGAAAGAGCTGGCAGATGCCCCATGAGGTGGGCTTGTGTGTTGGTGTGCATGAGTGTGATGCCCACAGTCCCTTTGACCATATGTGTCCTGCAGATTCTGCCACAGCTGTGCAGAGACACTTCTTGGTTCAGGTGACAATGCAGTTAAGGAGTCCTAAGGATAACACCCAGCAATCAATTCCACTGTATTTCTGTGTTCATTGAACACATTCTTAGGCAGCAACTATTGTGTGCCGGGCCCTGCGTGAGGTATGGTGCACAGCAGAAAGGATGGAGCTCAGAGTCCGTGTTAACAGGAACCACCGTTCAGAGGGCTGAAGGCCTAGGGAGAGTGGGTCATGGGGAGTCCAGAGTTGGGGAAGCTCACCCAGATTCGGGCAATCAGGGAAGTCTCCCTAGAGGAAGGGTCAGCTAAGCTGAGACCACCATGGTGAGTGAGCACATGTCGCTCAGATGAAGAGGGATAATTGGGGGCTAGAGGGAGTGGGCAGCCTGAGGGTGAGGCCTGGCATAGCCCAGAACTGAAGAAAGCTTGTTGTGCCTGCTGCTTAGATGTAAACAGGGAAGTAGAAAGTGACAAGGCTGGAGACGCAGCCAAGCTGGGCTATGTGGATTGTGTCAAAGAGTTTGGACTTCATCCAAAGGCAATGGGGAGCTTCTAGAAGGTTTTCGGTGGGAAAGGGGTGTGGCCAGACTTGCATTTTCAACGGCTCTGTCTGCAGGACTAGAGACAAGGAGAGCAGCTGGGGGAGGTGCAGGAATCTCCGTGGGAGACCAGGAGTGGTGTCATGGTGGAGAGTGAAGAGCAGGTTGGAGACATGGCTAGATGTGAAAGGGGGTGACCCTGCACACCGCAGTTGGCCTAGGAGTGTCCTTGTTCATGCCTTTTTGCCTCTGTGATTCTTTTTCTTTTTTCCTTCTTCTTTTTTTTGCTGTAATTATTAAGAGGGCTCCCTTTCACTCTCATTAAGTGACTGTTTGGGTGCTGAGTTCCCTGGGTGCTGCAGGTATCATTAAAGGACGTGCAGACTCAAGCACACTGAGGCTTTATGTCCCCACAGAGTTCCTGGCATGTTCCTGGAGAGCACCAGGGCCAAGGAGCCCACAGTGCCTGTTCAGTGACAGGTGAAAAGCCCCCGTGGTGTGGGACAGTTGGGGGTTAAACTTCCAGAGCTGCCAGCTGAGTGCCAGTCCCAGATGCAGCCCCTCTCGCTGTCCTCTCTGCTGCGTGCTCAGGACCCAGCCATCTGCCACAGGGACTTGGGGCACAGCCACGTACCTGGGAAGTGGCTTCTGCTGCTGCTGTGTGGAGGCAAACACACTAACCCATTGGGCAGCCACGTGGTGACTTGCTCTGTCCATTGACAGCTCTGGGCCAGCCTGCCTTGTCCTTCCACCCAGCCCTTTCTCCCCGCTGCAGGGGACGCTGGGAGATTTGAAGCAGGCTGGATGGGCAGGATGGGCAGGCAGACAGAGACTAGGTTCTCGGGCCACAGAGACAGGAGCACTAGATTCCTCAGTGCTCAGGCCTCGTCCTCCTGGCGAGTGACACTTTATTAGCCAGAGAAGGAAAGCAGTGTCTCTGTTAACTAGCAATTGATCTTCTGCAATTTATCTGGAAGTTGTGAATAAGCTTTTCGCAAGGCACCTAATTAGTAAATCTAGCGCCTTCAGGGGGTGATTACATCCAGTCAGGATTGATGCTTTGTTAATAATTATATTTTAAAACACGCTTAGTCACACTCATGCCTTTTAGTATAAATAGTTGGGCCCTCCCGGGAGATGGGGTAGGGGTCTTGGGGGGCCGAGCCAGTGATCTGGCCCATGTCCTGGATCCAAGGCCCTGGCACACCCTCCTTTCCCCACCTGGTCCTGAGCCCCATTGGAATGTTTTAAGCCAGGAACAGGGACATCTCAGGCCACATGCCTGTCCAGGACTCCACCTATCCAGGACTCATGGGGAGACCCTGAGCTCAGTTCCCCAACAGTGGTTCTCAAACTTCAGTGTGATGAGAATCACCTGGTGCCTACTGTACTTGTTAAAATACAGATTCCTGGGCCTCACCCCCTGAGATTCTAAGTCAGGGGCTGTGGGGTAGGTCCCGGGATTCTGTACTTTAAGCACTCTGGGTGATTCTGATGCCAATGGTCTCTGGACGTCCCCTTGGAGAAATATTGCCGCAGCAAATCCAGCCCTTCCTCCCTAGACACACTGCTCAGAGGCCTGCACATTCCCTCCATTTCTGAAACCCTTTTCCTTGTCTACCAGGAACCCTTGTCATCCAGAATTTCCCAAAGGATGGTTTGCAGAACACCAGTCTCAACAGAAAAATCTGTGGAAGAAGTGCCCTGTGATCTGGCCTATTTGGAATACTCCATCCATCTTTTGGAAAATTAAAATATTTATGGTCAAGTTAAAGGCGCTGAGAAGTCCTGCAGTAAATAAACCTGTATTTACTTGGACCCCGTAGCCCCTTTCTGTGGTAGTGATTGGACCCCATAGCCCCTTTTCCTGGTAGTGATTGGAGCCCGTAGCCCCTTTTCCTGGTAGTGATTGGACCCCATAGCCTCTTTTCCTGGTAGTGATTGGAGCCCGTAGCCCCTTTTCCTGGTAGTGATTGGACCCCGTAGCCCCTTTTCCTGGTAGTGATTGGAGCCCGTAGCCCCTTTCTGTGGTAGTGATTGGACCCTGTAGCCCCTTTTCCTGGTAGTGATTGGACCCTGTAGCCCCTTTTCCTGGTAGTGATTGGACCCCGTAGCCCCTTTTCCTGGTAGTGATTGGAGCCCGTAGCCCCTTTTCCTGGTAGTGATTGGACCCCGTAGCCCCTTTTCCTGGTAGTGATTGGACCCTGTAGCCCCTTTTCCTGGTAGTGATTGGACCCCGTAGCCCCTTTTCCTGGTAGTGATTGGAGCCCGTAGCCCCTTTCTGTGGTAGTGATTGGACCCTGTAGCCCCTTTTCCTGGTAGTGATTGGAGCCCGTAGCCCCTTTTCCTGGTAGTGATTGGACCCTGTAGCCCCTTTTCCTGGTAGTGATTGGAGCCCGTAGCCCCTTTTCCTGGTAGTGATTGGACCCCGTAGCCCCTTTTCCTGGTAGTGATTGGACCCCGTAGCCCCTTTTCCTGGTAGTGATTGGACCCCGTAGCCCCTTTTCCTGGTAGTGATTGGACCCCGTAGCCCCTTTTCCTGGTAGTGATTGGACCCTGTAGCCCCTTTTTGTGGTAGTGTGGCTTTGTATCTTGTGGCGCTTGGGTTCTGGGCACACTTTGGGCCACATTTCCCTTCCCTTTCCCTGCAATAGCAGAGGCCGGCTCCTTGGCCAGGCTTTGCCCTGCATTCCCACAGCCTCTTGCCCAGTCCTCGTCCTTCCTTCCTTTCTGTTTCTTCATCAGGGGACCTGTGTTGACCTTGGCCTGACCCCCTGGCCCTGGGAACCCTCCCCTTCTGATTCTTAAACCTTCTCCCTGACCGTTCCTCCCACCAGCTGTCAAGGATGAAGAGCCACGAGCCAGGATGGAGCATCTACCGGAAGAGGCGGTTGGCTGAGGAGCTGCGGTAGGCAATGTTGTTGAAGAAGATCTCCAGCTCCTGGTCATTGTCAAAGTCGGCGGTGATGACCGTGCGGACAGGGGAGGGCATGGAGAACTTGGGTGAGGCGATGTCCTGGAGGAAACAAGGCTGGGGGTCAGTGGCAGGAGAGTGGGCTGGGGCGGGAGGCCAGCTCTCCTCTATGGAGTGTGGGGGCAATTAAAAATAAGAGACAGTCCAACCCAAAAGCTCCTCTCCTGCCTCCCGCAAAGGACCTGGGGGCTGCCTTTAGGACCACACAGACCTCAGGCTGCTTGTACGAGAAGAAGGAGGGAAGAATAACAGTCGTGCTAGACACCAGTGAAGTGCTTAGCCGATCCCTAGTCTGGATCACACCTGTCCATCCCTTCTGTCCATCCCTTGAGGCAGTACAGACATTAGCCTTCCCATTTGACGGGTGAGGTAACTGAGTCCTGGAGAAGGAGGGGAACTGCGATGTCACAGCTACTGAGTGGGGAGGCCAGGGCTTCTGATTCCGGACTCTGTGCCCTTTCTCCTAGGCACCCTTCCTCCTCTGTGCTGAGTCAGAAGCTGGGTGGGCACCGGAAATCTCTGTGCATCTAAATCCAGGCTCCACCACTGACTAGCTGTGTGATCTTAGGCAAGTTACTAACCCCCTTGGATCTCACCTTCCCCATCAGTAATGTGGGAATAGTAATAGCTGCCTGGGTTGTGAGGATTGCATGTAAAATGCCTGGCACAGAGTGGGCATGACATAGCTCGCTGGCAGCCTGTCCTGCCTTACCCACCACCTGCCTCAGGGAAGGTGAAAGAGGTTACCTGTAGCTGTGGATTTGGCTGCCTCTACTACCTTACGTTGTTTCTTGGGAGTCTTTTTATTTTTATTTTTTGAGACATTTGCTTTGAGGGGGTTGCGGTATCAGCTACACCTGTCCAGGACTAATGGGGAGACCCCAGGCCCAGGATAGCCCAGCTGGGACTCCAAAGTACTGGGAGGGCCTTGGGGGACCAGGCAAAGGGTCCCAGGTGTGTTTCTGCCTCTGAAATAGAAGGAGAGCTGGGAAGGGCAATCTTCTATTTCTGAGCGTAATATCCTCATCATAGGTGGGTTTTTCCCCTAAAGACCTTGGGGACATGTCTAAGTCCCAGGGCCCACGTGGAGAGGGCTGAGAAAGGTACAGGTGGTGTCTCTGGGAGCATCCTCTACCCGACTTGGGCCTGCTCTCGGCCTCCTGCTGCAGACCCTCTTTGGCAGCCACAGGGATGAGCAGGCTGGGTCAGCGGTCGAGCTGCCTGCTCTGGGGAGGCCAGGGAAAGAGGCTGTCTCCATCAGAGGAGTAATGAGGTTGAATAAGCCTGGCCAGCTGGTCTGGGTGGGTTGAGCTGGGCCTTAAGAGCCAGGGAGCAAAAAGACCTCAGGATCTCTAGCCGTTATGATTCTATTGATCCTATAAAAATGGAAACCTCCCATAGCCCCCTTGGGGTTGCCCTATTCGATGCCTGAGCTTCCGAGATAATGTATGTTAAGCTTAGCACAGTTCGTGACACATGGAAGGCACTTGATAAATAGGGCATTTATGTATTATTAGTATTATTATTGCTCCTGAGAGCTCTGGGGAGGGGCCTTCGGAAGAATTAACAGGGTTCCTCACCCTCAGTGCGTTGGCGTTTGGGACTGGATAATCCTTTGTTGTGGGGCTGCTTTGTGCACTGTAGGGTGTTCAGCCCTATCCCTGGGCTCTGCATACTAGATGCCAGGAGCCCTCCCTTCCCCAGCTGTGACAAACCCAAATGTCCCCAGACATTGTTGAATGTCCCAGAGGGAGGGCAGCAAGATCATCCCTGTTGAGAAGCTGGGTGAGAACAAGAGTAGAATAAAGGTGGAAATCGTCCAAGATCCCAGGACGAGCTGTCCTGGGCTCAGGGCATGCCTCTTCCCAGCCCAGGGAGCCTGAGTCTCAAGCCTTAGCAGGGAGGGAGTGGCTGGGCCTGGGCGTCCCAAGGTGGCTGCTTACAGGGAAGGGACTTGGTAGGGGTGGCCTCTTCTTGGTTACACAGACATGAGGTCCCTGGGGACTTCCCTGGGATCCTCAAGCCTCAGGAAAACCCTGGAACTTTCCCATTTCCTCAGGGGTTTTTGGCAGACCTAGGTATCTGCAGAACAGTCCTGGATCCCTGAGATCAGCTTCAACCAGCCCATGCCCTCTGTTGCCCTCCCTGAGAAAGTTCCAAACCCATGCCCCTCATGCTGTTGGCACCTCCATCACTGTCACTAACAGCCCTTTTGAAGAATTCTTGGCATCGGTCTATCAACAGCTCAGGGAGGGGGCACAGAGAGGGCTCTGAGGCCACCTTGCCTGCCATCTGCTGTTTGTCTTTAGGGGCAGCTGTTGGGAACTCCGTGGCTTCAATCTTCCATTCTCTCCACCACTTTGCCCTTGGTTTGAACGTCAGTCTGAAAAGGTCTAAAAAGCTGAGGCCTGGCTTTTGTGGAGTGTGCAGGGGATGCCATCCTGTATCCCCTGCACACTCCACAAACACTCTCTGCTCTAGCTGCTGGATCCTTTCCAGGAGCCACCAGAAAAAATGGCCTGGATCCAGAGAGTGCAGTCCACCTCCCAGGACTCCGGCCCACCTCGGAGGCTGCTCTCCCACCTCTGCTGACCTGGTTCTTCCTACTCTTGGATCCAGAGCTCCTACAGCAGCCCAGCTGTAGTCCCTCGTCCCCTGGTGTAACCTTCCTTGTCACCCCACCCCCACTCTGGGCCCTGAGAGCCTTGAGCCCTGCTCAGCCTGGTGGGAGGAGCGAGGCAGCTCCATGGCATGCCGGGGCACCCCTGCAGTGGTGCTGTAGGGAGGAGTGAGGGAGAGGCCCTTTCTTTTTATTTTATTTTATTTATTTATTTTTTTATTTGAGATGGAGTCTCGCTCTGTCACTCAGGCTGGAGTGCAGTAGCACGATCTCAGCTCACTGTAACCTCTGCCTCCTGGGCTCAAGATTCCTGTGCCTCAGCTACCGGAGTAGCTGGGATTATAGGCACGCACCACCACACCTGGCCAATTTTTGGTATTTTTAGTAGAGACAGGGTTTTGCCATGTTGGACAGGCTGGTCTTGAACTCCTGGGGTGAGGCCCCTTCTTACCCGGAAGCGGACCTTCCCATGGGTGCTCATTTGCAGATAGAGGCGGTGGGGGCCATTCCAGTTGCCATAGACGATGTCCACTTTGCCATCACGGTTGAAGTCAGCCAGGGCGACACCTCGCCCATGCTGGTGGGGGTCGTCCACACCTGGGGAGGAGAGGCAGGAACTCTCAGGGCGGCATCCCCTGCACACTCCACAAACACTCACCCTGCTCTAGCTCTGTGACAAGCAACTAGGGAGGGTGACTCTCATCTTGTTCCCGGGAGGAGATACGGGAGACATAGCTGCAGTCTCAGAAGCTCTCTATAGGGGCAGGAAGTGGGACAGTCATGTGCTTGAAAAGAAGACCCAAGACTTGTGTTCAAGCTGTGTTTGCCCAGCATGCATATTATTTTTACCCTGTTTGGGGGGTGGCATGGGTTGGGGGAGGGAGACTGGGGGAAATTCTGGAGGACCAAAGGCTCTTCCCGGCCACCCCTAACACTGCCACTGGAAGACATTAAGCTGATCATGCCACTCTTTTGCTTAAGCTGATCATGCCCTCCAATCCTTTTAGGGAAAGTTCTAATTCCTGCCTGGGGAGCACAGGGTTCTGCCTGACCATGGTCCTGTCCGCCTTATCTGGTCTTGATCTGGTCCCACTCTCCCCATCTTTCCAGCTCCTGGGCCTTTGCTCAAGCAGGTCTCTACCTGGGATGCTCTCCCTCTAGCTCTAGGTTACCCAGCTCCTGGTTATTCTGCTCTCAGCCACAATGTCACTTCCTCCGGGAAGCCCTCCCTGACCACGCATCTGAGACAGCTCATCTTGCCCACCCTGTCAATCTCCCTGACAGCCTCTTAGTCTTCTCCTCCAACATGTTGATCACAATGTGCGGTTACGTTCCTTTGTGGTTGACTTGTTAGGGTCCGGTTTTCCCACTATCCCTGACGTTCCATGAGGTCAAGACTCTCTTCTTGGTTCACCTGGGTACACGCAGCATCTATCTCAGGGCCTGTGGTTGCCTGGTAGTTTTCAGTAAATACTTGCTGAATGAGTGCACAGACATAAATAACATGACAGAAGGCAAACCGGGGACGTGGGTGACAGCAGAGGAAATACTACAGCCACGACAGAGAAGCCCACAGCATGCCTGGTGAGACCTGGAAAGCGAAGCCTCTGTGCCCAATGCCACCTGCTTATACTATCCACGGAGTGGGTGCTGGGGGAGGAGAGAGGGTGGCTTTGCCCAGAGCGATGGGCTGACCTCCTAGCTGCTCACTGGCCAGTGCATAGCTTGAGAGACAGAGGTGAATGCGACTCTAAGCACCCACCCACGTTGACTCTTTCAGAGGACAAATAGCTGTGGGTCATCAGGCTCTCTGGGATGGCAGACCACAGGACAATGTAATAGGCAGTGGGGATCAGAGACCCCAGGACACAGGGAGCTCTTGCCAGAAGGCAGGGTGGGGCCCCCTGAGAACCCTGGAGGCTGAGTGTCCTCCTGGGGGAGAGAAGGAGCTGGGGGAGGTGTGGGAAGAAGAGGCAGTGAGACTTGAGAAAGAGGGTTCGCAGAGGACTAGGGGCAGCCTCCAATCCCTAGGATTAATACTCCATTAATTCTCTGCCAAACTCCTCGGCCCAAATGTCGGTGGCCTTCTGCGTTGGCCCATTTCTCTCCTATCTATGAGGCACCTTGACAAGGAGCTGGTTCCCTTTCACGGGAATAATCGGTGCCAGGCTGCATTTCACAGCAGCATCTGTTTGGGTGATGAATGCCCTCTTGACATGTCTTGTTAAACCCCTGCAATCATTCTGACTTTCAATTACGGGCCTAGCACCTTGCCTCTCTCCTCCCGCCTGATACCTTCTCCCACTCCAACTTGTTCGCTCACCTCTGCTTCCATCTCTTTAACACCTTATCAAATCCTCTAGGTTTTCTCCACTATTCCCTCCCCTTTGCTTTATGATTTTTCAGCAATGAGAAAATTTGCTGCCAAAGGATAGCACTAGGAGGGGTGAGCCAGGTGGGAGGACAGGCCAGGGGAGTCCAACTTCTGCCTTGCCAGAGAAGGATAAGAGGTAAGGCAAGGTAGGGAGCTGAATGGCAAAAAGCTGGGGGTGGGTGTGCATTCTGGGCCAGTAAGTCCCCACAGTGGAGCTCCTGGGCAGAATGCTGGGGTGGTAGGTACTCGTAAGTCCAAGAATCCAAGAGAACAGACTGGCACACGTGCAGGGATTCGATGTGAACTGCTGGCAACAGCCAGAGCTTGCAGGACCCTTGATCTCTGTGTCTAGATCCCACTCACCACTCCTGCAGGCCAGAGCTCTTCCCCATGCCTCCAAGAAGGAGGTGAAATCAAACCTCCCATTCATTGGCAAGGTCGGGGGAAATGGTCAGGGGTGCCTGGGATGCAATCATACATCCGAAAACTCGCAGGAAGTGTCCACTCTGTCATTCAGCAGAATTTACCGGTGGGCACTGGAGGCCAAGCCTTGCGTCAAGAATGAATAGAACCGTGACCCGGTCCTTGTAAAGCTCATAGACAAACCATGATGGCAATGTGGAGCCTGAAGAAGACGTGCATGCCACGGGCAGCAGGAGGAGGAAGGACCAGTTTCTGCTAGGTGGCACAGGGAGTGAGGAAAATCTCTGCAGAGGTGATATTTGAGGTGAACGATGAAGGCTAAACGACGTTCTGCAGGTAGAGAAGGGGGAGGGCAGTCCAGGCAGAGGCCATGGCAAGTGCAAAGGCCCTGAGGTGGGTGGGGGATGAGTGCAGAGGAAGGAGGAGGAGCACAGCTGGGGGCCTGGGGCACTATTTTGTGTGGGTTTTATCCTGCTTCTTATTACAGCCGGATATTTTTGTCTACATCTGTTTCTAGAAAGTCATTGCCTTTTCTGTGTGTAGGGTGGTCTTAGCCTGATTCAAGTGGGCATCCCTGGTTCCCAGTGCCAACCTGACACTTAGTAGGGGCTCCATGAATGCTCACTGTATTGAACTGAATGTTGAAGATAAATGTGGGAGGGGGCCAAGGTGGGGAGAGGCAGCTTGGAGGATAGGTTGATGCTGAGAGACACAAGCAGGACTTGGAGGGTCGCGGGCAATCTCAGGTACTGGAAGATGGCAATTGGCAGGAGTTTCAGACCCCTTTCCCCAGCAGCAAACACTCCCTGTGGCTGGAGCCAAGGGAGCTAAGGAATAGGAAGTGACAAGCAGCGTTTCTCTGTGTGGTGCAGACGATGACTTGCCCTGCTCTCCCTCAGCCAGAAGAGACTATCCTGGAGGGGGCAGGGCAGTCTGGAGTCCTCTGTGGGTCTGGGGTGAGGGGTCAGGGTGCACAGGGCATGGCTGCCTCCACTCACCAGCACTGGCCGCAGCGTCCACAAAGGTGCCATCGCCCCGGTTGTGGAAAAGGAAGTTAGGCCCATTCTCATTGTCGCAGAAGATATCCGAGGCACTGCTGCTGAGGATGGGGCCCACGCTGACGCCTCGGCCCCCTAGAAAAGACATCGACCCACAGTGAGTGGCAGAAGCAAGCCCCAGGCCCACCTGGAGGACAGGGCTGCCTCTGAGGCCTGAGGGGAACTGCAGCAGAGGCTCCTCAGAGGAGCCTGGGGGGAATTCTGCTTCCCGTGCTTTCCTGAGCCTAAATCTGGGCTCATGGTCTCCATGAATCTGTGTGGAAGGTAACAACACTGATGAAGAGGGAAGGAAGGAGCTCAACCGGGCATGGGGACCCCACACAGAGGCCAGCATCTGCCTTCCCCTTCTAAGAGAAGTGGCTGAACAATCATCTTAAATCCTAAACCCACAATAATCCTAAACCCAACTCTAAGCACGCCATTTTGGTCAAGTCACAGATACCCCAACAGACTCCCGACTCTCACTTTGAGTGATACATATGCTGGTCAAGACCACTGGGTATGTCCCAGCTTTAAGAACCTATAGGGATAGGTCCCAGCTATAGGTACGCAGATGCTTACTTTGCTTTGTTTGACGTTAAACAATTACATCCATCAATAGTGAATGGGTTGAATGGATTATGGAGCATCCATATGACAAACCATTCTGCAGTAAAAAGACTGCATAGATCCATATGGATTGACTTGGAGGAGTGCCTGTGATATATGGTTGAAAGAATCAGCAATTCACCAAGTAATGGTATTGTGAGATCTTGCTTTTATTTTTTAAAATAGGAAAATACATGCTAGTTCTGAATACACATGTTTGTGCAGAGTTATTCAGTTCGGAGAAAAGTGGGAAAGGCCGCACCCCAAGCTGTGAACACTGGCTACCTTCCTTGATGGGGTAGGATGTGGGGAAGGAAAGAGAAACGATAGTTGGCCTTTTTTCTTTGAATGTCTTTGTAGTGTTTGACTTGTTGCAATAAGAACTGCTTCTGTAGTTTGAAAGGAAGAAATCCAATAAAGTATATATGTTTTTTAAAACGGAAAGAAATCAAGCCAGCTCCACATTGGGCTTTGAAGTCTCTAAGATCAAATCTGAGCTATCCACGTCAAGAAGTCTAACCTTAATACGTCCTGAACAAACCACCCCCACCCAGTGGGTTTCAAATGAAGACTCTCTGCTTGCCAGGCCCCACCTCCAGCTCCCAGGAACACAAATCTGCCCTGAGAAAGCCTTCCCTCAGCCACGCCCCCAAACGCTGGAAATACTGTGCAGAAAATGGCCCGACCAGGATCAAGACACGGCTTCTAGCCCCAGCCTGGCTTCTAACAAGCTCTGTGACCCTGGGCAATTTACGTTACCCTTGAGCCTCAGTTTCCTCATTTGTAAAATGGGGGAGAGTCCGACCTGCTTTTTCTACTTTGGGGTTTTGAGAGGACCAAATGAGGTAAGATGCACCTGTCAGAATGACCATTATCAAAAATATGAAAGACTACATGTGTTGGCAAGGGTGTAGAGAAAAGGGTACCCTTGTATACTGTTGGTGGGAATGTAAATGAGTACAGACATTATAAAAAACAGTATAAGGCTCCTTAAAAATTAAAAATAGAACTGCCATATGATCCAGCAATCCCACTACTAGGTATATATATCCAAAGGAAATGAAATCAGTGTGTTGAAGAGATACCTGCACTCTGAGGTTCACTGCAGCATTATTCACAATAGCCAAGATATGGAATGAAGATACGAAGTGTCCATCAATGGATGAATACATAAAGAAAACGTGATATATATACATAATAGAGTATTACTCAGCCTTAAAGAAGAAAATCCTGTCATTTGTGACAACGTGGATGAACCTGGAGGACATTATGCTAAGTGAAATAAGCCAGGCACAGAGAAGCAAATACCACATGATCTCACTTATATGTGGAATCTAAAAAAGTTGAACTCATAGAAGAAGAGAGTAGAATAGTGTTTACTAGGGGCTAGGGGTAGGGGTGTTGGGGAAATGTTGGTCAAAGGATACAACACTTCAGTTTAACGGGAGGAATAAGTTCAAGAGATCCATTGTACAACATGGTGACTTTAGTTAATAAGAATGCACTATATACTTGAACTTGCTAAGAGAGTAGATTTTAAGTGTTGTCACCCCCAAAAAAGTATGTGAGATAATGCATATGTTGATTAGCTCGACTTAGCCATTCCACAATGTCTACATTATTTCAAAACATCATGTTGTACGATGAGCTGTATGAAAGGGCTCTGTGGACGCTGCAGCCTTGCTGCTCAGAGCCAGGTCTGAGAAGCAGTTGCAGGAATGTCACCTGGGAGCTTGCTAGAATTGCAGAATCTCAGGCCCCTAATGAAATCAGAACCTGCATTCTAACAAGACCCCTGGGTGGTTTATGTGCGCATTAAAGTTTGAAAAGTACTGCTCTAAAGGGTTGTTTACTATAATAAGAAGAGTTATCAGAGCACTCCAGAAGAACTTGATTTTTAAAAAAATAAACGAAAGCTCAAGTACACCTGTGTAAAGAAAGGCCAGGCCCGCCTCTGGATGGGGCAGAGGTTTCCCCAAAGTGACCATGCTTATTTGAGACAGGGGTTCTCTTGGTCTCTAGGTGCCTCCCATCCTCTGAGAGATGCCCCCAGGGGAAATCATGGGGCCTTTTTCGCCTATGCAAATGGAGCCTGCCCACCAGAGCTGGCATTTGAGGCCAGGGAGATGAGGTGGGGCGATGGCACTGCCACTCTTATTGCGCTCATAGTTAACACATTCTGGGCTGGATGCCTCCCAGATTCCTCCCAGATAATCTCATTAGCTGCCAAAGAGAGCCCAAGCCGCATGAAAATGAAGCCACTGAATTCACATTGCTCCTCTGGAATGTCCTCCAAGACACAGCATCCACTCTTCATGATGGGAGCTATGGAGTGGCATGGGTGGCTTCCAGAGGCCTGTCCTAAAGCCAGCAGGAAAGGATGTGGGGTCACAACCTGGGCACCACCTCTGCCCATTAAAAGAGGTGCCACTAAGTGGTTGCTGGCAGCTGTCCCTGCCCTGGTCTTACCAGCTTCTCTGAGAATCCCTCAGCCCTGCCCGGGCCCCTGGAAATTCCAGGTGGGACTCAGGCACTTGCCTCCACGCAGCTCCATCCTTCTTCCTCCGCTTCCACATCCTCCAATTTCCTCTCTGCCTCTGGCTCCCAAGCTGTGACACATTCCCTTCATTTTCTACAAAGCAGGTTATTTCCCTTTTGGACAAATTTCTAAATCTTTCTAATTAACTAATTGGGTTGGGTTGAAGCCTTGTACCATTTGTAACCTGTAATTACTAGAAAATTGCCATGGTAACCACACTACTAATTAGCCACAATTTATTGCCATGGCAACCGGACCATAACAGAGATGTTACCCACACCTCCTTCTCGGCAAGTTGGCTGCATAGTTGGGGAGCAGGTGAGTCGACAGTCAGGAAGCTGGCCTCCTGGGTGCCAGCCCCAGCAGCTTTACAATGGGGGCCCAACGGGGGGCTGAGGTGGGGCAGCCAGGTACCTGCACCCCTCACTGATGCCATAGGGAAACGACTCCCAGGTCGACAAGCAAATCTTCTTCAAACCAATAGAATCCACCCATCATTATGTAGGCTGCCATGCCTATGCTCTGCCAGGCCAATGTCAAAGGCCAATTATTCAGCAAATGTCTTCTACCAGGGCTTTCCCCTCCTCTCCTCTCTCCTTTGTCACACCCTCCCTCTCCTCCATCTCTTAAGGTTTAGTACACACCAAATTCGGTCACCCAGGGGGCAGTTAGGAACATCTTTATTTAGCTTTGGAGAATGATGTTCTAACAGGGAATTAACTCCACCTTGCATCAATTAATTCTTTTATAATTTGAGGCCAGCGCATTCTCTCGGAGCTGGAGAGGCAGTGCTGGTTGTGGGAGACACCACGGCACCGGGGGTCAGAAAGTCCAAGTTTGAGCTGTGTGACCTTGGGCTCATCACTGAACCTTCCTGGGCTTCTGTTTTCTCAGCTAGAACATAAGAGTGATAATAATAATGGCTCCTTCTCGGGGCTGTCATAAATATTAAGTGAGCTGGTTTTTGGAAGGTGCCTTGGAAAATGTCAGGTGCCACACAGTCATTAGCTGGGACTATTTACCACCTGCTGGGTGAATAATATCCCTTTATTTTTTCCCAGCACTTTCAGGCTTCAAAGACCTCCTTGTTCTGCTGTTGGGGTGTGACTGCTCCTCCCTGCCCATCCCTGCTGAAGGCTTCTGCTCACCCTGCCCATCAGGCTGGGTAGGGGCTGGAGTTAGAGGGGAAAATGCCCCTTGGAGGTCCCCATTTCCCCTAGCCACATTCTGGCACTCTGATGATCTGTTCATTGGGCCCAACCCCCAAAGGGCAGCCTTGGTTGTCCTCAAGAACCATCCCTTTACCTCTGAGCCCTGGCACGCTGGCAATGCAGACCCAAGTACAAGTCGGGTGCAGACAATCCATCTCTCAGACTGCATCTGGGCCAGCCCTCAGGGACTGGGGGGTGAGACAGGGAAAGATGGTGGGGAGGGAGGGTGTGCATGCAGCTGAACTTCTCCAAGCTGTGGGTCTGAGGACCCAGGGATGAGGCAGCACAAGGATTCGTGGTGCTAAGGTAAAGCCTCTTGCTTCCTGCCTGGCCTCTGCACCTCCCCTCCTTCAGGATCACGGGAAGCATGCTCTCCAGGCCTCAGTTTCCTTCCTGTAAAGTGGGTGGGAATTGAGAAGATCTCCAAGATTGCTACTAGCTTACTTTGCAATGAATGCATCCTCCAGGGTGGACACAGGATAAGCATGTTGGGGGCTGATTCCTGTGCCCATCTAGCCCTGCACCCTCTGCATCAGCAGAGACTCTGAGGTGAGGCCCCTCGGCCAGGGAACTTGGCCATCTGCTGAGACCTTAATAGAAACAGGATTCTGGTGAATGCCATGATTCGCAGGCTGCCAAGAGCATCCAAGATATTGTAAATGAGTAGGGCAGAAATGCTGGAAACGTGGTGCAGGAATGGGCACAGAGAGAGAGAGAGAGAGAGAGTGTGTGTGTGTGTAAACATGCTGGAAAATGGGATGTGAGGATCAAGTGCAGGATGGTAACAGGGTCTCTCATCCTAAATTTCCTGAAAAATTATAAGACAAGATAACTGTGTAGGTGCTGGTGTTGCCACTCCCAAGCCTTCTGGGAGCCTTCAGAGCCTGGGCAGGACTTGACTGTGTGGCGGGTATTAGACAAGGATACACCCCCGCTCATCCTTCCTGCCCTGTCTCTGCAGAATGTTAAGGCAAGGGGTGGGGCAGCAGGACAGGCCCCATCATTTGTTTCCTCTTGACAGAGGAGGGATTTGCACTGGCAAAGCCTGGGGGTGTAGCCTAGGGGTATAACCCAGAGAGGCTAGCCACAGGCTTGACATTTCTTTAAAATCTCTTGTGTTGAGAAAAATGCACACAAAAATTACATTTCAATTCTATAACATATCTGTGTTTGTTTTAAAAGAAACGCAATGTTCCCCCCGATACTCATCAAATGCATCTGACACCCCAGGGAAAAGGTCTCTGTGTGTCCTGGGCTTTGGGTACCCCTAGCAGGCCCGTGCTGCACTTCCTGGGGGTCCCGGGCCCTGGCTGGGGAGCCTGTCACTCCAGCCCTGCCTGGTCCCTGGCTGTCAGATCTGGCTTCACTCCCGATGAAAGGCCAGCGCCCACCTGGGAAGCTAGGAGGCCCCTTGGCCCCCACTCTGTAGCCCCTGGTTGAGCTCACTGGTGAGGATCTGCCAGAAGGCCTCAGCTGGGCTTTAGGCATCTCCGTCTCCTTCAATAATGACTTCCTATAAATCAGATCTGCCCTCCGCTTTGTTCCATACTGCTCCCAGCCAACAGCAAAACTCCCCACCTGACATCATAAATCCACCTTCATTTTCTTTCCGAATTTCTTTTAAGGCTTCTTTAATCACCACCTTGCAGCCTGGACAGATGCTGCCTCAAAGGGTGAGGCCAAAATGCAGAGTTCCTGGGGAGGAGGCGAGGCCTAGGGGAGGCAGGGCAGGCAGGAAGGAGAGCAGAGAGATGGACCCCAGAGGGGATGGGGATGAAGATGCCGCTGGCCATGCCCAGGACTGGAGGTTTGGGGGGACACACAGAGAATGTTTCCCAGGCAGGGGCTGGGCCTGCTTCTCTTGTGCATCCCCCTGTACCTTGCACAGTGCTCCCTGTACCCAGGAGGTGCCCAGCAGAAGGCCCTGGCATCGCTCTGGCAGAGCCTCAGAGTGGAAGGTGTTGGTATTTGCTATACTAGGTGGGCACTGCCCGTGTGCCAGGCCATGTGCCAGCCATGTCCCATGTGCGCCTCCTTTCGTTCTCACAACACTCTCATTTTGAAGATGAGAAAACTGAGGCTGGGAGAATAGTTTGCCCACTACTGCCTAGGCTGTAATGCACAGGGTAGGCTGGACCTGCACCTGTGGCCTGGCTCCAGACCCTGTCCCCTCACCTGCTAGTTCAATGTCCTCAGAAAAGCTGAGGGGCATGCCCAAGGTCACTGGGGCCTGGACCGCGGAGGCAGTGCAGGACTCTTGCCTCTCACCTTCCCCTCCTCTTTTTCCATCTGGTTCCACGCCAGGGCCTTGGCCATGTCCAGAACCCAGTTCCCAGGATTCCCAGGCAGGGCAGCTCCCGGCACTGTCCCGGCTTCAAGAGGCCTCAAGCAGCTGGGGAAGTTGGGGACCAGGGGATGGGAGAGTGGTCTTCCTACTGCCCCAGTCTCTCTCCCAATCTCTCGCTTGGCCACCCTCCCGGGGCCCTCGAGTCCCCCGAGAGCTGGCATGGTGGCCACTAGATGGCACTGTGACCCAGCGGAGCAGCTGCAGCTGCGGAAATGGATAATGTCTAGAGAGGAGGCCTCCCCTCCCCCTCCCGCAGTGCTGAAGGCCGGTACCTGGATAGCACCTTTGCCTAGCCTGCCCTGGGGTGGCTGGACCTCCCCCGCTGTCCTGAACACTCAGCCAGGCAGCTGCTTCAGCCACAACAACCCGGGTGGGGCTGCCTCAAGTCCGGGTGCCAGCCTGGGGCTGTCATCCCAGTGGGTGTGGGCCTCCCCTCACAGCCCCTCCTGTCTTGCAGGCTGGTAGGGTTCTTAAGTTGGAGGTCATCGGAAAGGTCAGCGGGCTGTGGCAGTTTAAGCATCAGGAGGAGATGGGGCTCTAAGTGCTAGCTCTCTACCAACCTCCTGTGTGACCTTGGGCGAGTCCCTTCTCCTCCCTGGATCTCCGTCTGTTCTTTGTAAAATGGGAGGTTCTCCCAGGTCATACAGCTCTCTAGCAGGCAGGTGCTGTGTGGCTTGGCTCCAGGGACCTCCCAGCTCCCTGAGTGCACATCTGGACATGGCCTGCCCCTTCTGCCTGCTTTCCTCCCAGCTTCTCAGGCCCCCTGGCACCACAGTGGTGCTGAGCGCTGGCCACGCGCCCAAAGCCTCAGCCATCAGGCCGGGCTCAGCATGGCGGCCCTTACATTTGGGGTCCATTCCTGGGGCTCGGGGGTGGGGGACACTCCGGGCTAGTTTTCCAGCCAGACGTCCATGTGTCATTAGCTGAGTGACAAGGGGGGCTACAGGGTAGTGTTGGGGGGCTTGGCGGGCAGGGAAAGGGTGGGCTGGAGAAGGCGCGCAGACAGAATAGTAACATGGTGGGCCAAATAGGTTCTTGTCAGCCAAATGGCTTTTGGAAGTCTGCAGAGCTGTTCGAACACGTCCTCTGGGCACGCCAGCTGCCCCAGCCTCCCTCTGTTCCTCCACCAAAGCTGCTGCTTCTTCCTTGAACTGCCCGTCCTTCCAGCCCAGCCGGCACAGTTGGCTGGTGCTTCCATCCCCACTGTGCTCCTCATCTGCCTCCTCTGGGTCTCCTCCTTCCCGCTCCTCGGTTCTGTGCCAGCCCAGCCAGCGTGAACAATGCCCCCTTCATGCTCAAACCCAGCCGCAACCTCCAGATTCTTTTATTCTGTGTCTAGCCTGCTCTCCCAGTCCTTGCCTCCCTTCCACCTTGTCATTTTCAAGTGCTTCATCCCCCCAGTGCACCCCCCTTCCCTTGCAAGATCAAGGCACTTAATTGCCAAGCCAGCCCAGTGCACAGAACTGGCAACTATGCAGAAAAAATTGACTGTACAAATCTAGGCTGAAGCGCCTGCATGTTTATTTCTTTTCCGGGGGAAACATAGTTTATTACTGATACAGCCTTTCCATGGTACCTTCACGCGCGGAGCTCTCAGGCACTTAGATGGGGCTTGAGCTGTGCTAACCATTTTATTGTCTAGTCATTTGTTCCCACAAACTTTGTAAGACAGGTCAACATTAATCTCCCCCTTTCACCAGGGTGAAAAGTGGCTAGGGAAAGGCATTGTAAACTCAGGAGAGGCAGTGACAACCCTTTCTGGGCAGGACTTTGAGATGATGCCACCACCCAGGTGTCTGGAGGCAGGGTGGTACCCCAAAGGACCCCTCAACCATCCTTCCAGCCCCAGGATTCAGACTGAGGGAGGCTGCCACTTTGGAAGCCTCTGCTGCACACGTTGGGATGGGTATGTTGGGAAGGCCGACCAACAAGAGGATCTCTCTGTCCCAAGTGCAGGTCTGGTATGAATGTGGCTTAAGTTCACATGACAAGTTGTTGTGTACAGCTCTGGCTTCCTGATTTTTGGCACCCAAAACAGGAACTGGATTGCTCTGCCATCAGCAGTCTATTGGCAGATTATCAGAGTTTAGTCAGCAGCCGTGCTGGAATTAGAAAAACAGCCTTCCCTAGAAAGATCTCCCTGTCAGAGAGTCTGACAATAGGTCCCCCAACCAGAAAGATGAGGGGAGAGCGTGCCTTCAAAAAAAAGTGCTGGAGAGGTTTTGGAACAAGAACTCAATTCTTTGAGCTCAGTTATCCGAGACGGGACCCAGCTGAAGCCTAGGGATTTAGCACTCAATTCCTGGTTGCTTATGTGTAAGTAAATAATTTCATCTGCGATTTGGCAATAAAGAATGCTTTAAATCTCGGCTTTTGTGATTTGTCAGTTTTCTCCTACAGAACCTGCTCACCCATCATTGAGGTTACCAGAGGCAGTGGGGCAAGAGGTTCCAGGGAGAAAATGATGTGGTGTTCTCACATCCCACTTTCCAGCAAGCCAGATGTCCCCTCTTGGGTACCCCAAAACTCGTACCTGCCAGATATCTCACCAATGCTTGGAGAGGCAGTGTGGGAGAAGCCTTCTGTGGGTGGCAGGATGGAATGGAGCCTTCATCTCCCCTCACCAGGGACATAAGGCCACCCTTTCCTTGTGGTCTCTGATGAATTAGACTCAGCCTTGCAGGGCCCTGGCCCCCAGCCCCAGCCCCTCCAGCATACTACCTCCCATGTCACTCTGCATACCTGTATATTTGCTGACCCCAGCCTCAGCAGCCACATCTCTGAGCGCCAGAATGCCCCGGGAGAGGTCACTGGCCTCAGGGTCCATTTCAATGAGGGCATCAGGGCCCACATTACCGTAGGCGTAATTGGCAATGTAGATAGAGTAGCGTCCAGAGCCCTGAGGAAGAAGGGAAGGGAGAGGTGAGCAGGGCCACCTTGGCTCATCCCAGAAACCGCCCCCTCCCCACCCCAGGTAGGACCATAGCTCTTTCACAGGGTTGGGTTCTTCTCCCCAGGTCTGTTGCAAATGGCCTTGCAGGCTGTGCATGGCGCATTTCCAGAGGGGCTTTTCACAAAGGCTACCATGTGAATGACACTCCCAGGAGTTGTACAACAAAGCAGGCTGCTTTTCCTTCCATCCTGTTCCAGAAGAACACACCCCTCCCTCTCCCCCACAACCACCTTTTTATAGACAATTTTCTAATGTGCCTCCCTCCAGCTGAGCTCTCTCCAGCTGCCAGCCAGGGTAGCTGCTCAATAAATATTTGCTGATTGATTGATCTACCAATTCCCATTATTCTCAGTCTCTCTCTCCCATTCAAGCTCACTCCAGCCAAGATGACAAGCAAATTCCTGAGCCATCTCCCTCCCCCTGTTCCCACCCCGCGCTTCTTCATTCCTCTGTTTTGGTAGCACGAGAGGCACAGATTTGCAGGGGTCCTACTTCCCTCGTCCCTTCCCTTATTTCCCCTGTATTACCAGGAAGAAAGATAATATCACTTCTGTCTTTATAACACTGTCTCAAAGATTTGCTTTTCCCTTTGCATCCAGGAGCAGCCCTGGGCACCAGCTCCTCCGTGCAAGAGTCATTCTCTTCTCTAGTCCAAAACACTGCTGATGAAAGACTCTTCTCTTCTGCCTGTTATTATAATGGTGCTATTTCTTCAATGGATGACTTCTTCCCAAGAGATCCACACACTTTCTAAATCAGTTTTCTGGCTTTTCTCTCATCCTTTTCATCACTTCCCTCCAATTAATTGGACAGTAAATATTTCTTAAGCTCTAACTATGTGCCAAGTGCTGTGTTAAAAATGTACTTAAGACAAAGTCCCTGACCGTAGGTTGCTTGTAGTCTAGTTTGAAAGACAAGCCATAAACCTAAAAGGTCCTAAGAGAAACTGTTGAGCTCACAGCAACAAGACTGGTGGTCCTCTTTCCTTGCTTCAATGTCTCATCCATTGGCACCATGAGCACAATTCTTGTTCCACCTAACTGGTCAGTGACTTTATATCTTTGTGGGTTTTTTGGTGTTTTTTGTTTTTTTTTTTTGGGTCTCACTCTGTTGCCCTGGCTGCAGTACAGTGGTGTGATCTCGGCTCACTGCAGCCTCCACCTCCCAGGTTCAAGCGATTGCCCTGCTTCAGCCTCCCAAGTAGCTGGGATTACAGGCACGCACCACCACTCCTGGCTAATTTTTGTATTTTTTAGTAGAGACAGGGTTTCACCATATTGGTCAGGCTGGTCTCGAACTTCTGACCTCAAGTGATCCACCACCCCCCCCCGCCTCAGCCTCCCAAAGTGCTGGAATTACAGGTGTGAGCCACCGTGCTTGGCCAATCTTTGAAGGGATTATTTTCTTTGAGGAAGCTGATTAAGAGCCACATGAGTCTGTCTGACTGGTGGGTGAGGCCAAGGAGGGAGCTTAGAGTTTCCTGTTAGAGTCTCCTGGGTGACACAGATGTATCAACAATGATACAAGCATATGGCAGAGAACACGTACAGGATTTCCTGGGCACACAGAAGAGGAGCTCCTCACCCAGAGGAAGGGCACCTAACTATGGGAAGTTCTGAAAAACTTTTCTTAAAGGAGTCTCAGTCAGGTGAATTGGAGGGAAAAGAACCTTCCAAGTAGAGATGAGAAAGAGGAGGATGTATGTAGAGAAACTACAGCAGTTAGTTCAATGTTGCTGGAATATAAAATGCAAGGCAGAGAGTGTCAAGGGATGAAGCTGGAGAAGGTGGTAAATTTGTTCCCTACAGATTGCTCTGTTCCTTCTCTTTTGGTTATCTGAGTCTTTATGCTGCTACCCGGAAATCTGTGCTTTACAAATCTTGCTACTCAAAGTGGTCCCTACACCAGTGGCATTGGTGACCTCTGGGATCATGTTTGAAATATAGACCCTCAGCAACCACCCCCTAAGACCTGCTGAATCAGAATCTGCATTGTGGCAAAACCGCCATGTGATTCCTGTGCAAAATTGGAGTTTGAGATGCACTGCTTTACAGTACAGCCTTTTTTTTTTTTTTTAAGACAGGGTCTCCCTCTGTCACTCAGGCTCACTGCAGCTTCGACTGGGTTCAAGTGATCCTCCCACTCCAGCCTCCCAAGTAGCTGGGACTACAGGTGTGCCCCACCACACCCAGCTAATTTTTTTTTTTGTTTGTTTGTTTGTAGAGACAGAGTCTCCCTATATTGCTGAGGCTGGTCTTGAACTCCTGGTGTCTCAATCTATCCTCCCCATTTGGATGCCCAAAGTGCTGGTTAAGGGTTTGAGCCACCACACCTGGCCTAACATGGCTTCTTGATTAGGGGAGAACTTTGAGAAGTTCTCAGCCATCCTAGGCTGTGCAGAATGACTGGATGAAAAGTGAATGAAGGGGCCAAAGAGGAAAGTGCGCCATCACAAACCCTTCCCGACCCTACCAGCTGGCAGCAATCTCATCAACAAATGAGCAATAAGTTCAATGGACTGAAATTCACTCTGCTAGAAATTAGGATATTTACAAAATTCAGTTATACCTAGTTCCTTACTTTGATTTTTCGGGGGTATAAACTGACAAACGCAGATGTGTTACGGTTGTAGAAGACTGCAGAAATTCATATGTGAACTTGACCATGGTAATTCTGGGAGGGTGAGATGATTCCAAGGGAAGGAAGATGTTTCTGCAGCTTTGGGGCCAATGCAGTGGTTCCCACACTTTAACCTATATCAGAATCACCTGGGGGGCTTGTTAAAACACAGATTTTTTTTTTAAACATCTGGCCCCATCCCCTGAGTTTCTGACCAACAGGTCTGGCGTGAGCCATGAGAATCTGCATTTCTAACGAGTTCCCAGATGATGCTGACACTGCTGGTCTGGGAACCACACTTTTGAGAACCACTGGTCCAGGGCCATTAGCCCGGGTCCTAGTCTAGGGCCTGCCCCTAACTGCTCCTCGTCCTCGGGCAAATCCCTGGCTGCCTCCAGGCTGCATCTCCTCAGATGTTAAATGGAGATCATACTCCCCCTGCTTCCTTGCAGGGTTCTTGAGAAGATGAAATGAGACAATGTATGTGAAAAGTCTTTGAAAAGATAAAAATGCTATATAAACAATGAGGCATAATCATTATTGATCAGAGGACGTTCTTGTAAGAGATCAGCTTTGAGCTGGATCCAGAAAGGTGGGTGAGTGATGAGGCAACTGGTGAGAAAGGACAAGTGGATGTTCCGGGTTTGGAGCAGAGAATGAGTGAGGGGTGGAAGGGGAGAGAGAGAGAACAGCACATGGCAGAGTGGGGGCGGGGCTGAGGCATTTATGGAGCAAAAGGTCTCATACTTCAGCATGCATTGGAGTCACCTGCAGGGCTAACTGAACCTCAGATTGCTGGCCCCACCCCTGGAGTTTCTGATTCAGTCTGTCTGGAGGGTGGAGTGGGGCGGGGCCTGAGAATGTGCATTTCTAGCAATGCTGCTGCTGCTGGCCCAGAGGCTACACTGAGATCCACTGACCAGGTAGCTAGATTAAAAGGCCCTGCCCCAGGTAGGGGCTATGGGGCTATGGAAGGATGACTAGGGTGAGTGCTATAATAAAGTTAGAAACTTGTGTCTGCTATCATTTCACCCAGGGGCAGGGAGGCGGAAGGTAAAAAGGCATCTTCATTTTCAGGCAGGCAAGGTTCAATTCCTGGCTTTGCCTGTTGCCTCATGTGTGATCAAGGTCAAGTTGCCTAATTTCTCAAAACCTGAGTTTCCATATCTGTCAAATCGGATAGTGACAGCATCTACCTCATTGGTGTCTTATGAGGATTCAGTAGGACGAGGCAGCTAAAGCATGCAGCATAAGGCTCGGCATGTCCCTAGTGTAAGAGGTGTTGGCTGTTACTGTTGTCCTTGCTCTCGTGTTTTCCTGCACCATGCTGCATTCCTCTCTGTCAACTTCCAGGCTGCCCTTGGCCTCTCTCCATTCCTCCCCTGGCAGTCCTCAGGCCCCAGGGATGGCCAAGGTGGTGGCTGGACTCAGAAAGCAACCCTCCTCTGCTGGCAGACTGACCATAGGGCTTCTTTCTAGTTCTCTGAGGCCTGGGAGACTGAAGTCAGGGGCTAAGCAGGGTGTGAGCAAGCTTCTGGACGCCTGCCTCCTGTGCTGCAGTGCCAGGTCATCTTTTTTTTTTTTTTTCATTTCACATAGTGCCTTTGTCCTGTGGTTAAATGCGTGGGTGTGCAGATGACCTTGTTAGGACAGAGTGCATCTCTTTGTGATTAACCTGCATGCCTCTCCCCCCAGTTCTCTGAGAAGTTGCCCACGTTAGCTGAGTGTCAAAAGCCTTGGTCCTGAACGGGTGAGATGGGAAACCGGGAGGAGGCTGGGAAGAGGCCCCTAACCGTGACCAGGTCTGGCACCCCCCAGCTCCACCCCACACTCTGGGGCTGTTCACAGAGCTGCCTTCCCATCTACTCCCACCAGGCAGGAGTCCAGGTGGCACAGATTCAGGTCAGGCTAAATGTGGCTTCACAGCCCAGCTTGGCTTCTCTTCCCAGCGCCAGCTTGTTAAGAAATAAATATTTATACCTGGCACCTGCCTTCTCCCAAGGCCTGGAGGCCCCTGCTGTAAAGATTCACACTGAATCCCCAATCCCCTCGGTGCCATCTCAATCCCAAAGTGAGCCAAACCTCTTGCCCCTGCCCCCAGAATGGGGGCCATAGACACTCCTGTGGCAGCCGGGCAGCAGCTGGGCCCCTGATTTAGTGATGACTGTTTACAAAGCCAAGGAGGTGGGTGGCAGGGGAGCAGGTGACAGGAGGGATAAATCACCTTTGCAGCAAGCTGCTGGCTCTGGCGAGGCCTGCTGGGACCTAAGCCTGGGTGGGCGGCTGCCCCCTCACCGGGCAGATGGCTGCAGTGGCTCATGCCCCTTCCCACTCCGTCTTTCCTCCCCATCCAGTTTGGGTGGGGCACCTCTGTGTAGGGTGCACTTGCAGAGCATGAAAACGTTGGAGGAGCTATTGATGAACTAAAGTACTCGTATATTGAGGCAACCCTCCCTTCACCCATCTAGGAACCCCTCCATTGTGCCTTCATTTATTCCGTAAATATTTATGAAGGGCCCCACGGCTCAGTGCCTGGCACACAGGAGGCACTTAATAAATGTTAGTTGAGTGAATGAATACAGGCAGGATTTAGAGCTAGAAGAGGTGGGTTCATGTCCTAGCCACACCACTCATCTGCTTTGGGCTCCCATGCAAGTCACTGCTCCAAGCTAGGCTTCCATCCCCACAAGTGTCCCGAGGACACAATGATCCCTTGGCTGGCTTCCTCACTGGTTTCTGGGAGGGCTGCATGGGAGACAGGATGTGAAAGGTACATAGGAATGCATTCTGCAAGTCTTAGTTGTTGGTATTTAGCACCCAATCTATCCAAGACACCGCGGGAGACGCCACTCTGTCAGGGGACGTCTACACAGTGGCTCCTCTCCTGGCTCTCATGTGGCTTCTCCCCAGGACCCCATGTGCCCCTGCACTCACCTTTCTGTCCACACAGGCCACAGAGCGTCCGGCAAAGAGGCTGGCCACACCACGGGCCACGTTGACCTCATCGCTCAGGATGTCTTCCCACCGGTTATTGCGGAACTTGAACAACTTGTCGGTGTACGTGGCCACCCCTGGAGAGAGGAGGAAAGGGAGGGCTGGTGGACAGTGGATCAGGGTCTTGGTTCTGATCTCTGGGTATGTCTCATGGCACCTTTCACAAGGTGGTTGGGACCAGAGGAGGTTGGGTCATCTGCGGCAAGGAAGACCTCAAGCAGGTGAGACTCCTCTGTGTTTGGGGAGCACTCACATGTTTCCAGTTGAGGGAAGAGACTCTGAGCCTCATGAAGATGGCTGGCCCAGGCCTCAGGAACTAGGGAGGAAGTGCCACTGCTGCAGTGTGCCCAAGATGACCCTCAGCAGCTGGATTTCATGCCCTGCCCCGTGCTCCTGCAACAGCATCAAGGAGCTCCTGGGACTGCAATACGGCAACATCCAAACTCAACCCAGGATGGCTCTTTCTCCAGGCGCTGTCCCTACATTCTCTACTGGATCGCAGGACCTACCTGATTTGGGTCTCAGAAGAAATGGTTCTGGTTCATGGGTAGGTCTCAGTCCACCCTGAGGAAGGGGCTGGAAGTTGAGCTCTGATGGGGTGAGAAATGAGGGGTTGTTCTGCCTGGGGTGTGATGAGTTTGGGCAGCCCTGGGAGGCCCCTGGTCCCAGGACTGGGGAGCCCCAGAAGGCAGTGGTTTTCACCTCTTTTGGATTACTGGCCCCTTTGAGAATTGGAGGGAGGTGAAGGACCTTCAGCTCAGGGAGTTGCAGGTCTGCACACCACACAACATGCCATACATCATTTCAGGTCTGTGGCCTTCTGGAGCTCGTTCGTGACTAAGAAGCCTTGTTCTGGAGAAGAGGGAATAACTGCTGGTTGCTGAGGTCTCAAGCCCATTCAAGTGACCACTTGAAAGGCAGAGGTCTCTCCTCCGCCATCATCCTTAGTTAATTTCTTGTTAATGCAAGACCCCGAATGTTCGTAGTTTAGGGGGGTCCTCGTTCTACCCCCTGGGCTGGACAGGAAACACAGGGAGAGGAGCAGCTGAAGGAATTGGGGAAGGTGAGGTTGAGGAAGAGTGGACTTGGGGACAGAACCCTGAACTTGACTGTCTGGGCCAGGGAAGAGGCAGCAGGCTTAGACTGAGGAGAGACAGCATGGCACAGGGGCCCAGGGGCCAAGAGCTCAGGGTGATGGAAATGATCTGGAGCCCCAGTGTTGGTTCTGCTTGGATTCTACTTCTAGGCTCCAGACTCGAGGCATGCTGCCCAGCATCTCTGAGCCTCGGTTTTCCTACTTGTGAGTGGGGATGACAGTAGTTACAGTCAAGTTTACTGTGAGGAATAAATGAGATGATGCACATTAAAGGTTTGGGATGGTCCCCCCACCAAAGTGGTAGCTATTTTTCGACAGGAATGATTTTTCTCATGTTATAGATGAACTACTTTCCAAGGTTCTTTAGAGACATCAGCCCTGCACTGCAGGGGTTTGGTGAAAACCAGTGATTCTGTGAGTGGGTGTGTGTGAGGGTGGGAAGTATGTGAGTGTGAGCATGAGCGAGAGTGAGCATTGTGAGAGTGAATGTGTGTGTGGATGTGTGAATGAGTGAGAGTATGCAGGAGTAAGAGCCAGCATGAGTGAGAGTAAGAGTGTGTGAGTGGGCTGGGCACAGTGGCTCATGCCAGTAATCCCAGTACTGTGGGAGGCCAAGGCGGGCAGATCACTTGAGCCCAGGAGTTCTAGACCAGCCAGGCAACATAGCAAGACCCCATCTTTACAAACCCTCCCCCTCAAAAATTAGCCAGGTGTGGTGGCACATGCCTGTAGTCCCAGCTACTCAGGAGGCTGAAGCAGGAGGCTCACCTGAGCCCAGGAGGTAGAGGCTGCAGTGAGCTGTGATTGTGCCACTGCACTCCAGCCTGGGTGACAGAACAATACCCTGTCTCAAAAAAAGAAAAGGGTATGAGTATGTGAAAGCAAGTGCGTGAGAAAAAGTGTAAGCATGAGAATGAGTGGTAGGTGTGAGAGTGAGACAATGGCTGAGAATGAGTGTGTGTCAGCATGAGAGTGGGTGTGTGAGTGAGGGTGTGTGGTGAGTACACGAGAGTAAGAGTGTGTCAGAGAATGAGAGTGGACAAGAACGAGTGAGTGTGAGAGAGTGGGCATGAGTGAGTGAGAATGTGGGCATCAGTGAGAGTGAGTGTGGGAAGGAGTCAGAGTGAGTGTTGAGAGGGGATGAGTGAGAGTGAGTGTGAGAGTGGGGATGAGAGTGTGAGAGCGGGGATGAGTGAGAGTGAGTGTGAGGGGAGGGTGAGTGAGAATGAGTGTGGGCATGAGTCAGAGTGTGAGAGGGGGGTGGGTGAGAGTGAGTGTGTGGGGGGATGAGTGAGTGTGAGGGGAGGGTGAGTGAGAATGAGTGTGGGCATGACTGAGAGTGAGTGTGAGCGTAGAGTGCGCGAGAACAGTCAAGTGTGTGTGTGGAAGTGAGCGGATGAGCGTGAGTACTTGTGGGAGTGTGCATAGGTAAGAAGCGTGTGTAAGTGACCCCTTGACCCCTCAGGTGGCTCCACCCAGGAGAGGACAAAAGGGTTGGTCTCTGAGGGGGCCTCACGTTGGGACCCCTTGAGACCACAGGACCCACAGGAGCAGAAGCATCATCTGTGAGGTCTGGAGTTGGCCTCAAGGGTCCTCACCCGACAGCAGGGAACCGGCACCCTCTCTCCCTGCCTGCTGTCCGGAGAAGCCTGACCCAGGGAGGAGGAAAAGTCCCTTCCGCTGAGTGGAGGCAGACCCAGGAGGCCTGCAGGGGTTGTAGGTGGAGGCTTCAGCACAGGCCTGTTTCTGTGGAGCCCAGAAGGGACCTGCGCTGAGCTGCTGTGGCCTGGATGCACAGGGGGGAAACTGAGTTGCGGGTCACCCTGAGAAAAGCACAGGGCCCCGACCCAGTCGGCCGGAGTCGCATCCCACATCTGAGGCTTGTTAGCTGCGAGGCCCCAGGTCTTGGTTTCCTCATCTAAAAGTTGTGGATAACAGCTCTGCCTCCCTCTCAGCGTCGTTGTGGGAATTACACGAGAAATGCACTTGGAGAGAGTTCGGCAGCAGCTTTGAGACCCCAGGTCCACAGCCCCTCCTCAAAATTCCTGGGAGTCAAATGTGTTCAGGAATTTGCATATTTTTCCTTCAGACTTTGGAAAGGTAACACAGTGCACACATAACACCCCCAGCAGGGATGGGGGTTTATTACATAACACCCCCAGCAGGGATGGAGGCAGCACCCAGTAATTAAACACATTAATATTTCTGCAGTGAATTATATGAATATTCACCCTAAGTAGGATAAATAAAGCCTATAAATAGCTCAGATTAGCCCAGGACAGGTTTTGCTATCAATTGAATTTCCCACAAAACTTAAAAAATGCACTTGAAGTGTTCAGAGGGTTCTGGATTTCAGGGCTCTCGAGAAGGGACTTGGACTTAGGCCGCCATCATCATGGCTGTCCTGGAGGCAGTGGCAGGCTTGCTATTGCTTCCAGATGCCTGGGAGCCTCTGAGGATGGTCTCTGCAGGCTTCTGGGTCTCCAGCCTTCACCATCAGCAAGCAGCCCTTGCCCATCTCTGCCCAACCATGGCCCCTTTAGATGCTGTACTTCCAGCTAGCTTCATCCCTGAGATGCCTGGGTCACACTCCACTGAAGCCTGGGCCAGCATGGAGTCGGGGAGAAAATGGGTGTGGCAGCTGGGGTTCTGCAGAGCTCTGATGGACACCTCTGGATTCAGTGAGAGAAATTTCTCAAGCTGCAGAGTTCCTGCGTTAGCTATCTAGAGGAGAAACTAGGTCTAGGGTGACTCTGTCCCCCTCTGTTTGCCTTCTCACCTCCAGTTCCTCCTGTCCATCCCGAGCAACATTTCCCAAAGAGTGCTTTGTGGGACTCTGATCTCTACGAGGTGCCTGGAGAAAGGACTCTGTGATCATGTGAGCTTGGGAAAGAACGCACACTCACCCACCTCTTGGAGATTCCCCCTGGACATTGATCTGTTAGAACTTCAGAAAGTCCTGCAATGAATTACCTGTTTAATTTTATTTAACCCAGCCTTTCCCAAATGTTCCTTGGCCATGGAACTCCTTTTTGTAGACCACCTCTTAGCACCCTGCGTAACTGGTGCTGTCCTTAGCAAGGTGCCATCCTAAGCTGCTGATGTCTGGTCAGGCTCAGAGCTTTTCAGCTGGAGGTGTTAGGGCGCCTGTGCTGTTGGCCTCTCCCCCTCTTCAGCCTCCTGGCTCCCGAGCTCACCAGGGATGCCCAGAAGAATAAACTAATTAAGGTAAAATGTGCAACAGCCATGCAGAGCCTTGTAGATCATAAATGGGAACGGCAAAATCAATGGCAGCCCTTCTGCAGGCAGAGGCCCGGAGGCCTGGGCGACGGGAGAGATGGGAGCCCGTGATTTAGGAAGAGCAAACGCTCTGGCAGCTGCAATCTGGGTAATTAGGTGTGTCAGGAAGACAGATAAACAGCGAGCTGTGCGGGTCGATGGCACAGGCAATAAACACCCAGCACTGGCCCCTGGCCCATGTCAGCATGCAGTCCTGCCTTCTGGCTCCTTGTAGCTGCATAAAAGCTGCACTCTGCCCTGGGGTCCCTCATGAGAGGGTGGGGGCAGCTGCTCGGGAAGAGGTGAGACTGTTAGGAGCAGGAGAGAGGTATTCTCTTGAGTCCCCTGGGGAAAGACACTGAGAAGGTAGAGGCGTGGGAGAAACAGGAGAGCATTTGGGGCAGGGCAGGGGGCCATGGAGCCACAGCCCTTACGAGGGGCAAGTCTAGTGATTCCCATTTCCACCCTGATTCTGGCATCTTGGCATTAAAGGAGACTTGAAGGTCTCAGAGTCCAGTCCAGTAGAACCACCATTTGCTGCCAGGAGGCCAGAGGGAAGGGTCTGCAGGTGAGGCTCAGGTGCCCACCATGCCCTGCAGGGGGCCAGGTGCTACACCAGATGCCGTTGGAGGCTGGGGGAAGTACGCCTTGGTCCCTGACTAGGGGCTTTTAGAGTCCATCCACAACACCAGGGACAGGTAAAGGAGATACCAAGAGACAGCCATGAAATGAATGATACTGCCACGTCTATAGCACTTGCCAGGTACCAGGCAATTCACGTATATTCTCATTAACCCTCACCAAAACCCCTCGAGGTGGGTACTATTTTCATGACCCCTTTACGTATGAAGCGCCTGGGGCATGAGAAAGAAGGGGACTTGCCTAAGATCCCACAACTGGCAGAGCCCAGCAGGGCAGAACCAGACAGTATGTCTGGGAGATGCCTTGAAATCAGGATGGAAGAGTCGCTGTGATCAGGGAGGGCTTCATGAGGGAGGAGGCAACTGAACTGGGACTGGAAGGGTCAGAGTAACAACAGCAATGCACTCTACAGTTTAGGCAGGATGGCGAGAAAAAGGCACAGAGGGGACATTGAGTTTGCCCAGGGAGGGGGGTTTGTGCAGGTGGAGGAGGCAAAGCATGGCAGGGCAGGGGAGACCCAGTAATTCCAGGACTGAGGGCAAAGGGGCCATTGGTGGCTTCTGATCTGGGGAAAGTCAGGGGAAGACAGTGTTTCCGGAAGATTAAGTTGGCAGTGGAGTGAAGGGTGAATGCGCCAGCAAAGGAGAAAATGCAGCGAGTGGCCACTATTTTAGGAGCTCAGGCTTGATCGGGATGGGGAAGAAGCACCGGTGCAGGAGGGGTTGGCTGAGTGTGGCCGGCAGAGTGAGGGAGCTGTCCAAAATGTGGAAACAGTGACCCAAGCAGGGACACTGAGCTTACTGGGGGTGAGCAAGAGCCTGACTTCAGACAGTTTGCATTTAAAGTGACCATGGGGTGGCCAAGAGGTCACTGGCCAAGAGGCATGACTGCTTACAGAATAGAGTCTGGAGCTAGGGAGAAGGGAAAGACCAGGCCATAAACAGGGTCCCTTGAGTCCCAGGGAGAAGCCACATTTGGGACAGAGATGGAGGCATCAGAAGACTAGAAAAGGGGAACAAGAGGGCACCTAGAGCCACTGGGAGCATGAGGTTGTGTCATAAAGAACTCTTCCAAAGGATCACTGGATCAGAATGCCTCCTCCCCAGGAGGCTTTCCCCACCTGGGAGATGTCCTGACTCATGGTCTGGTATTGGTGGTAGAGAGAAGGGTGGGCAGGTTTGTGTGGCAAGGCAGAGGCCTCAGCCTCCAACCTCATTCATCAGGCAAACAGCAGGGCTGGGGAAGTAGCCAGCAACCCTCCCTCTAGGTGGATCTTGGGCAACTCATGAACTTGTGTTTTCCTGATCTGTAAAATGGAATGAGAATGGCCACCTATTCGTCAGGTTGTTGTGAGGGTTAAATTAGATAATGTATGTAAAGTGCTGAGAACAATACCTGGCACATGATAAGTTAAATAAATAATAACAACACCGTCACCATCACCACCATCATCCAGGAAATCACAGCACATGACCACAGCAGATCCTCAACTCAGGAGGCAACTGTGATGTTAAGTATAAAAGGCTTTATAAGACTTCGTCAATGGAAAACCAGCAAGACAGTGATGGCTCCAGGGGAAGAAAGAACTCATTCAGGCAAAGGACATTTTAAAAGAGGAGCCCAGGCTGTGCTGGGTCCCTGATGTAAATGCTGACCCCAGCCTTCCTTCCCTCATCCCAAGGTTAAGAGGGAAACCCGATCAGCTCCCGCCAGGCACTTTGCCCACATCAGCTCCTTCAGTGCTCTCTGTAGCAGTGCCAGGAAGGCAGAGTCTTCATTTCACAGAAAGAAACAGGGGCTCAGAGGCTTAGGTCATTTGCCTAAGGTTGCACAGCTGTTGTGAGGTGGTCTGTCTGTTGCAGATCCCCCTCTCATGTTATTAAAGAGCTGAGGTTGCTCGTAGGAGGCAGTCCCAGTTCCTAAGGAAGCTTGTTCCTTGTTAGGACCATGGGGATGGCCTCTGGGGCCCCATATTCCATATTATGCTGCTTTGGCCCATGCTGGGAGAGCTGCAAGTCAGGACTTTGCATCCAAGTGAAATCTGGCTGGGGGATCAGGAGACCCCAGAATCCATTTTAGGACCTAGAGAATCCTAGGAAAAGAGGGTGGAGCCATAGGGCCATACATCTCAGACTTTGCTGGGTTCAGGAAGCTCCTGGAGATTAAATACAGATTCTGGTTTTGGAGGTCTGGTGTGGGGCCTAACAGTCTGCATTTTTAAGAGCACCCCGCTGATTCCCATGCTTCTGGCCCATGCATCAGACTTGGAGTAGTGAGGTGCAGAATATCTGGGTACAGTTGGAACTGGACTAGGTGGAGGAGCTGCCCGACCAGGGGTGCTTCTCTCAAAAGCAGTCAGCTCCTCTGCTGTGAGGGCAGAAGAGGCTGGAAGTACCACCCATCCAAATACCCTTCTCTCTAGCGTGGTGACTGACGCTCCCTCTCCTCTATAAGAAGTTACAAGAGCCTCTGCTGAAGACCTCTTTAAGTATGACACAGAGCCCAAAAAAGAAAAGAGTGATAAATCCAAGTCCATAAAAAGGAAAATTTTCCACATTACAACATCCACCAAGAGCAAAGACAAAAAAAAAAAATGACAAACAAGGGAAAAGTATTTTAAACTTGTCCTATAGACAAAGGGCTAATTCCCTAATTTATAAAGAGCTGTTACAACTCAATAAGGAAAAGACCAATAATCAATACAAAAATAGGCAGAGGCTATGAGCAGATAAGAAATTCAAATATATAAAAATATTCTCAGTCTCCTTCATTTTAACAAAAGTGAAAATTAAAACTGCACTTAGATATAATTTTTCCCCATCAGATTAGCAAATACTGTAAAAATAGATGAAATATTTGTTGGGAGTGTCGGAAAGTGCTTGCTTGCATATTTGGTCGACACGAACTTCCTGAGCAGTGGCCCTAGGAAGGACAATCTGGCAGTGGCTATGAAAACTACACATGTATATTCATTTGAGACAGTAATTCTATTTCTATGAACTCACAAATATGCCTGCAATTGTGGGAAATAGCATGTTGTACAAACTTATTCATTTGGTAGCACGTTTTGTGAGGGCAAAAGGCAAAAGACTGCAAGTAATCTTTCATCAATAGAGGACCAATTAAATTAATGGCACAGTGGAGTACTATACAACCATAAAATGAATGAGAAAGCTCTCTGTGTACTGCCATGAAATCAAATCCAAAATGCATTGTTAAATGAAAAGAGCAAAGAGTGGAACCATGAGTTGGGCATGCTGTTTGTGTAGAAAGGAGGGAGACACATAAATTATTAGAGCAGTGCTCTGCACATAGCAGCTCTTCAATCATTTTGTGGAACTGAATGCATGAAAGTACGGTAGTGGTGGGGCTCACAGTTCACACTGACCCATCCACTACCCATGCTCCTGTTTGTTACCCCAGGCCAGCTCATGCGGGCGGGAGTGCTCAGGGCTATTCAGTGAAGCAGCTGGGGTGAGCTAGTGTGTGACCCCCCCCAGGGGATGGGCTTTGACCAGGAGCTGCAGAACATCCTAGGTTCCTGGATGTGGAGGGAGGTGTCAGCACCTGTCTCTTGTCCCCCTGCGTCCTGCACACTCTCCTACCTGGTTTCACTGAGTAGTGTTGCCTGAGATGCTACTCAGTGGCTTGTATTTTTCTAGGTTGCTGAAGCCATAAGCCAGTTTCCTGGCCCAGGCCCTCCTGGGATGGTGGTCAGTCTTCCTCCTTCTCCTTTCCCTTACCCGCTTACCAATTCTCAGCCCTTGACCCAGACTCACTGGGCCCCCCATCTGCACAGTGTTACAATGCGGTCCTTTTCTCTTTGCTCCCACGGTTTCTCTTTCCCACAGGCCAGGAGGAAGGCCTGTGGACCTCTGCCCACGACACTTTGAGAGGCTCTGGCTTTCTTCAGAGCCACAGGACTAGAACGGCTATTGTGTGGAGGGCTTATAAAGTCCTGGGCACTGTAATAAGTGCTTTCATTCGTTATCTCAGGTGTTCATTCAAAAATACGTATTTAATGCTTACTAAGTGACAGTCACTCCTTTGGATCTGGAGTACGGCAGTGAAAAAGGCACCCCCATGGAACTAAGACCCTAGTAGGAGAGATGGACAACAAACAAAAATCGCCTGTTTTCAGATAGTGGTCAGCACTGTGAAGGAAAATAAAGCCAGTTAAGGGCACAGGGGGTAATGGGGGTACAATTTTAGATACGGGGCTCAGGAAAGATCTCACTGGAGGAGGGGCCTGAATGAAGGAGTGAGCCTGGAGAACATCAGTGGGAAAAGCATTTCAGGCAGAGGGAACAGCAAGTACGAAGGCCTCAGGTGGGAAGGCAGTGAGTGAGAGGAAGGATGGAGGAAAGAAGGTCAGAAAGGCAACCCGGGTCACATAGGAGGGGTGCTGTAAGCGATGGGAAGGGCTTTGGATATAGTCTATGGCGCCACTAGTGGGAGTTGAGCTTAAGAAGTTGGCATGATTTTAGATGAGGGAGTTGAGGCTGAGAGAGGTCAAGTAACTTGTCCAAGGTCACACAGTAAATAAGGGGCAGACCCCAGGTTTGTACAAAATGACTCCCACAGGATGTTGTTGGGATGCAGGGTGCTTGCCCTCTTCCAGGAACTCCAACGCTAGCATCCCAAAGGCTGGCCAAGGGAGGAGAGTGGGACCATGCTTCCACAGGTCGCTCTAACACACTGGCACATGCCATGGGCACAGCCAAATGCCATGGGCATGCCTGGGCTGGTTGGGACCCCTGGAGAGTGGGAAGGGTGGCAATGGCCAAGTGCCATGCCAGCTGGGCCCAAGGAAGTGCTGACATGGCACAATGTCCCTGCTCCACACCCCGCCCACTGTCGATTAACCAATGGGATCACTCAACTGAAAAATTAACTAAAACCGACAGACATCCCTCAAACCCACACAAGGTCAACAGCACTGAGGCTGCTGGGCACTGTTGCCTCACCCCCACCCTGGAGGCCGGCTCCGGCCTCTCCCAGTGCACACTTATGCCCTCGATCTCATGAGCCCAGGGCCCTTCTGGCGCCTTCACCGTGTCTGCCTTTCTTGACTTCCCTCAGTTGGCAAACCTCCTCTCAGGCCCAACAGCTCATGCCCACCTGTTCTTCCTGGGATTTATTTATCAAATTTTAACTTAGCTCTTAGGATATGCAATGTCTGGCTGGGGCCAAAGGGGGCCACAACATGAACGTACAAGGCTTTGCCTTCAAGGAGCTTAGAGTCCAGGCAGAGGATTGGGAGAGGGGACTCAGATACCCGGAGAAACACAAGGCCGTGTTGAGGATAGAGTGTGAACTTCACGAGGGCAGGATTTTTGTGTTTTGTTCACTGAAGCATCCTCAGTCCCTAGAATAGTAGGTGCTCAGTAAATATTTGTCCAATGGATGAATGCATTAATAAATGAGTAGGGTTGTTGTGGGGCTGAGCATGAAACTAGCATGATTCTGAGATAGTGGCCTTCCACCTTGGTGTATGCAGGAATCGCCTGGAGGTCTTTACCATCTGGTGACTGGGTCCCCCTCCTAGAGGTTCTGATGGGATTGACTGGAGTGCAGCTTAGCTGGGATTGTTGAAAGCTCCCCAGGTGACCCTAATGTGCAGCCTGGGCAGGGAACCAGGGCTCTGGGATTCACAATGCAACACTCTAAGAGCGTGGGAGGGGCTGCTGCTTCAGAGATAGATACCTGGTGGCTGCCACTGCAGATGCTCTGTGCTTGGTGAATAGGGGATGGTCTGTCCCCTTCCTCTGGCATCTGCCTGCTGAGCCCAAACTTCCAAAGTTCTCCTCGCTCCAGCTTCCAGGAGACTTCCTGGGGACTCACCCCTTCTATAGGCATCCCTTGACGCTGATCCCTTTCTGACCTTGTCCAACGTTAAAGAGTTGATCAGCCCATCAATTAATTGTGTCCTAATCCAATCTTGGCTTGGCTGGAGAGAGGGCAGTAAATCCAGCTGCATAATCATGCCCTGATATTTGTGTAGGGATAATTACTATCTCTCAGGCCTCACTTGGTGGCAAGATGAGATGAAAACCCATAAAACACCACTCAGGGCTGTGGCTCATTGTTTCTTGGCTACACAAGGCTGGCTGCCAGCCAGACAGCACTGCCTGCCCCTGCCCCTGGCATAAGCCCCAACCTCTTCCCCTCCCGTTTATGCAACTGCAGGACTCAACATCAGGGGCAGTCTAGGGGCTGGATCCTGGTTTGGGCTCAACAACCAGTAATGGTAATGTCGTGGCTCAGGGGAAAGCCAGTGTATATGTGTCAGGGTGGGGAGCGGAGCACAAGGAAGGTGGTCCTCATAGCCAGGCAGTCACCGGCCTCCAGGAGGTTGGGAGGTCCAGGATGATGACTGCTCAAGTCTGAACCCCAGGGCTTCATCCAAAGCTGACCCAAAAGAGGGCTGCCTTCTGGAGGAGCCCACTGCACATTCAACCTAGCCCCACAGGGACACAGGGCCCTACATCCCTCACAGTGTCCCTCACCTAGGGACACTGTGACCTGGGACTTCCGCAGAGATGTTACAGCCCCACAGGCCTGGGCTGAGATCCTGAGAGCTGAGCCTAAGAAAATGCAAGCATCGCGGTGGAGGGGGCGTGGGTGGGGGGGAGCGGCGGGCGCGGCGGGGAAACCACCTTGATCTACTGCCACAAGAGCACAGCCCCCAAATCATGAGACACTGAGCAACAACTGCAAGCTAGGCTCTCCAAGAGGCAGTGAGGACATAGGGTTGAGGAAAGCCGTAGAGCATCTTGATTAAGAGGATGGATCTGGAGTCAGACACCTGGGTTTGAATCCTGGGACTTACAAGCTGCATGGCCTTGGGCAAGTCAGGTAACCTCTTTGTGGCTCAGTTTCCTCAATTGTACAGTGGCATTTACCAGTACCTACTAATCGAGGTGTGTGAGGCCTAAATGAGATAATTAATGTAAATGTTTAGATCAGGGTCTGACACGCAATAGGTGCTACTTAAGTATTAACTGTTATTATTGTCACTGTCATTTAGCCTTCTGGGCATCAATTTCCGTCATCCATTCCTTAGTGTGCAGGACCTTGTTACTCAAAGTGTGGTCCCTGACCCAGAGGCATCATCATCATAGCCTGGGAGCGGGTCAGAAGTGCAGGGTCTTGGCCCCACCCAGACCTGCTGAGTCAGTCTGCATTTGCACAAGACCTCTAGGGGATTCGGATGCACACTTCAGTTCGGGAAGCTCCTGCAAGAAAAGGCTCCACGAACTCAAGGTCTGTCTTCCTCACGGTTGTGTCCTCAGCATCTCTAGGCTGGCATAGTGTAGGTGCTTAGCAAGAATTTGGGGAGTGAACAAGTGAGCTCAGCTGAGAGTAGTGGGGGGCTCCTGAAGGATTTCAGAACATTTTAGAAAGGTCCTCTACAGCTAGCATGGAGGCTGATTCTAGTGGCATCTTCCGATCACGGCATAACCCAGGTGAGAGTGATGCATGCTTGAGCCAGGGCAGGGCAGTGGGGCTGGAGAGGAGAGGAGGGGTCAGGAGGGCTCACATTAGGAGGCGGTGGTGGGGACACACAGTCTGAGGGAGAGACTCGGTCTCTGCTCACCCTGTCCATCTCCAGGTTCGGGTTTCAGGAGATGAGACCTACAGGCTCACACGCAAGAGAAGAATAAGTCATTCTGGGACCCAGGGAGGTCCTGTGGCAGCAGGGGGCAGTGCCTAGGGGGACAATGACAGTTGCCTGAGGAAGGGCCAGGGTTCCCATGGCCCTCCCCAAGTTGCTACTGGGAGGGAGAAGATGGGAAGCAGGAAGAGGCCTGAGCCCCAGCCCTTACCCGAGAAGGCATTATTGGTGTTGAGGAAGTAGATCTCCTCCCGGCCGTCCCCGTCGATGTCGCAGGCTGTGACCCCGATGGCGTTCCCCTGCCGGTCCCGCAGCGCGTAGTAGGGTGAGCTGCGCTCATCGACCGCGATGTTCACCAGCCGCTTCTGGGCCCGGTCATACTTCAGAACCAGGTTGGGTCCATTGTACCTGGAGGAGGAATGGGGAGGGGATGCTGGGGAGGAGCCGCTGGGCCCACCCAGTCCCATCCAACCAGAGCAACGGGCTGGGAGTCCTCCCGGACACGCCATGGGGCAAGTCAGACCTGGAGTGTTCCCAGGGAACACGGCCAGCCTTGCCTCATGGAACCCTGAGTGTTGGATGAGTGTCCCTGAATCAGATTTTGCGCCCGGGCGCAGTGAGAGTCAGCAGGGGCCATGTGGGACACCATATAAGCAGCAGGGTGGCAGAGGGGAGTGGGAGCCATGGACAGCCCGTTCCCACAGGCTTCACTGAAGAAAACAAAGAACTTCCTGATGCTCATCTTGCCCATTTCAATGCAAAAGGCACTTTCACATTTATGATCTCATTAATTTAAATTTAACAATCAAGAGAGGTAGGCATGTATTAGTAACCCATTTTATGGATGAGGCAACTGATGAGGTTTATCAGGGAAACTGAGGCTCAGAGAGGCTGAATGCCCTTTCCAAGGTAACACGGCCTAGGAAGTGTCAGGTGCTGGGAGTTGAACCAAGGTGCTTTCTACTATCCCGAGTCCTGAGTCCCTGTGTGAATGAGCCCTGGAGGAGCAGGAGGCTTTGTTGTTGAGGTTTGAACAACTCTCTCGACAAAGTCCCTGCATTTAAACAAAAGGATGAAGTTTGCATCTCAGATGGGAGAACATGAACACGTCTAAAGTTATTAGACAGACCTGCTGGATCTTTTTCTAAGAAATCAAGAGAAAAGGTTAAAAGGCATCACTACTTATCTCTACTCTGTCTCACTCTCCTGCGCCTGCAACTCCCTCCTCGCTGCACTGAAGCCCCAGGCACTTTCTTGCCTCAGGGACTTTGCACTTGCTGTTCTCTGCCCAGGATGCTGTTCCTCCAGACATCCACACCGCTGGCTCCCTCCTTCATCTCCTTTAAACCTTTGCTCCCCTGTTCCTTCTCAGTGAGGGCTTGCCTGCCCATGCTCCCAAAATTAGCAACCACCCCCGCCACTGCACCACCACCCTGTTCTCTATCTCTCACTAATGCTCTCTTCCCACAGCTCTGACCAACAGCTGACAATTCCATATTCTCATTTACCTCTTCCTTCTCTGTCTGGTCCCACTAGAATGTCTGCCTCATGAAGGCAGAACTTCTTGTCTGTTTTGTTCCCCAGTGCCTAGAACCATGCCTAGTATACAATAGGTGCTCAATAAATATTTGCTAGCTGATTGAATGAATGAAAGCTCAGAGCTCATGTCTGAATCATAAAAGCTCAGGTGTCCCATGGTCTGTTTCTTCACATCACCCTCCCATATGGAGAAAACAAGGGCCCTGCAGGAAGTCGGTGTGCCCAAGGTCACACCCCAGGCAGCACAGAAATGAATGTCTGAGGCCTCTTCCTGCCCACTGGGAGCACCAGCTTGCCAGGTTCTCCCAAAGAATGGAACAGACCCCATCCACAGGGTCCCCCACCTCTTCCTGTGTTTCAGCCTGAATGTGCACATCCCGAGGGAAATGCAGATACTGCCTCCAGAGGGTTCCCAGCTGGTAACACCCAGGGAGGGCAGGAAGAGCTTTCTAAGGTCTTTGAGAGAAATCACGTCTTTCTTTCCTGAAACAAATCCAGTCTGGCCCGCTGCATCATCCCAAGATGCAGAAGCCAGTGAGGTTTGGGGGATGCTGAGCAGCTGGCTGGGCACCTTCGGGCACCCATAGGGTGTGAAAGGAGAGATGGAGCTCCCTGGGGGCTGAGTCAGCGCCCGGTGATGGAAGGTCATGCCTTAGACACCTTGATGAAGAGTGTCTGAGGGCTGCATGTCCAGGGCGTGGCATGACCTATGGAGACGTGTCTAGGCAGGAGAGACAGGTACTTGGGTTCCAGCACTGTCAGCAGCTGGCTCCAGTGCTTGGGGACAGGAAGTGCCTGTGAGGGCTGAACACGAGTCTTGCAAGCCTTGGGGTCTTCTGCTTTTCCATCACTACTGCACCTTGTAAGATGGCTGTATTTGTGGAGTGCTTGGCCTTGTTAAAAGCACCCTCATATGCACAGTCTCACTTGAGCCCCACACCATCTCAGAAGGAAGGTAGGCAAAGCATTTTTCCAGAAAAGGAAACTGAAGTGAGGTCCAAGGTTACACAACTTGTTAGTGGCAGCGCTGGGCCTCTGTGTCTTCAGGGTCCAAACCCCATGTTCTTTCCGTGCTGCCTATGATGCCAGCACTCTCAGGCCTGTTCATTTTTCCCCCTGGCTGCCTCCCACAAAGTAGTGCCCCTGAGAAATGCCTGAGAACTTCACAGAGATGCAGATGGCGAAGATTATGATAGTCTTACATTTCAATAGCACTTTACACTTTACAAAGCACTTTCTCATCCTTGGGCTCATTTGCCAGAGATGAGGTTGGTGGCCTTGGGCTGGTCAGTTCTCTCTAGGCTCTGCATTTCTCTTCTGTGAAATGCAAGAGTTGGACAAAATCTGAGGGTCATGAAATGTGTGGCAAAAGGCAGCCCTGGGGGCCCTCTGCTCCATTCAACTAGAACATCTCTATGTTTTATGCATCACGTTCCACAGTATGTTGTTTGAACAAGGGATTCCAGAGCCAGAGTTTAAAAGCCCCTGGACTCTGTGGGTCTGTGAGTCTCACTAACCTTATGAGACGATCAGAGCAGGTGCTCCCTGCCCCAGGCTGTGGCTGAGAAGCCACCATAGAAGCCCAGCACTGACACCCTTCCCCTGCACCCCTGCCCGTTGGGTCTCCTAGAATGTCTTCACCACCCCCTGAAGCCAGTTCCAAGGGAGAGGTGAGGGATCATGGCCTCCTCACATATTGGAGTCCAGTCCTTCTACCCTGAATCTGGAGTAGCTGGGGTACACACAAGGTCCCTGCACCATGGTAGTAACCTCGGAAAGGTAGTTGGCCCCGGCTCTCTTCTTTAAAGAGTTTTAAGGTGCCAGTTCCAGAGGTAAGGTTGCTAGGCTGGGTCAAATTCTTCGATCAGTTACTGAGTGAGCACACGCCACAAAGGCTTCCCTAAACTGACATGGTAGCTTGGGATGCATCCTGACACTCTGGCCCTCATCTCCCCCAGTCCCCACTGCCTCCCAGGACTACAGATACAAAGCCAGACCAACAGCTCCTAGGTTGGGTTCTTGGCACCCCATGGTGCAAGGCCAGGGCAGTGCCTGGAGTTGCCACTTCCTCCTTTCACCCAGGCTGCTCTCTGCTGAGTCTGCTGGACCAACACTCAGAGCCTCTCACAATCCCCCAAGAAAACCAGGAGAACCAGTCTTCTTCCCTCCCCGCTTCTTCTTGAGGCTGACGTTCCTGTTTGCTTCCTCACCATCCCCTGAGTGTGCTCTGCCCTTTCCAGCTCCTGTGGTTTTGCTCAGCTGCAGCAGTCCCCTCCCACGGGGAATGCTTTCCCCACCTTCCCAGCCTCCCACAATGCCTGCCCCGACTGCCCCTGCTGGATGTGACCTTCTCTTCTCTGGAAACCCACAGCATTTTGCACCTCGCTTATTCCTGTGAGGCCAGAATTGTTTGTGTTCCAACATCACTTTCCTCATTAAAACATGTGCTTCTTGAGCTCAGGAAGCATGTGGAGTGGATGCATCTCTTCATTTGCTGTGCCTGAAACAATGCTTGGCACAGAGTAGGTGCTCAACAAATGTCTGTTTGATACAAGAATGAGTGAATCAGTGGATGAATGAATGAATAAATAAAAATAATCATGGGTAGCCTTACCAGAGCAGCCACTGCGTGCCTAGAATTATGCTAAGTGCTTTGTACCCATTGTCTCATTCCGTCCTCACAACAATCCTAGGACATGGGTCTTATTAACACCCCATTTCACAGATGTGGAGACTGAGGTTCAGAGGTTAGATGACTTGCCCACTATCACTCTGCTGGCAGTCCCCACGCTGACAAGCCTGGGAAGCTGAGTGTGAGCTACATGGGCTTACACACTTTCTCTCTCTGACACCTGTCAGATTTCTGAGCACTTCTAGAAATTCTGGAGGCTTCAAAGCTAAATTCTGGAGGCTTCAAAGCTCAGTTAAATGGAGCCAAGAAGTGGGGCAAGGTCCCATGTTTTGAAGCAGCTATGGCTTCCTAAAGGATGGGCCAGCAGGCAGGGGTGATGGGCTCAGTGGCAACTGTAAAATATGCTTGAGAGACGCCATCAAGGGCATGACCAACCCGTGCTGTGAGAGCCATCCCATTTTGGTGCCAGTTCACTGGGACAGCACCACTGTGGGGAGGGCAGGGGCCTGGGGTTTGCCGAGAGCAGCCTGGGGGTGGGGTCCTGGCCCTGCCACCTCCTGGTCTGACCCCAAGCTTGTCCCTCGGTTCCTCTAAGCTTTGACTTCTGCATCTGGAACAGGGGGCTGCTGCATACCTCACAGGATGGCTGTGAGGACGAGGTGCCAGAGTGTGTGTGACAACACTTGGTAAACTGTGAAGAGTTACACAATCAGAAGTTCTTATCATTATTTAGAAAAACAACAAACCCGGGGCACAATCTCTCACTCTCTGGTGATCATGTTGATATTTCCAAACACACTCCAGCATTTCCTGTCCCCAAACATCCCGCCCTCGGTAGCTCATCCTCTGCAGGTATATTTCTTTATTCCCATGTAAAACCAAACTTCTCTCTCCACTTTCCCGCTGCCTATTTGCCCCACCCCCATCCACCTTCCCACCCCAATTCTGCCACAGCTTTTCCTGCTACCATCATCGGTGGCTTTTATGAGGCCATATCTCAGGGTGCCCTTTTCTGTCCTCATCCCCCTCGGCCTCTCAGCTGTATTTGGCACAGTTGCTGCTCTCTCTCTTCCTTTTCCCCACCGCTGTCCTCTGAAAGCACTCTCTCTTCTAGGCCAAGGAGGCCAACTTCCTCTGGTTTCCTGCGCTCTCTCTGGCTTCCTCTCCTTTCCCCACCGTAATTCCTTCTTCCTCTCCCTTCCCTTTTAATGTTGGAGTCCCCAGTCCTGGGCATTCTCTTCTTTCTCTCCCCTTTCACTATGGGATAATGTTCATTACCCTGACTGACAATTCCAAATTCATACTTCCAACCCAAATCCCCAGTCCCAGGTCAGATGCATATCTCTGACTGGCTACCTGACATCACCCCTTGGACGTCCACTGCCACCTCCAATAGAACATGTTCAAAGTGGAGCTACTGACCACTCCACCCCTCCCTCCCACAAAGGAGCACCCAAATACTAAGGCCAGGAACCTGCGTCAGACTTGGCTGTCCCTCCCCTTTGTCTTCGCCTCTCATTAATTGGCCCATCCTGTCGTTTCTACCTCCAAAAATGTTTCACAAATCCTTTTTCTTCTTTCCTCCTCCACTGCCACCATCTCTGGGCAGACACCCTTCTCTGTTGCCTCACTTGACCGTCCCCTAATTTAACTCCCCCACACTGTAGCCAGAGTCATCTTTTTTACTGCATAAATCAGATCATAGCTAAAACCCTTTGGTGGCTTCCCATTGCTTGGGAATGAAACCCAGACCTGTGATCACTCCTGGCCTTGGAGCCCGCATGGTCTGCTCCCCTACCTCACTGGCCTCCTTCTGCCACAGGGTCTCCTTTCAGCTCCTTGAATTCTGGCAAGTGCTTCCCAACCCAGCACTCTCTTGCAGAATTGCTCCCACCACCCAGAACACTCTCCAACCATTCCCCGCCTGTTTGGTCCTACAGTGAGCTCCTTCTCATCCCTTGGCCTCCTCTTCAGAGGCTCCTCAGAGAGATCTCCCTCATTGGTATTCTCATCGCTGCATCCAGCACCTATTCCTGTTTCTTCACTTGTTTATTGCCTGTCTCTTCCAGTAAACTATAAGCTTCCTGAGGTCAGAGACTGTGTCTGGTTTGTTCACTCCTGTCTCTCCATCATCCAGCCCATAGTGAGCTCTTAATAAACCACCGCAGAGTGAATGGAAGAGATGAAGCCCGTGGAAGGTACAAAGAGCTGAACAAAAGGTTGACTGGGCCACCAATCCCTTGTTTGTTCTTGGACTCTACACTTTCATCAATTCCCAAAATATTAATATATGTACAAACATAGTCATGAAAAAGAGCTTTCAGCACCAAGAATTGGTGTCCTGGGTGAGGAGGAGAGAAAACAACAAATGCTATAGTTATGGAGGATCGACTTCTTTTCGCTTAGAATCTTTGACCTATGTGAAAAAAATCGCTTAGGGAGTCACATAAGGGGAAGCCAGATAGAAGGATGTGAGCACCTATTATATACCAGAAACTGTGCTAAGTAATTTACATATGACATTTCATTATATATAAATAGAAACATTTTTTAGATTTGAAAGATACAGAAAATATGCTATCTGTTTGAAAATTAAGAACAGAGAAATTGTTTTCATTAAAATTTTTTTTCCATTAAAAAGTGAAAAAAAAAAAAGGCTGGGTATGGTAGCTCATGCCTGTAATCCCAGCACTTCAGGAGGCCGAGATAGGAGGATCCCTTGAGCCCAGGTGGTTGAGACCAGCCTGGGCAACATAGTGACACCTGTCTCTACAAAAAAATAAAATAAAAAATTTAGCCGGGTGTGGTGGTGCATTCCTGTAGTCCCAGTTACTCAGGAGGCTGAGGTGGGAGGACTGCTTGAGCACAGGATGTCGAGACTGTGGTGAGCTGTGATCATGCCACTGCACTCCAGCCTGGGCAACAGAGCAAGACCCTGTCTTCAAAAAAAAAAAGTGAAAAGTGAAAAGAATATATCTATTCAGTAGTATAGTCAAGATAGAGAGTCAGGGCAGAAAGAAGAGAGAGATGTATGAATGCACAAAGAGTGCAAGACCGAGACCAGAGACACATGGAATATACAAAAATGGAAATGAGGAAATATACAAAAAGGGAAGAGGAAGCCGACAAGCACAGAGAAAATGATATCAGAGCATACCTAAAACCTTTTAAGTAAACATAGATACAGAGGTAAAGACACCTACCCATATAAAGGGAGCCACATGAAAAAGGGCATCTGCAGATCTACAAAGACAAATGGAGAGACCCCTAGAAAGTCTCGAAGTCATGGACACATCAACAGGACTCTGAGATATGATCATAGAGAAATAATTCCATCTTGTGGCCACTTGGGGCATTTCCTCTAAACGTTTTTAAAAATGTGTTGCATTTTCACAACTATGGGCACACAGGAGTATTTTATTGTTGGTCACTTTGATACTCTCATTTTATAGATACACAAAGTTTCTGAGAAAAGTGACTTCTAAAGTCAAACAGCTGGTCATTAGATAAAATAAATGGAAAGACAAACTTATCCCTTAGTCTAAAGCAGGGATCAGCAAACTATGGCCTGTGGGCCAAATGGTCTGCTTCCATTTTCGTAAATATGGTTTTATTGGAATGCAGACATACTCATTCACTTATGTACTATCTATGGCTGCTTTTGCTAAATATTGAAGTTGATTAATTGCAATAGAGACCGTATGGCCAAAAGCTGAAAATATTTTCCATTTGGCGCTTTACTGAAAAAGATTGCCAATCCCTGGTCTCCAGGATTGTCAGCCTTATAGTATGAGTATATTACAAATTTTAAATGATAATTATCATAACAACAAAAAATTAGAATAAGGTTTAGTAAAAATTAATTTGGGCTTAGTACTTGGGAATACATAGTTTCCTGAAGCAAGTATTTCAGGGAGACTGAAGGTTAAATGTATGAAAGATTTTAGGTCTTAGGATGGCGACTGTAAGGCAAGATAACCTTTGGGGGAAAAAGAAACTGAGAAGAGCTGCTTAAGGGCCAGGTGCAGTGCCTCATGCCTGTACTTCCAGCACTTTGGGAAGCCAAGGTGGGTGGATCACCTGAGGTCAGGAGTTCAAGACCAGCCTGGCCAACATGGTGAAACCCCATCTCTACTAAAAAAAATACAAAAATTAGCTGAGCGTGGTGGTGCACACCCTGTAATCCCAGCTACTTGGGAGGCTGAGGCAGAAGAATCGCATGAACCGGGGAGGCAGATGTTGCAGTAAGCCAAGATCGCCCCATTGCTGTCAAGCCTGGGCAACAAGAGTGAAACTCCATCTCAAAAAAAAAAAAATGATAAAAGAGTTGCTTAAAATGACAACAGTGTTCTCTAAACAGGGATTTAATCTAAGGCTAAGAAATGAGCAAAAGCATTTGTGCTCTAAGTGAGGGGGTAAAAAGGTTGTGGTAGATGGTCTCTAAAAATGGTCACCATCATTTCCTTTCTTCTCTGTATGCATGTGTTACTCCACTCATGAAGACATGGAGTCTATTTCTCCTCCCCTTGAATTTGGGCTGGCTTTGTGATTTGCCTTGATTGCAGAAGACGGTGGAAGTGATGTTGGAGCAGTTCTGAGCCTAGCCTGCAAGGGGCCCAGTAGCTTCCACTTAGTCTCTGGAGGAAGCCAGTTACCATATACAAAATTTGGCTACCTTAAGACCACCATGCTCTGAAATCAAAGCTAGCCCTATGGAGAGGCCATGTGAAAGAGCACCAAGGCATCTGATATGTGAGCAAGAACTTCTCAAATCTTCCAGCCTAGCTCACTGACAGCTGAATGCAGCTAAGTGAGTGACACCAGCTGATGTCACATGGAGCAGAAGAACCATCCAGATGAGCCCTTTCCAAATTCCTGATTGGCAGAATAGTGAAAAATAATAAATTGTTTTTAAGCCCCTAAGTTTTCAGAAAAGAAAGTAGATAATGATGACCTATCATCTCAGATCTAAGGAGAGGAAAAATTTATCTCTGGCAAGTAGGAAAAAGGATTATTCATAAATCAGTGGAATTCTCTAGGATGGCTATTTGAATTCACAGTAGGCAGGTCTCCCCAAGGGAGGCCTGGACTAGTTGTGTTGGTACTTGGATCTGAGGATATGGGAAGGTCTGTGCAGAGCCCGAGGGTGGAAGGGTAATAAGAATACAGGGATCCCAGAAACTCCTGTTTTTCTACTCCTCTTTCTCTTTCTTCTTTCCTTTCTAACCATATCTAAATGTTTCCCATTTTGAATGCACACTCTTGAGAATAGATCATTTCTTTGGAAATGTGTGTAATGCTCTTTTTTTTGTTTGTTTTTACACATTTTATTCTTTGAAAGCCATTTAAGTTAAATAGGACCAGAAAACATATGGGAAGACATTCAAACAGGAGATTCACAGAATGTATCCTGGAATAGGATATATCCAGAGGCCATATATTAGTTTAAAGGAATAGAGACTTTGGTAATGGGAAGGTTCTGGGCGTGATGAGAAATCTGGGGCAGGGTTCCGCTAGGGAATAAATTGGGTAAGGTTGGAAAAATAACAATAACAAAATCAGATTTGATCCTGATTTAGGAGCTGGCCAGAGTGGAGAAGACTCCACAAATAGAGTGCTCTACTGAAGAAGGTAACTTTAAGAAAAAAGAGAAAAACCTTTTGTCCTAAGGGGCAGATGGTTTTTCAAGAAAGGGATGGTTGGCACCAAAAGGTCAGAATAATCTGCAGTGATGGTGTCTGTGTTCTGTAAAAACTCCACACAGACTGATTGATTTCGGCCTTGTTCTTAAAAAGATCTGTGCTCAGCATGTGCTCGATGCCCTCGGAATTTCTTATATTTTCATGAGCATAGAGGCACACAGAAGGCAGGGACTATCCTATGCAGCTCTATTCCCCATCACACCTAGCCCAGTGCCAGGAAAGACCAAGTGCTCAGTCATGTTTGCTGATGATGACGAAGACCATAACTCCATTTCTCAATGCATGTTTCTAGGAAAAGAAGAAGACAGGGAGTCAGGAATTCCCATAAACTGTCAAAGAAGGGATTCAGGTGACAGATGGAGGCTGTGTTAATCAGGATTCTTTGGTTGCAAGTGAACTAGTTGAGAAATGTATTGGCTTAAATGTCCAAACTGCAGGAACAGCAAAAGTGCAGCTAGGCTTCTGGATGACTGGAACCAGGATGTGGTCAGCACTTCCTTTTCCTTCTTTCTCATTCTTTTCTCTGCCTATGGACCTCATTCTCTCACATGATCCTCCTTCCCAAGACTTCAACTATGGCAGCATTCCCAGACTCACATCTCAGCTTCAGGACCAGAGGGGAGATTGTGTTCTCTCCTCAGTTTGCATGTAAAAAACCCCAGAAAAGAGCTCTGATTGGCTCAGGGTGGGTCACCTGTCCATCTCCAGAGGCAAGAGCTGGGAGCCTGTGGTTGGTAGCTTTCAACTAGTAGCAAGGCCAGTGAAAGTGGCATCTTGGGATCCACCTATATGCAGGAAGAGAAGTGCCAGGAAGGATAAGGATGTGGTTTTAGATGACAGTGACTCATTTGGGTCTGCATATTCTGGAGACAAACCTACCAGGGCCTCCTGATGGAAGACAACAAATGCTTCCCTGGGACCACCAAGTCACTGTGTCCTCTAGACACATCTCAAGGGCCCCCTATTCCCCTCCAGAAGCCCCAGAAAGAAGTAAACACAGAAATTGGAACAATGTTTGAGTCACTAGGTTCTCGAAACGGTCTGGTTCGAGGACACTAAGAGTTGGCAGCGATGAGATCAGCAAGTGGATCCCAGAGTCTGGCCAGAGCTCACCCACTTGCTGTGGATTCAGGCAAATCACTAACTGCTTGGTCACAAAACACTTTAAATATCTATTCAAACTTTCTTTCCTTCATGCTATAACTACCCAGAAGCTTCTAGCTAAAAAGCTGTTGGTCTTTATCTCTCTTTCAGTTGAGGAGGTAGGCCAATTTAGGGACAGAATAGTTGGGGCAAGGAGCCAATGAATGCTTCACTCTTCTTTAAGAGTAAAAAGATAAGTCAGGCATTGACTTCATTCCACCCTTCTGGGATCCTATTTCTAGGCAGGCACACCGCGAGGTACTGTGATGGACGCACATGGCATATGATGTAATTCTCTGCTCAGAGTCTCCAGCCTAGTATAGCAAATAAGGAGTGGTCCCAATCCCAAGCTTTCAGAGGGCAGAGGGCCAAAAATTGTTGGGGTAAAAGTTTTAATAAAGGTTTGTTTGATCTGGAACTTGAAGGATGTATAGGATTTTAGTAAGAGACATATGGGTCAGGCATTTATGAAAGAAATGGTGTGAGCAAGGAACAGAAAAATATGTTTAGGGAATACGGGGTAGACTAGCTGGACAACATAGAAGTGTGTGTTGGACAGAAGTGAAAAATAGTGAAAAGCAAATTGGAAAAGTACACGTTCCGTGAAAAGCCTGTATATGCAAAGCATTCCCCAAATGTTAAAGGAGCTGAGAAATAAAAGAATGAGGTAGACAGATACAGATTGTCGGTAAAGGATGTTTAATTGGGGGAACTTAAAGACAGAAGCATGGTCTTGGTGTACTGGGCAACTAAGATTGTGGAAGATGTGGCATGAAACTAAGGATTTATATTTTCTGGGTCAGGTATGGTGGCTCATGCCTGTAATCTAACACTTTGGGAAGCCAAGTTGGGAGGATCGCTTGAGACTAGGAGTTTGAAATCAGTCTGGGCAAAATAGTGAGACCTCATCTCTAAAAATAAATAAATAAAATAATAATTAAGAAATAGATGAAGATTGTGTTTGCTAGGAAATAGGGGGCTACTGAAGGATTCCGTGCAGGGTATACTGTTATGTCAAAACAATGTTTTGGAGATCATTGTCTGGTATGCATGAAGGATTGGCCAAGGAAGAGAATTGAAATGATAGTGCAGAATAATGGCAATTGGATTCCATGGCATTCCCTGAATTATTGCAAAAAAAAAAAAAAAACTCTTCTGAGCTAATGTGATTAGGTTTCTGTTCCTTATAATAAGTAAATTACCCTTAAGACAAAGTAGAGTCAAAAAAGCACAGAAATCAGGAAGGCAAGGGTTAAAATAAGAGGGGTAGCCAACAGTGTCAGATGCTTTCAAGGGTCAAAAAGGCCAAGGACTGGAAAAAGCAAGTGTATTTGGCAATTTGGAAGCCACTGATAACCTTCAAGAAAGCTGTTTCCTTAGAGAGGAGAGGAGAGGAGAGCTAGACTGAGGAGGGTGCATGGGAGTGGATGGGGCCACAGTGTGGATGGGTCATTTAGGACAAAAAGTGCTCTGAAAGTCCTAAGATATGTGCTGGGGGACACGTGGTTAAGCAAGGGTTTCACCAAGCTTTGGGACTGTGCATGTTTGTGAGCAAGAGGAAAAGACCTAGGAGAGGCAGTGGATGCTGCAGGCATCTAGGCAGGGTGTGCAGTAGGTCAGCAGAACAGAGTGTCATGTACCAGCTGATGGGTTGGGCCTGGAATTAAGAGGAAAGGAAGCCAGGATGGGCAAGAAGATAGAATGAGGTGGAAGAGAGCAACTAGACAGTAATATCCTGTATTAGTTCATTCTCATGCTGCTATAAAGAACTGCCCGAGACTGGGTAATTTACGAAGGAAAGAGGTTGAATTGACTCACAGTTCCGCATGGCTTGGGAGGCCTCAGGAAACTTACAATTATGGAGGAAGGGGAAGCAAACACTTCCTTCTTCACATGGCGTCAGGAGAGATAAGTGCAGAGCAAGGAGTGGGGGAAAGCCCCTTTTAAAACTATCAGATCTCGTGAGAACTCACTCGCTATCATAAAGACAGCATGGGGGTAACTACCGCCCCATGATTCAATTCCCTCCCACAGCACATGGAGATTATGGGAACTGCAATTCAAGATAAGATTTGGGTGGGGACACAGCCAAACCATATCACACCCAGAAAGCTAGGGTTAGGTTCACAGCTGAGAGGACAGTGTGGAAGTCACAGTGCAGCAGCCTGCTGGATTAGCAAGAGATGTTGAAGGAGAAGCTAGATTAGCAAGTGAGAGACTTACACATGACCACTTGCCATGGTAAACAGGGCCTGAAGGATCAGCCACCTCAGAGGGGGATGTCAGGCCAACTCAAGGAATGTGAGCTGCTGTGAGCAGGTGCTGGGACCCTGGTCCCACAGAGAAGACAGACCCTGCACCAGGAGGGGAGCAATCTGTGCAGAGAGTCCTGGGCAGGGCCAGGGAGCCAAATTGGACAAAAGGGCACAGGCAGAGGTGGAACAGAGGCAGGGCTGTCTCAGGGAACCAAGCTGGGGTGGAACAAGGGAAGGCAGCCATGCAGAATGTGGGGCAGGCATTTAGGGTCTTAAGATCCGGGACAAGGGCTGCCTTCCCCCAACCCTACGGAGTGTCTTGGTAAAGGTGGCAGAAGCATCTGCTCTCCAGAGTGAGGTGAGTTCTGTGGGGGTAGCACAGAGTGGCGGAGAGAGCCCTGGACTTGAAGTCAGACATAAAGGCTGAGAGGCAGCATAGCTCCATGCTGAGGCACTCAGCCGGGCAGTCAGACCACCTGAGGGCAGATTTCTGCTCTGCAACTCTTCAGCTGTGTGGGTGCTCCTGGTCAAGCCACCTAACCTGTCCAAGCCTCAGTTCCCTCATGTACAAAGTGAGGATGCTGAGATCAGCTTCCAGGCCATAGGGCTGTGCAGAGGATTAGGATAATATCTATAAAGCAGTGAATACAGGGCTTGGCACAGAGCAAATGCTCAGTAAACACTGGTTAATATGTCTGTCTTTTTCTCCTTATATACTCAGTGTCTGACACATAATGGGAGCTCAAAAAATATTTTTGAAAGAATGAATTACTGTTATTACCTGTGTAGCCTTGAGTACAGAAGACTGTGAGCTCCATGGAGTTCTGGTCTATATTTTATTCTTCTAGCCCTTAACACAGTGTTTGATAAAGGAACCTGCATATATTCACTAAGATTCAGTTTCCTCATCTATAAAGTGGGGCTAACAATATTTGTCTTACCCCAAGGTCAAACGAGATAATATATGTAAACCATGACACAGCTGTTGGTTTTGCATGTACGTGCACACACACACACAGAGAGAGAGAGAGAGAGAGAGAGAGAGAGAGAGAGAGAGAGAGTATGGCTATTATCTGTAGCAGAGGCAGCTGCCTGGGCCCTGGGGAGCCCTAGGTCTTCCACCCAGTTTGACAGGAGCTGAATGATAGGCCCATTGAGCTGCAGAAATGCCCCATTAAAGGAGAAGACAGGAATTTGCTGAGGACCTGGTCAGCTGGCATCTGTGTGGTTTTCTCCATCAAGGAGGAAGTCCGGGGCTGGGCACAGGACTAGAGATGTGCAGGAGACTGCTGTAAGCCAGCGTGGTCTGAGGTCTGGGTTGGACAGGCAAGGAGACACAGGTTACTAGACACAGGTCACGGGCCTTGTTGGGGCAGAGAACAGACAGGACTTGCCTGGTGAAGGGTAGGGCTATCATATAAAGACAGACCAGGTGAGCTCTTGCTGGTCACCGCTCATGGGGAAATGGATGGGAAAACAGAAAGGCCATTTTCAGATCAGAAAAGGCCTATTCTGCTAGCCCAGGGCTCTGTCCAACCAGACAGAGGGGTAGGCCTGGAATTAATAGGAAAGGAAGTCAAGATGGACAAGAAGATAGGACAAGGTGGAAGACAGTAACTAGAGAGTGACACCCAGAGACCTTGGCCTTCTCATAGGTACATAAGTGGTGAGGTTATCAGCTGAGAGGAGGGTGTGAAGTCACGGCTTGAGGAAGGAGAAGTTGGAGCAGCAACTGAGAAGCTAGCTTGGGGGCCAGCTAATTCTGCCGGGTTGACTGCCCCCTCTTCATGATGGTGAAATTCCCCCACAATGACTATCTGGAATTTTTAATATAAGTCACTGAGTGCCCTGTATCTGTCAAGACAAATGGGCCACGTGGTGTTGGACCCTTTGCTCACCTGCATTTCCACCTCCTCTGTCCATACCTTGTGCATGTACTGTTCTGCCTGCTGGATCTACCTCCTACTGTGGATATCCCATCCCAGTGGCAAAATCAAGACAACAAAATCCTTCTAGTTGTCTCTTTCCTGCTGCAGCTAGTGGGGGTAGGACTGGCTATGTCTTGAGAAATAATGGTTGGAGAAAGCAGCAAAAGCCTTCTAGTTGCTATGGAATGTTAACTGATGAGTTAAACTCTTCATTTTGATTTGAAGAAAATAGTTCTAGAAGAGATTCTTGCTTAAAAAATTTATGTATAAAGCTGCCATCTACTAAAAGCGGTCATTCAGAGGGGTCTTTGTTGCAGGCTGCCTTGAATTTCCTCAGCCAAGCATTGACACTGATCAGAATCTGGATGTTGGAGAGAATGTGCCTTAAAGTTTAGGGATAGAAAATGTTGTGTGTTAAGTATTAATGAGAAAGTACCAAATTGTACCTAGGCATTTATTTCTTTGAAGTGCTTGCTGTATAAAAATTACCTACCTGACTGCCAGTTAAGATAAACAGTTATTTTAATTACAAATGAAAGGTACATGACTATAATCTAAGATATTAGGTAAGCAGACATTTTATGGTTTGAATCATTCATCTAGAATAAAGCCCCTGCTAGAGCTGGTACCTCCCACCTGCAGGAAAAGAATAGCAAGTAGATTCTTGCTACTCAAACTGTGGAGTGGGGACTGGTGGTGCCAGCATTTTTGGGGAGCACATCAAAAAGTGTGAAATTTTGGGCCCCATCCCAGATCTCTGAATCAGAATCTGCATTTTAAAAAGGTGCCCAGGGGATTCACATGCACATTAATGTTTCAGAAGGGCTGGTCTGGATCAGCCTGACTCAAAGAGTAGCCTGTAGACCACCTACAATGAAAACATCCACAGACCTTGTTAAAAATGCAAATTCCACCCTGGGCTTGGTGGCCCACACCTGTAATTCCAGCACTTTGGGAGGCCGAGGCGGGCAGATCACAAGGTCAGGAGATCAAGACCAGCCTGGCTAACACGGTGAAACCCCATCTCTACTAAAAATACAAAAAATTAGCCAGGTGTGGTGGTGGGCACCTGTAGTCCCAGCTACTTGGGAGGCTGAGGCAGGAGAATGGCGTGAACCCAGGAGGCGGAGCTTGCAGTGAGCTGAAATTGCGCCACTGCACTCCAGCCTGGGCGACAGAGTGAGACTCCATCTCAAAAAAAAATAAATAAATAAATAAATAAATAAAAAAATTAGTGAGGCGAGTTGGTGGGCACCTGTAATCCCAGCTACTTGGGAGGCTGAGGCAGAAGAATTGCTTAAACCTGGGAGATGGAGGTTGTATTGAGTCAAGATCATGCCATTGCACTCCAACCTGGGAGAAAAGAGTGAAATTCCATCTCAAAAAAAAAAAAAAAAAAAAAAAAGAACGCAAATTCTAGAGCACTACCCAGACCTACTGATTAGAATTGCTAGACCTGGAGTCCAGGAATCAGCATTCCAAACAAACCCCAGGTGGTTTTTATGTTCACCAAAATGTGAGACCCATCCCTGGTCCTTCCAATCTCATCAGGATCCATTAAGGACCAGTTGACACATGGTGCTTTGAGTCTAGTACAAAAAAGACTTGCACAAATCTTGTCTGTGCCATTTAGGAGTTTATAATATCACTACAGTTGAACATGTAGAGAACAAGCTATGGTGTGAATACCTAGAAGGACTATATTATTGATTAATTCACAATTCACAATGCATTTGATTCTCCCTTCCACATCTGTGAATATATGTCCTCCCTGAGGATGGAGAATAACCAACATGCTGCCTCCATCCTTCCCAGTTCTGGAGCTGAGTAGATTCCCACTCCCAGGAACCATTCATTCTCTTGAGCCTATGCCTCTGCCACTCTAGCATCTTGCTCAGGGCAGACAGGAAGCCAGCGATTTTATTTCATTAGCTTTTTCCTATAAGCCCTCCCCCTTCCTCCTTGCACCCACCATGCCTTCCAAGGACCAGTTGGCCCATTCCTCTGCAGCTCTGCCCAAGTTCAGTTCCCAAGACACAGGTCAGAAAGGGGTCAGATCAAGCCTAGGCATCTGCAAGCGCCCAGTCCTTTGGGATGGCACTACCTTTCTTCTTTTCCTTTTGATATGTGCATTTGGTTTCTTCAGAAAGAGAGTGACATGCACCATAACACTCTCTTTTAGAGATAAGAGAAACCAGCCAGTATCTTTTGAAATTCAATGTACGACAAGCAGAGATGCATCAAGGTGTGATAGCAGCCCAGCCGGAGGTCTCTGTTGATTTGTAGCCTCGATAAATGGCCAGGAGGCCAGCAGACCCTCAATGGAGGTCCCTTAGAGGAACACTGTCTGTGTTGGTTTAATCCAGCCCTGACCTTGGGACTCAAAACACAGAACTAAAGAGGGACAAAGCTTTCCTTCCATTCTCATGGCCTCGTCATCTGCGTCTGTAGTTGCATAGCGCATTGATGGCTTAATCCTCTCAGCAATCCAGTGGGGTCATTATTTATCTCCCCCACCTTTCAGTGAGAAACTAAAGCCCGAGGTCAGTCATGTGCCCAAGTCACACCACTGGAAAATGTAGGGCTGGACTTTGAACTTGTTTCCTTATTCCAAATTCTAGTTTCTTTTTACCCAACCATAATGTGTTATTTTCCTCCTATTCATGAGCAAACATATTATTTCAACTAGACCAGGGATTCCTTTTGGCAAAGCTTGCTCTAAATTATACCAGTGAGTGCAGAACTAGCATGTGATACTCCTCGGCAGGTGTGATGGCCAAAAAGAAGAATTACTGCTTCTTTACTTTATGGCTCTGGCAAATTCTCGGGAGGTGTAGCTGAAAAATCAATGCCAGGTGGCTGTCGAGACGTCTCTACAGCTGGGCTGCCGTGGCATCGCCCTGGGAGAAACATCTTTGCAGCTGAGGAGCGTGGCAAGACCCTGCAGAACCCCAGACCCCACAAGGCTCCTGGTCTCTCTGTGGCAGAACATTCCTACTAACTTGGCTCAGCTCCACTTTCCTGGAGAAGGCTAATATTGAAGTAAAATGAGGGAAGAGGATATACAGCAAGAACAGCATCTAGGAGGCATGATTGCTTATCTTGAGAGGACCCCCCAGGACTGGATGTAGATGGTGATAAAGTGGGATGGTGACAGCACAAATAAGGCTCCTGTCCGCACCATCATTAGACTCCACAGATAAAGGCAGACCTGTTGTCAGAAATGCCAATCTGAGCATTACAAATCACTGACTCGACGTTGTGATTGCTAGAGCTGGGGTTCAGGAGGAAAGCGGAAGCCTGAGCAGTGACCCAGATTCTGCCCTTTGAAGGGTCTTGAAATAGCAGAGAGGACTCCTGCCAGATCCTGCTTACCTACATGCAGGAATGAGGAGGACACCATGAATGCATTCTTCCAAGGACTCTGGCACATGCCCTAGGCCTTCATCTTTGTGTGAAATAATTCCCATATATAGCGCATGAGCTGGGGCCATGTCGGGGCAATGACCCCGGTATTAGTCTCCTAGGGCTGCCGTAACAAAGTGCTGCAAATTCTGGCTCAACACAGAAACTTATCCTGTCACAGTTCTGGAGGCTAGAAGTCTGAAATCAAGGTATCAACAAGGTCACACTCCCTTCAGAGGCTCAGAGAGAAGACGTTCCCTGCCTTTTCTACCTTCTGGGGGCTGCAGGCATTGCTTGGCTTATGGCTGCATCACTTCAAGATAAACTCTTCTCAAGATCTTGACCTTCATCATGTCTTTTGCCATACAAGGTACTGTTCACAGGTTCCAAGGACTAGGACATGGACATAGCTCTTTGGGGGACCACCATTCAACCACTACATCCCCTCTGAATTGACACTTATTTTCCCATAAAACCTAACAGTTAGGATAATAATAATAATAGCAGCTAGGGAGTGTACTAGATGCTTCATTATGCAGCTCACTGAATCTTCCCAACAACTCTGCAAGGACAATGTTTGTATTTTCTTTCACAAAGAGAACACAAAAGCTCTGAAGTCCACCCTCCTTCAGATTCACCAGAGGTTTTGGGTCTGTGTCCTATGGAGTCCAAGGGTTTCTCAGAGAGTCCTCAAGAACCCTGAGTAGAAGAGGGGGAGAAAGAGACGGGCTCTGGGCCCCTAAACCCCTTCAGTCAAGTCGTTCCACTTGGATCTGATTTCTATGTTAGGATACTGCATAAGATTTTCTTTTTGTTTCAAAGGGTTACACTGAGAAAATAAAGTCTTAAAACCACCCCTGTACACTGCACTGCTTAGCAATGCTTGAGCAGGAGCCCAGGTTAAGAAGCCTTGTCTCTAGAGTCAGACACACCTGGACCCAAACCTCTTCTCTATCCTTTCCTTGTTCTGTGTCCTTGGGCAAGTTTACCTAACCTCTCTGAGTATCTCATTCCCATTTTCATTGTCTTGTGCATGCCTCTACTGACCAGTTCCCTTATATTCAATCTGGGATGTCATGAAAATAAAAATGTTTATCCAGAACAGGCAGCTCTGGCTGTATTTCTCTCGCTAGACCTTCCAGAGGAGATAGCTGGTAGCCCCAGGATGATGACATGTTCTTCTTGGCTCATATAGGAGGACACTGTTATCTACGCTGTGCCCAAGGGGTCCACATCATATGCATGGGTGCACGGTGAGGAATTCAAGGTGCAGTCATTGCCTCAGACAGGAGTCCCAAAGAGGCCACGATGACTAAACTTGCAAAGGTTGAACACCACAGGGAGCTGTGGGGCTTTCTTGATATCTTTGATAATCACACAGATTTATTTATTGACATTTGTGGGCCTCTGAATAACCTTGTAGTGAGCAACTAATGCTTCAGTGGCCAAGCACAACTCACCATAAAGGCCACGTAAGAGGCAAAGGGAATCACACCTGCTTCTGTTAAAGGCCTACGATTACAGTTGCTTCCAGATTGGATGAAACATGTGACTTCCAGGAGGCAAGTTGACTGACACCAAGTTCTTCCACATATTCCAAAACAGCTGCTTAAAGCACAGGTTCTGATAGAATTTTAGAACGCATCCTAATGTCAGCTTAGCACGTATTGACTGCTTACTGTCTGCCAGGCACAGGGCTAAGCACTTTATATGCATGTTCTCATGTTCTCCCAAATGAACCTGTTATCCCTTTTTACAGATGAGGCGTAAGAGCTCAAGTGACTTCCCAAAGGTCACTGAGTTACAAAGTGACAGTGCACGGATCAGACTGGGACTTGCGTGAGCCCCTGGTGGCTGTGCTGTCAATCCGGCACACAATTATACTCTAGGGTCAGTGTTCCTGAGGAAGAATTTGCACTGCCTGCTGTTGGGCATCTTTATTTTGGAAAGGATCTTATCCTTCTCATTAAAAATAAACAGCATATGCAGTAACAGTGATGATTAAGCAAAGCAAAACAAAACAGAAAACCTACCACTAGCACCCACAAAATATAAACAAATGAAAAAAAGTATCTTTGGGCTGATCCTCTTCTAAATCACTGAAATCTACAACTGTAGGTTCTCAAAAGGAACAAACACTAACATAACCCAGACAGTTTCCCTCAAGGCACAGCACTTTGCTGGGGTCACAAAAATGATCTCAGAGGTGTCAGGGGCAGGGAGAACTCTCTGGAGTTCTTTTTTTTTTTTGAGACCGAGTCTTTCTCTGAAAGACTGTACTCTAGCCAGGCTGGAGTACAGTGGTGTGATCTCAGCACACTGCAACCTCAGCCTCCTGGGCTCAAGTGATCCTCCCACCTCAGCCTCCCAGGTGTTTGGGACTTCAGTCACATGCCACCACACCTGGCTAATACTTGTATTTTTTTTTTTTTTGGCAGAGATATGGTCTCACTGTATTCCCCAGGCTGGCCTTGAGCTCCTGGGCTCAGTGATCCTTCCACCTTGGCCTCTTAAAGTGTTGGGATTATAGATGTGAACCACTGTGCCCAGCCAGGGCACTTATGTTAAGAGAAGGGGACCTCTCTTTGGGGAGGAGTGGGCGATGCTTTAAAAAGACATTGGGACAAGGATGTGTCTGGCATTGGCAGTCTCTCTGGAGAGGGTAATGGTAGACTTCTTAGAATGAAGAGGGACAGGTAACAGAATTGAGGTGCAGAAGTGGGTGATGGAGAAAGGGAATGAGTGATGATAAAAGCAGTGTGCTTTTATTGTGGTCCAGAGGAGGTGGGCCGGGGACAGCACCAACATCAGCAACATCAGTGACAGGAGCAGCCCCAGCTGATGTTTATTGAGGGCTTACTATAAGCCATGTGCACTGTAGCTGAATGGTCTCATTCAATCCTCATGCTCTGTAAGGCAAGACAGGGACCATTATGATCTCCATTTTACTGATGAGAAAACCAAGGCTCAGCAAGGTTAGGGAATTTGCCTGAGGCTGCACAGCTGGAAAGTAGCAGAGCCCAATTCAAACCCAGGCCCCATGGGATCCTAGAGCTCACGTTCTTAACACAGTTTTCTTCTTGCCTTTCAGCTGACTGTTCCCTGCCTTCAGTCTTCTGAAAGTGGATACATTTTTGATGCAGTGGATCAAAAATGCAGGGACTGTCCTCTGGCATTGTCTGTGTATCATACTGGAATGCAATGGACCCTCCATCCCCAGGAGGCTAGGAATGAAGTGCATGAAATACAAAAGACACACCGAATGGGGAGTTGGGGGAGGAGATGGTGGGTGAGGGGCTTGGAAACAGGAAATGGCAGGAACAATCTTTAACACATATCATAACCTATGTGACATGGCTTTGAATTTGGGGGAGATCCTCCTCCACCCAATACCCCCAGGGCTGCACAGGGGAAAGTCTCTTCCTTCTTTCTTTTAAAGCCTCCTCTAGCCTCTGCCAGGGTCTTGTAAGCAGGATACCCCACATCTCGTTTGCTGGCTCTAGGTTTCTTCTTTGGCCTCTCAAACCTGATGCCTTCTCTACTGAGGTTAATAGGAGTTTGGTACAACATCATTTCCCAACAGAGTCACACAGGGTAAAAGGGTAGTTCCACAGTAACCTCCTGGCTCCCTCAGCCCCAGGGCTCCTTAGGTGAAGGAAGCAGTTTAAAAACAGCACTGGGCATTCTGTACATTCTCAGGCTGGGGGAGAGGGTGGGTGCATCACATGCCAATTGGCAAAAGAAAGGGACAATGTCATCTCTCTCAAAGATACCTCAGTGCATTTAATGGAGAAGCAGTGGGGAATGTTAGAAATTAGTCATCCTTTGAAGAAGTGGCCATCTCTCACTGCCCTGACCCATACCCTAAGCCATACTTGTAGAGCTAGTGAATCTCCTTGTTTTTTTGTTTTTTAACCAACAGACTTTATTTTTTAAGCAGGAAGGACAGAAATTTCCCACATTACCCCCCATCGTTGACATCCCCTACCAGAGTGGTTAATTTGTTACAGTGATGACCCCACACTGACACATCATTTGAGTCCATAGAGAATATTAGGGTTCACTATTGGTTTTGTACTTTTTAGGGGTTTTGGAGCACACCCTTTCTTACTTGATAGGAAAAGGAAAGGGTGACTGGCTGGTGGCCAACCAGCAAGGTTATAATGGCCACAGCCAACTTTAGTCCTTAACCCCTGATCAGCTCACACACACTTTCTTTGCCAGAAAATACAAGCACCTGCTCTCCCAGGGGCCAGAGAGAATCCACCAGGATGAAACTAATGGGGATAAATTTCACGGGTCCTAAAAAATAAGGTCCACTCTCTACCCCTTCCCTGCTTCTTTAAAGCCATCTGCTCGGTGGTTTATTCTCATCCCAGAAGACAATGAGACAGACAAGACATGGGCACTCTGGAAATCTGAGCGCTACCCGTTCAGGTGTCAGGCCTGCAGCAGCAGCGACTGTGAAAGAGCTGCCGGCCATTATGAGACTCTGTGGGACAAGCCAGCCTTTGCAGTTAGACCTGGGTTCAAGTAACAGGTCTGTGAGTTACCAGTAATAAGTAAATGGTATGATGAGTATCACATATTCAGGTGGATCGGGGTCCCCATGACCACCCCTAGACTCAATGATTCATTGGGAGGACACACAAATCTGCATAGAATCATACTCCTGGCCAAGATTATTAAATTAAAAAATAGCAAGAAAAATAAGCAAAGGGAAAAGGCATGTGGGGTCACCAGGCACAAGCTTCCAAGAGTCTGCTGCAGGGTAAACACACCTGACAGCAACAACTTAAGCACAACTTAGAATGACCATGTGGCACATGCACCTGAATGTGTGTCCTGAGCTAGGGAATCTGGGAGTGCCCAGCTGGAAAATTCATTCCTTGTCTATAAGGAATATCTGAGCTCCTGGCTCATTCCATGGAACATGGGCTGTACAGGGCCTTGAGGCCCTGAGTTTTGGGTTGGATGAAGGTGGCCAGGTGGAGGCTGTTAAGGGGAGGGTATTAAGTAAAAATGCTATATAAACTGCATGCTGTTTGCAAGGTGTGTGGTTTTACTGCCTGGCCCCCTGCCACTCGGCCATGTGGTTATGCTGTCCAACTCACCGCCACTGGGCCATAGGTAAGGCGGATATGTTGTCCAGCCCACTGCCACTGGACTCTCTCCTCTGTATGTAAGCCCCTAATAAAACCCCATGTCTCATTTGCTGGCTCTAGATCTCTTCTTCAGCTTCTTGAACCAGGTGCCTTCCCTATTGAGGTTAATAGGGGTTTGGCACAACATCCTTCCCCAGTAGTCACACAGACAGCATTTAATTCACCCAGCAACGAGTTGTGACAACATGTGTGAAATGTTGTCTACCAGGAAGGCTCATTAGAGACTCAGTGCCCAGGGTTTTTACTTGGGGCTGGCCCCATAGGCACACTCTGCCTAGCATGTACTAAAATTACCGTCTCCCAGAAAGAAAACAGGTGTTCAGAATGAACCACATTGTATGGATAAACAGTTTAGGTACAGTGAGCCCCTGGCATCAGTTCTGGGGATGGTAGGAATGCTCCCGAAGTTCCCAGACATCAGCCAAAGGGCAACCTTGCAAGCAGGTCTTTCTGGGGATAGCGGTCTCAGCCCTGGGGACAGCAGTCCCAGCCCCGCTGTAACTTTTCTGTACAGCCTCCTTCATTGTTTGGCACACAGTATTAATAGATGGTCAATAAATTGTAGCCCCTCTTGTCAGCAGCATCACATATTTGTATCTTTTCTATACAGCAAGGAGAGACCATCATATAAACACCAGCCTCCTCCAAGTCAAACTGGAAACCCTCTTGGAAAATGAAGGACACATGCCTCCATACATACATATGCATGTGTGTATATATAGCACATGTTTCCATGATGGCCTCTCTGTACACACACGTGTGTATCTATGATAAATTAACTGCTTACATAATAAATCTTTTCCTCTCCAAATGTTGAATCATTATTCTCCCATCTATGGTCTTGGTTTGCCTTTTACAATTCTGATTAGCATGCCCTCCAAGTCTTTAGCTGAGTGATTAATAAAAACGGGTTCAACAAGGCAGGACCCTGGACAGAGCCTTTCTTCCAGCTCTAGAATCCACCTTTGGGGCATGATTCTGGCTAAGAGAATGATCATCTGGCTTATGGGTCAACATATTCAATGTAAAATGTGTAGAAAGACTGTTAACTGCTTCGCTAAAACAAAAATAAACTATGTCTACAGCATCCTGCCAATCTACCAGCCAAATGCCTCCTTGCAGGGAAACAAGGGTAGTGTGTACAGATTATTCTTAGGCAGCCAGTGTTAGCTCCTGATCCCCACACTATGTCCTAAAAATGTATAAGCCATTTGTTTGAACTCACTGTTCTTTAATTTTCAGATCCACTCTTTTTTTCTTCATGTTTGAAATATAATTTTCCTGTTCTCTTCCCTGGCTGCCCCATTTTCCAGGACCATCGTGTCATTGTGTGCAACTGGTCTTGTAATTTTTTTTTAATTTTATTTTAGCAACACTAGCCTGAGAATGGTCTTGTAATGGCCACGTGTGAGCCTCACCTGCCTTAGGCTGGAGTTTCCTTAACAGGTTATTGGTTCTACCTGCTTGAAGACCCCACCCCCAACCCTATGGAGAAGATGAAAGTCAACAGAACTTGTAACTTCTATCTTCTTTCTCTCTTAACAACATGATATTCTATCCCCAAACAACCTATCCTTTTTCTCATCTTTTGTTACTTCCAAGAAGTATAACAACACTGCACCCCAGGACATCATTACTTAGGGGGGAAAACGTCATGAAAAACTCACAGAAATTACAGAGGTTTCATTATCCTATTCTGTCTACTTTTGTATATGTTTAAAACTTTTTAATATAATTTTTTAAAAAAATCAACCAAAATATATGAGCTATATTAGAAAACACAAATTACGAGTCTGGATCTTGGGTCAGAGTGAAAGGAGGGGAGAGACTCAGCATGTGAACAGGGAGGAGACCGAGCAAGACACAGGATCTTGGAGAAATTAACCTCTATAGGGCCTTATGACCCTAAGCCCCAAGGCTCAAATACACTCTTTTCTAGTTCTTTCTCCTCTTAGGTTGGTGATGGCTAAGGAAGAGAATTCTGGACTCAATTTAAACATAGACTTCCAAGGTTCCATTCATTGACTGGATGCAGTGGCTCATGCCTATAAAGCCCCAGTAGTCTGGGAGGCCACGGTGGGAGGATTGCTTGCAGCTAGGAGTTCAAGACCAATGCTCCATGCATTGATCCCACTCCTTCCTCTAGGATAAGCACCTACTTCAGGCTAGCGTCTAATTTTAACAGTAACTGGTGAGTTTCCATGCGTACTTGGTGCTTGTGTCTCCTTTATGTCTGCTCTCTTTTTTAGAGGTGTCTTTTTTAGAACACAGATCCCAGAAGACAGTTTCTATGTCTTTAACTTTCTTCAGAAAGCCGTGGAACATCACTGTGCTCAGGAGCCCAGCAAATCCCTGTTCTCAGATGTGCAGCCTCTATGCTCGCGGTTTTCCTTCTTCATCCGGTGCCTGTCTGTGCATAGGTCTCAGGTCACGAGGGTTGGGGCTGTCTGCCAGTTTCTAAGTCAACACTCCAGGCAGAAAAAAGGGAGGGAGAAGGTGAGCAGATCTGAAGCAGCCTTGCTGAATAAGACTTTAAGGGATGAGATCACAGCCAACTACCTCGAAGTTTCTGATCCACAGAAAACAGGACACTGCGTCAGTAAGAAACACCCAGAACCATTTTTCAAAACCAGCAGCTGTAAAGGAATTAATGCAGATCACCGTTTAGTGCACACACAGCCTTATTCCTCCCTTGAAGAGCTTCACAGTCATTATTAAAGAACACATTTCAGAACATAATATTATTAGGCTACTGATTGTTGTTTGTTTCGATGTTTAATTCAGTAACAACTCGAGTTGTGGAGGGCTTTAAGTGAAACAGATGCTCTGAAGACTGGCAGAAACATTCCAATTTTCCACTGGGTTTCACAAGGAGCTTTGGCAATGCCGTGGGGACCAGGGCTACTGGTGCCATGAGGTTCTTATAGGTGGGGAATTCAGGGGCCGCTACTGAGCAAGGCTCTGCGGTCTTTCGGTACAGAAAATAGAAAAGGCAGAGAGTTCCACATGAATCCAAACAACATCTGCTCTCTCTGTCACCGCGCATTAAATTATCCAGGGCTGAAATTCAGTACACACCCCGGGCACTCTTTCAGAATGGTACCCGCGCATCTCGGTGGCATCAACATGCCAGGAGGAAAAGAATAGCAAAAAAAACCAAAACAAAAACAAAAAACAAAAAAAACAAAACTTCTTCTCTGAACATCCATAGAGATAAAAGAGACTGCACTGAGAAACCCAGTCCTAGCTGGGATGATGAGACTAAAGGTTCCAAAATTACAGCCAGGCGACACAACAGCAGCTCCTCCTCTCCCCCATAGACTGTTGGCTAGCAGGACCCCAAAGTTGTGTCTGAAATCTAGGCACAAGCAAAGCCCGAGGCCAGACTTAGAAGCAGCCTGGCCCCAGTGTCCTTGGGTCCTTTGTCATCATTTCCTGTCCAGTGCACCCCTAAAACCTTGCTTAGAACCGGCGTCCCAACCCTCCCTACTTGGTGCTTGTGTCATCTTTGTTTTGATGTCCTCTTCTTTTTCCTGGACTGGTAGTTCTCAAAGTGTGGTCTCTGACCAGGAGCACTGGCATCCCCTGGGGGCTTGTTAAAAATTCACATTTCTTGGGCCCCACCCCAGACTTCTAGAGTCAGAAACTCTGAGGATGAGGCCCAGCCATCCATGGTTTTAACAAGTTCTCCAGGTGATTCTGATGCACTCTCAATTTTAAGAACCACTGGCTTGGACTATTGCAACAGTCCGTGATGGTCTCTTGCCTCCAGAGCCAACCTTCTCAAACGGAAACCTCACCAGCTTCAGGGCCTGGCACAGCCCAGCACATTGTAGGTGTACAATAAATGTTTATTGACTGACTAAATGAAACATGACCTCTGCTTTTAAAACTCTGATGGTTACTCACAGCCTATAAAAAAATAGAAATTCCTCAGGAAGGTAGTATAATGCTTATTTGATTGTTATTGCTTGTTAGTACTATTTTTATTTGTAGCCATCATTTTATTAGCAGCATCTACATTGCTGCAGGTGCTTTGGTAAACACCATGTATTGATATTTATTTACTTTTTAAACATTTCAGCCCTGAGAGGTAGATGTAGGTCGTTGCCTTTTACAGAAGAAGAAATTGAGGCTCGGAGAGGTTGTGTAACTTGTGTAAGGACACATAGGTAGCAAGCAATGAGCTGGAGTTCAAACCCAGGTTTGTCTGTCTCCAGGACTCATACCTTAAATGTATGTCCTTTCAAAATTAGATCTTGATATGCTTTCTACACTCGCCCCACCTACCACGCTGTCTCAGGGCTCCACAGTTTGGCTTGTGCTGTCCCCTCTTTCCAGCACATCCTTTCCTCCTTCTCCTACCTGGAGATCAGACAACCACCTGAAACCACTCTGATCCTCATCCAAGACAGAATGAGCTACTTGCTAATTATACCAATGAGCCAGTGCATTACGCTGGGTGGCTTGTCGGGGCCTAAAAGCCCTAAGATGAGTATTTCCTGAAGTGTGGTCCTCAGATCACCTACATCAGAATCACATGGTGGGGGGAAGCATGTGAGAAATGACAGCCTAAGCACCCCCTCCTCCATGGTTATTCTGCACAGTAATGTTTGAGGACCACTGTCCTGCAGTGTGAGTTTGTCTTATTCACGTGGGTTCCCTGCAGCAATGCAGAGGAGTTGCCGCTTGACAGGCCATCAGAGAATGAATGAATGAGCCCTTTTCTCTTAAAAAGATTGAGGTGGGGTGGGGCATCCCATAAAACACTCATAGGAGAAAAGCCACAGCAGAAACAGCCTTTCCAGATGTGGCACCAGCTGTTGGCACGTAAGAAACAAGCTTGAGTGTGAACAGAAGACACATGTTCTGAGCCGCAAAAACTTGACTTATTGACTTTGGGAAGGCTTGCCGACCACACAGTGCTGATGATGTTATTAACGCTGAATGTATTCGCCTGACCTTATTAGGCCGTATAAAGGGCACAGGTGTCTAATTAAGTTCAGAAGTCAGCACCTCTAACTTCTTTCTCGATAGCTACTGAGCCCATCATTTACCTTGATGTTCCTGAAATGATCAGTCTTTAAAACCAAAGTAAGTTGGTCATTAGCATATGTAAGGCGCTTGTCATGATTTGTGGTAAGACTAATCTGGTGTCCCGAGAAGGAGGGCATTTCATTCTACTCATTTCATTCTACTTGGCATGACACCAGCCCAGCTGGTAGGAGACCCAGCCTTATCACCCCATCACACTTGCCACTGGGCTGTGCTCTCTCTCTCCTTCTATTCAACATGCGCACAGATGAATTGGAAGGTGACGCTGATGGGCTGGCTGATCAAATGAGCACATGACATAAAACTGGGAAAGAAAGCCAGAGTGCTGGGTGTCAGAGCTGAGATCAAAAAGAGACCTGTAGTCAGGAGTGATTGACCACAGGCTCGTGGAAGGTCCTCTTCTTGGACAGTCTCTACCCTCAGAACAAATATTAAAATAATAGCAGATAATAGCAAACATTTGTATAGAACTCTCTGTGTGCCAACTCAGCCCAAGTGCCTTTAAACACTTAATTCACTTAATTTCCAGCATCCTATGAAGTAGGTTCTATTAGTATCCTCATTTTAAAGATGAGGAAACTGAGGCAAAAGCAGTTAAGTAACTTGTCCAGGGGACTGTAAACATCATTGGATTGAACCCCCTTTTTCATTTCCACCCATGAAATCTCCCCTTTCTTTTGTAGCTGCCAGATGTACTTGAATACTCCCAATGTTGGAACACTTACTACCGCCAGAGGCAACCCTTTGCTTTTTCTTTCTTTCTTTCTTCTTTTTTGGTAAGCTCCTACTTTGTGGAAAGTTATTCTCTATACTGATTGTAATGGAGTTGTTGTTTTTTTTTTTAAACTGGATAGTTGAGTTGGAGATACTCATGTGAGGTGGCTGCTCCCTAAAGTAAAGTCATTTTAGCCTCTATGGGCTATATTAATAGAGACATGTGTAATGAACTGAAGGAAGTGACAGGCCTGCTTTTCCCTGGGCTGTGCAGCCATGCTCAGAGTGTCATGTTCAATTCTGGGCTCCTCAGTGAACTGGGGCAGGCAGTTGTCGAACTGAGCTGTGACTGAAGAAGGGTGGTCTAGTCAGTGAGAGAAGCTGAAAGCAGGATTCAGAGGTTCTGATGGAGGTGGAGATACCTGACTTGGAAAGGAGATGACAGATGGGGCAGGGGAGAGGTGATTGTGATGGCTGCCACTTGGGAGCAGCCTGGAGGGACATAAGGCTGGCCTGTTCTAGGTCATTTCTGAGTTGACTCAGGCCAAGGATAGAGCCAAGGCCACTACATAGGTAGGGAAAGCTGATTTTCTTTCTTTTTTGAGACAGTCTCACTCCATCACCCAGGCTTGAGTGCAGTGGCATGATCTCAGCTCACTGCAACCTCCACCTCCTGGGTTCAAGCAATTCTCATGCCTCAGCCTCCTGAGTAGCCACTACAGGCATGTGCCACTATACGTGGCTAATTACGGGCATGCGCCACTCCACTACACCAGCTAATTTTTGTATTTTTAGTACAGACCGGGTTTTGCCATGTTGGCCAGGCTGGTCTTGAACACCTGGCCTCAAGTGGTCTGCCCCCCTCAGCCTCCCACAGTGCTGGGATTAGAGGCATGAGCCACTGTGTCCAGTCTGATTTTCTTTTTTAAGTGCACATTTTAGTTTAGGATAGTCTTAAGTTTACAGAAAAATTGCAAGGGTAGTATAGTGAGTTCCCACACATGCCCTGCCCAGTTTCCCCTATCATTAACATCCTACATTAGTATGTTACATGGGTCACAATTACTGAACCAGTATCAATATATGATTATTTACTAATATCCACACTTCATTCAGATTTCTTTAGTTTTCCCCTAATGTCCCTTTTCTGTTCCAGGATCCCACCTAGGATACCACGTTACATTTAATTGTCATAGCTCTTTAGCTCCTCTTCGCCATGACAGTTTCTCACTTTCCTTGGTCTTGATGACCTGGACAGCTTTGAGGGGTACTGGTCAGGTATTTTTGCAGAATGTCCCTCAGTGGGATTTGTCTGATGTTTTTCTCAGGGTTAGACTGGGGTTAGTGGGTTTTTGGGAGGAAGACCACAGAAGCACCGTGCCATTTTCATCTCATCATAACCAGGGCACACACTCTCAACATGACTTGTCCCTGCTGATGTTGACCTTGATCACCTGGCTGAAGCTGTGTTTGCTGTGTTTCTCCATTGTAAAGTCACCCCCCCCCCCCCGACATCCTACATGCTTCAGAAGGAAGTCACTATGCGGCACCTACGCAGGAGTAGGGAGTTTTGCTTCAGCTCCTCTGGGGTGGTGTATCGACATCAATTATTTGGAATTCTTCTATCTGGGAGATTTGTCTATTCTCCCTCATTTATTTATTTATACAATCATTTATTTATATCAGTATAGCTTCATTGATATTTATTTGTACTTTAGGTTATAATCCAATACAACTTTATTTATGTTGTTGCTCAAATTGCTGCAGCTTTAGCCATTGGGAGCTCTTTCAGTTAGCTCCTCTGTCTCTTTGATTCATCCCATCATGGCGGCTTTTCAAGCACCTCCTTACTGTCTGCACTACCAGATGCTCCAGGCTCACTTTGTATATTTCTTGTCCCATTCCTAGAATCAGCCATTTCTCCAAGGAACCTTGTTTCCTTTTGCTGGAGAATGGTATTAGAAACCAAGATCTGGGGGCTAGGTGTGCTTGTTGATACTGGAGTGTGAGTTGCTTCTAGGGCCTCTGAGATGACAGATCAAGGAAATATATGTGTGTATACTAACCCATGTATAGACATTTATCTATAAATATTTCTATATGTAACCATCTGTATCTATATTATGTTCACACTGTCTCCAACTCTAATCCATTACCACATGAATCATCCTATCTTAGGGGAGACTGATTTTTAAACAACATTAAAAAAAAACATTCTGCAAAGTTGGATCTGGTTGCTTCTGGAAGTAGTAAGTGCTCCCTCACTGAGTGTATTAAGCAGATTGGGAAGAAATAAGGAAAGGAGGGGTCTGATGGGTAGAATTGGAAAAATTCCATTTAACTATACTCAAGGTCCCTTTCAACCCAGTGATTGTTGAAACAGAAGTGCCATATAAGGAAAGGTACATCCAAGGTACACATGGCTTCCCGGGGGCATTCTTTGTCTTCCGTCTTTCAGGAGTCTGAGATCTGGGCAAGGAGAAAGAGCTGGCATTTAGACAAATAAAGGATACACCATTCAACAGGTAGGAAATTTATGGGATTTGCAATCCAAAGAAGAGAAAACAGGCTTAAAAAATAAATGAAGCTCAAAAAGGTTTTAAATTCACAGATGACAGAGCCAGAATGGATTATGAAAGGGGAACGATGCTGGCTTGTGGGAAGGACACTTGCCAAGGTGTTGACATCTGAGGAAGTAATTCTGCTGCTCCCTTAAGGTCCTGGGTGTGCACAGAGGAGCAATTCTTTTTGTTTTTGTTTTTTTGAGGCAGAGTCTCGCTCTGTCGCTTAGGCTGGAGTGCAGTGGCACTATTTTGGCTCACTGCAACCTCCACCTCCCAGGTTCAAGCGATTCTCCTGCCTCAGCCACCCAAGTAGCTGGGATTTCAGGCACGTGCCACCATGCCTGGCTAATTTTTTTTGTATCTTTAGTAGAGATGGGGTTTCACCGTGTTAGCCAGGATGGTCTCAATCTCCTGACCTTGTGATCTGCCCGCCTCCCAAAGTGCTGGGATTACAGGTGTGAGCCACCACGCCCAGCTTGCAATTCTTTATATTTTACTGCAGCAGCCCAGGATCTAGTCGGGGTAAATGGGGCAGGCCAGAGTCTGAGAAGGAAATAAGGAATTGACTGTCCTGAACACACAGCAAGGCTGAATTCCCCAGGAAGGCAGTGCCGCCCCAGCTTTAGGACATGTTAGAAATAGGATGGCCACCCTACTGCAGGAGAAATGATCTTTCTCAACCAGCAGCTCTTCCTTCTTCCTGAAGCCTTGTCTGAAAAGACCATGAATCACCTCTTGCGGAAGGAATAGAGATGATGGGACAAAGAGAGAATTCCTACACTAGCGGGTGCTCACTAAAAATGCAGACCGTGGGTCCTATCCCCAAAGATTTTGAGCCAGTACATCTGGAGATGAGCTCAGAGATTTATTTTTAAAACCATATCTCTAGGTGATGCTGATACTGGAATTTCTCAGTCACATTTGGAGCTCTGCTGGTGGTCTTAATACCAGAGTTTGCCCAGGACAGTCTCAGTTGGTTTGCTTTCCTTTCCCCCCCATGTCAAAAGTGCCCTCATTTGGGTGACAAATTATATGGTCACTCCCTTCTTAACACTGATATGTCTTCAAGCAGCAGCAGAAGTCACATGTTGATAGGCACCTTTTTTGGCCAACGATGCCTGTACCATCCCAGCTCCAATCCAAGAGTGTATTCACCCTTGAAAGTGAGGCTTCTCAACTGGGGGAGGAGGAGCTTCTAGAATTCCTGGGGTCAGGGGACTTGGGAGCCAGGGAAGAGTAGATTGGCAAAGCTCTCAGGTGTTTTGATGCTCCATCCCCTCCCAGCCCCTTGACAATCACTACTGTAAAGAAGGAGCCAGCCTGTGGGGACAGGGCAGCCACTCCAGCCCGAGCCTTCCTTTGGGCCCCTTGCCCTTCCTTTCTCTTTCTCCTCCTCTCTTTCTCCCAAGTCTGCATTTTTCCCTGTCAATATCAAAGGGCTGCCAATGTGCTTTGCTTGTTGATGATGACTCTTGAGATTAAAAGTTAGCTGATCTTTGGACAAATGTAACCATGGAAATCTGAGACATTAACCATTGCCTGCTGGGGACCTCAGATAGGAAGCTCTTATAATCCCTCCACGCTCAGGAGTGATGAGATAGACCATGGACGACCCCACAGAGCCATTGATCAGAAACACAGATCTGATCATGCCTTATCTCCCCACCCAGACCTACTCCCAGCTTGGTAACCCTCAAAATGCCAAAACCACAGCAAAGGGTGCAAATGGTTGCTGACGCTGGAGGCAGTAGGCTTAGTCATTGGGTATCTCCTCTCCCATCCATTTTCACTCCTTGGTGACCTCACACAGTATCAGGGCTTTAAATACCATCTACCCGCTGACAACTCTCAAATTTATATCTCCACCCCAGACCTCTTCCCTGAACTCCAGACTCATATATCCAACTGCCTACTCAACATTGCTCTTGAATGTTTAATAGATATTTCAAACTTAACTTATCAAAAACTGAGCTCCCAGTAGCTCTTCTAGACCTACTCCTGCTGTCTTTCCTTTCCCAACTTCTAGCTTCCAGGTGCTCAGGCCAAAAGCTCCGAGTCTAACTGGATTCCTCTCCCATCCCATACCCAATTCCTATTGGCAAATCCTGTCGGCTCTACCTTACAATATATTAATACACAGAACATGGTTATTTCTCACACTCTGCTAATCTCTGGTTTAAGCCCATCATTTTTCATTTGGATTACTGCAAGAACTTCCTGACAGCTCTCAGCTTCCCCCTTTCCTTCCTTCAGTCTATTCTCAACATGAAAATCAGAGCATCCTTTTAAAGTGCAAGTCGCATCATGTCACCCCTTGGCTCAAAATCCTTCTCCTAACGGCTTTCTTCTCACTCAGAGAAAGAAGCCAGACTGAGCAACCTGTCCTCAGGGCCAGCGTGGTCTGCTGCTGTGGCTGCACTCAGTTCTTATTTGTCACTCCTCTCTGCTTCCTCACTCTGCTCCAGCAGAGAAGGCTACCGTGTTCCTGCCTCAGGCCAGCTCTCCCCAGCTAACCACAGGGCTCCCTCCCTCGGGTTGCCTCAAACTCCTCAGAGAAGCTTTCCCTGACACTCACTCCTGACACTTCTACCTCCCTTTCCCACTTTAACTTTTCTCCTTAGCACTTATGCCATCTGACATATTAATATCTTTTGTAACATCTTTCTCCCTCTCTAGGAGGTAAACTCCATGAGGGCAGGGATTTTTGTCTGATGGTTTGCAGCAGTCTCTCCAATGCCTAGATAGTGCCTGACACAGACGGGCAGTGCTACAAGAATGTCAGTGATTGTTTGAATGAATCATTCATCTATAACAAGTGCCTATAGAGTAATAAGTAAAACACATCTTTAATAAGAAAATGATCAGAGTACATAAAGAGACAATTTACAAAGAGGAAACACACCCCAGCTAATGAAGCGTTTCTTTTAAAGTTTACCTTCATTAGGAATGATCAAAGAAGTGTGTGTTAAAACAATGACATGCTACATCGCTAGTATCAAAGTAACAAAGATAAACCAAATAATAATATCCAATGCTGACAAGCACACTTATACTCTGATAGAGGCAGTAAAAATTTGTAAAATGGTTTTGGAAAGCAATTTCACGATATATATTAAAAGTCTAACATATTTTTCATACCTTTTGATTGATGACTAGGAATCTATTCTAGAGAGCTCAAGATTCAGATAAAAGCTTATGCACCCCAATGGATGAATGCATAAACAAAATGTGGTATATCCACACAATGGAATATTATTCAGCCTTAAATAGGAAGGAAATTCTGACACATGCTACAGGGAATGAGCCTTGAGGACATTATGCTAAATGAAATAAGTCAGCCGCAGAAAGGCAAACATTGTATGATTCCACTTATAAGAAGTAGGTAGAGTAGTCAAATTCATAGAGACAGGAAGTTGAATGGTGGCTGCCAGGGGCCGGCGCGAGGAGAGAATGGGGAGTGAGTGTTTAATAGGTTCAAAGTTACAGTTTGGAAAGATGAAAAGAGATCTGTGGACAGATGGTGATGATGGTTGCACAACAACGTGGATGCACATAATGCCATTGAACTGTACTCTTAAAGATGGTTAAGAAAGGGAATTTTATGTTATGCATAGTTTACCACAATTTTGTTTTTTTAAAGCTACAAGATTGAACACAGAGCTGCAGCTAAGTTCACCAATGGTTTATTTATATACCTTGGAGAGGTGGGAAGTGTGATGCATGTTTTTCAAAGATACGTCTTATTACACCATATCAATGTTTGGCTTGAGGTGTACATTTATCTGTTTTGAGAGCCCCCAGCTACACTAAGGTTTCAGTAACCAGAGTGGCTAGTAACTCTGCCCTAAGAGGAAACGCAGGGGAGCTGGACATGGCGTGTCCAGCGTGCCTTTTACGGGATACTTCTTTTACCTGGAAGACAGCCAAATGCCTAGTTGTCTAAACTGAGACCAGGGTCCCTCGCCCGGGAAACTTGTTTCTACTGGCAGACATCCTTGTGGCTCTTGTCTGGCCTGACCATCACACTTACACTGGGAGCCTAACCATATGCCCAGAGAAAACCCAGCCTGGGGCAGCCCCTGGTTCTTCAGATGGAAGGTACAATGCACCACCAGAACAGAAAACAAGTTCAAAGACCTTTTACTTCCAGACCCTGAGCAAAGAGAGTACCATGAGTCAGGAGGGCAGTCCTCTGTTTCCAGGTCACAGGAGGCAGGAACAAAAAGAGTCAGACAGAGAGAGTGCACATCACAACTAGCAGTGTATGTTATAAGGGAACAGGGTGTGGGTCACTTCAAGTTCACAGGCAAATGCCTGAATGGTCCATTACAAGCAGCTACAGGAAAGCAGGGAGCCCGGTCTGCCAGGTGGGAGAGACACCTCTAAGTTCTCACGCCCTCTGGGTGTGGTGTAGGACTGGAAACTGGGCTCTGCCTCTGATACGAGAAAGTTAAACCTGTACTCGAAATGGATGCCAAGGCAACATAAAGTCATCAGAATCTACTACATTATCTCTGAATAAAATGTTGAAAACAAAAAAATAAAAAAGTTTATGCAGTGTTTTTCACTGAGATACTATATATAGTAGCAAAAAATAAATCAGTGTAGTATCTATTGATAGGGAAATGGTTGCATAAATTATAGAATATCCACATAATGAAATATTATGCAGCCATAAAAATTGTTTTTGTAAATGCTTTTATAACCTGGGGAATTATTGTGGCATAATACTGAGTCAAGAAGCAAGATACAAAATTTGAAATACGATGAGAACTCAAGTTCAAAAAACAACGTAGCCTTATTTCATCAATTCCAAGACATTGATGGAATTCCAAGGATTTTTTTTTTCACAATTTAACCTCTCTGAAATGGAATGTGTCTCACTCCCTCTGATAAGAAGCACTGTGTCAAGTGTAATTGTGCATTTGCAGAGGCACAGAAAGTAGTGAAGTGCTCCCAAACAATGGTGTCTTAGATGTAACGAAACAGTGTCTGGAAAGAAGACTAAAGGAAGGAATATGCCATAATGCCAACTAATTGTGTGTGTATATTTCTTTCTAATTTTCCATATTTTTAACACATTTCTATAATCAGCTTGCATTACTTTTAGAATCAGAAAAAAAAAGTAAGTTAAAAATATCTCATCCTGGCTGTTAATTGCCTGACAGGACAAAGCACAAACTCCCCAGCCACTGTGCCCTCTGAGGCCGGCTTCACTGTTCAGCCTTGTCTCCGTCCCACCCTAATTCACACACCAACAAATTACGCCTGGGCCTCCATGCCATCATCTCTGTGGAAATGCTCTTTTTCGTGCCTGAAATGCCCCCCACCCCGGCCCCCTTTTCTGCCTAGTGATTTCCTACTTATGTTTCAACAGCCCATCTCAAAACTGGACTCCTCTGTGGGGACTTCTTGTTTACTTCCTATCCCAAAAGGAGCAGAGCAGCCTCTGCATTTCCAAAGCACTTGTTGCCTGACCTCGAAAATCGAACTTCCTCCCCTTCCCCACTGAAACTTTTCTCCTAGAGCCCCACCACTACCAACCTGCTGATTTCTAATTCTAGGGAACGCTTCCCAGCCCTTATGTTCTCTGAGCTTTCTGAGGCATCTGATGGGCACCACTTCCTCCTTCCTGAACCCCTTTTGGCCTGCTGCTGCAGTGACAACTTTTCTAGAATATTCTCCTCCACCTAACTCCTTCCTTACCATTGTCACTGACCTTTCTTTTTAGACAGTCACTGAAATGCCTTTTTTCTTTGGTCCCATGGTTCTTACTTTGAAGTCAGGGGTGTGTGGATAGGCCCTAGGGGTTCATGAACCTCCCAAAACTGCAGAATTCTGTGATTATAATAGTGTGCACACAGCCTGGGGAGACAGCCATCGCATTCTTTGTCTCATAAAAGATCCCATACCAAAAAAAAAAAAAAAAAAGGTTAAAAATGAAAATGACTGCCCTACACATTCTCCGGTGACCTCATCTACTTTTGATTTTAAGATAAAATACCACTTATATTTTTATCTCCCCTCAAAGAACTTCTAAAGGATGGGCGCTGCATGCTGTGTTGTGTGCAGGAGATATTTTTGCATGGGGAGGAGGCGTTTTCTCTTAAGTCACAACTCAGCCTGTTCTGCCTACACACATTAGGAGGAAGAGAAGACGGGTGGGAGACGCCCAGGAAGCGCCTGTCGGTGTGTAGTAGGGAGGACTGGGTACAGCGAAGCTGCCATGAAACCAGCAGGCTCCCCCCCTGCTGCGTAACAGGCGGACTCACTTTGTTGTACATTTTGTCTCATCTCAACACCGAAGTCTGAGGTTCACGTGCACTCAGGCACCTCCGGTTACCGCTCAAGCAGCAAGGTCACCTGCTTACAAGTTAGGAAAAAATCAGAGACAACACCGCGTAGAGCGTCTGAATAGAATTGTGTATCCAGGACTGGCAAGTCAGCCTCTTTCGACACTTCCCAATATCCTCAAAAATAAAGAAAAAATATTAATCTAGAGAAGGAGAAGTCGCTTTGGTGGAAATTGTTTTCTCCTCCGACTCTCCAGGGCCGTTTAACTCCTTGAAGATATCAAACGGATTTCATCTCTGCTCCCCGGGTCCCCTCCGCTTCCCCTCTGCCCCTCCGCTCGGGGTCACCCCTGCCTCTGCCGGGAGCCCGGAGAAGCTGGACTCAGGGAGCCAGGACAGGCTCGGATCCTAAGGCCAGCATTTATGCTCCCTGTTCAGAGATAGGAAAAAAGACCCCTTTCTTCTTCTTGATATATTTAGTAACGACCTTAAAGAGTCTGCGAGGCTGAATGAATTGGTGCATCTCGCTGCATTGGAAGCAGCTGCCTCGGCGCAGACAGGAGGAGGGAGAGACGGAGGGGAAGGGGAGGCGGGCAGAGGGAGACGCTGGGGAGAAGGGAGCGGGCAGTGGGGGAGGAGGAGACCGGAGAACGTGGAGCCCGCGGGAGGAGGCCGGAGCGCGGGCAGGGACTGGCGCGGGATCGATTCCCGGGTGGCGGTGGAGGGCCGGCCCGGGAGGAGCGGCGGAGGGGCCGGAGCCTACAGTTAAATCTGGCTAAACGGCAGCATTTAAGGGCCCTGCGAAGGAATCCAATTTGCGCACAAGGATCGTCTACAAATTTATATGTCGGCATTTAACACAAAATGCTCTTGGCTCAATCCCAGGTCGCAGAGGGACCCGGGGCCCGGCTGACTGATGCGGCTGTCCTCAGCCCCCTCACGGAGCACGGGTGCTGCGGGAGGCGCCAGGGCCGGTTCCTGACCCGCCTCCTGGCTGGAGGGTTCAAAAGACTTCAGACCTCCGGGGCCCTGTGCACAGAGATGCTGGCTGCATGGGGCGTGGAGGGGCGGGATGGGGAGCCGGCAGACCTCGCTTTCTTCTTCTTCTTCAGGGAAGAAGCAGCTGGAAGACTCAACATCTCTTGGCATCCAAGAGCAGAAAGAGGATTACCCTGTCGGCATTTTGGCCCAGTCGGAATGGAGTCACCTTTTCCTAAAGGACGTGGGGCACCATTTCTGTTACAACTGGCAGCCAGTCTTCTGCATAGTTCTAAGATGGACTCTCCCTGTGAATGACAAAAAGGCGCCCCTTCCTCCAAGCCTGCACAGCCTCACACGGGGGTAGGGCTGGGGGAGACGAGGGAAGACTGGGCTTCCAGCCCCTCACTCCTATACAGAGGCCCTGTCTAAATGCTCCTCCGCCCTCTGTGCCAAGAGCCTCTCCACCTGCCAGGGAAGCTACGCACACTCGGTGAGCGTGCTCCTGGGCCCCCAATGAGGAGCTAGCTCCCGGCTGCCCCTTGAGGTCATGAAGCCTTGGAAGAAAGAGGAACCATCTACCTGGTGTGTGGCCCGTTCCCCGAACCACATCTTACATCTTCGGGCCCCTATAGAGACCACTGACGTGGAGCCCCCAAACCCAGAGGAAGAGAGACAGCTTAGCTGCCTCTGAGGACCAGAAAGACACTCCAGGGACAGGGAGGTGCGTGCCTGGAGAGCCTGTTCCTGGCCATCTAGAGCTCGGAAAGGCAGGCCGCCGCAGCGTACTCTCATCCAGACCTTCACTGATTATAGGTGGCTCCAAAGCCCACAGCGAGGAATAAACAAACATCTTCAGTAGGTCCTCTGCGCTCATTCCACTTCTAACAAAGCTTAACAGAGTTGATCAGTGATTTTAAAGTGAGGATAATAAGAAAGAAAACCAAATATCTTGCATGTAGAAGCAAAAGTGTTTCATAATTAACAGCATGGGCACTGGCTCCAGGCTGCCTGGGTTCAAATCCCAGCTCCCCATAGGGTAGTATTTGGCCTGAGGCAGGTTTCCTGATCTTGCTAGGCTTCACCTGTCTCACCTATAAAGTGGAAATCACATGCATCAAACCTCATGGGGTTAAAGTGGGAATCACATGCATCAAACCTCATGGGGTTAAAGAGATGATCAGATGAGCTAACACATACAAAGCACTTGGAATGGTGTCGGATACATGGAAAGACCTTACTACATCGCAGCAATTTTTAGTTTTACTAAAAATGCTCATCCCTCAGTTGAAATTCTATCTATTCATGAGCAAACCGATCCATTGCCACTGCTTCCACAAAATTGTTCCAGACTTCTTCAGTTAGAATTTATCCTCTCCTACTCCACTCTGACCCAGCCTCTAATCCAGAATTTATCGCATTCTATTTTTCGTACTAGTTATCTGTGGATGTGTCTACAGGTTCAACTGTAATAGGTTACAATCTTCTTGATTACAGGACTGCACTTTATATATATTTGTTTCTCCTTGAGTGATTGGCAAAGTTCCTTTATACAGCTCAATAAGTGTTTGTTGAATTGAATAAAATGTAGACAAATATAGGCTAGCTCAGTCATTTTTGTTCATTTCGGCCCAGGGATCATCTTGTCCAAAGGTGTGAAGTATGTATTCCCTCAGAGCCTCTGAGTCTTTGCTGGACCTTCAAGATGTCACAGGAAAAGTGGAAGTATTTGCTAAGCATTTCTATGCAGTTGGTATTCATGTGCAATTTACTGCCAAATTAGTATGGGGCTTGCCTGGAATTTATGGATAAGTTCTGAACAGCTGGACCAGGTGGGCCCCTGACAGATAAGAGGGCCCAGGGTAATTGATAAAGGGGCCTCCACTCAGGCATCTTTTGTGACAGGTTCTGTAAGTCCTTTGGCAAGCTGCTCATCATGACAGGAGCTGAATTGTGATGTCTGGAATACTATGGCCGGGGAGGAGAGCGGCAGCTCCAGGAACACTGTCTGGCACGTGAGCAAGAAAGGAGGAAGGCTCAGGAGCTATAATTGCATCTCAGCGGGTTCTTTTTAGGACCAGCTCTGCTCACCCAATGGGGCAGGACACTGTGAAAGGTCCCCCAAATCAAGTCTTGTCAGTTTTTCCCCTCTCTGGTAACAGTGGCTACTGCAATGATGTTCCTGCTGTTAAAAAGAAAGCCAGCTGTTTACAGTCTATGCTGATTTTTTTTTCTGGGATAATCATAATAGCAACTCACCAGGGTACCAACTCAAATTTGAGACTGGGAGAACCCTGGGGAGGGACGTCAGCTCTGAGACCCAGAGAGGAACAAGATCTGGTTAGCAAGGAATTATACGCCATTCTTGGAAACATAACTGAGAAATGTTGGCTTTATGGAGTTGGTTTTTGCTATCAAAACTGAAACTTGAAATAACTCAACAAGTTCCCTATTGGAATTGATGAGTACCTCACGAGTGTAAATCAGAGTGGCAGGGAACCAATATGCTGTGATCATCAGTATGTACGGCCTGAGCTGAGGCTGTGCCTAAGACAAAGCAGGGATTCACACCAGCCTGGACTCCAGCCTGCTGCTGTTCCTGATGGGGAGGGGAGGCCTTTACCACCTCTTCCTGAGGTTTTATATCAGTATCTGAAAGAACTTCAGCCTCTGATCCTGGACTGCTGGGTGGAGTGCCAGAAGGTCAACTCCAACACAGTCCACCTGATCAAATCACAGAAATAATCACCAGCCCCTCACCCCCTAATTCTGACCAAATGCCCTAGTTGGCACCCATGATGACCTAAGACTTTGCTACGCAAAGTGTGGCCCATGGGCCAGCAGGAGTGACATCACCTGGGAGGTTGTCACCAATTCAGTATCTCAGGCTCCACTCCTAGACCTAGCCAATGAGAATCTGCATTTTTAACAAGGTCTCCGGTGACTTGTGTACACAGGAGTGCTTCAGAAGCACTGCTTTGAGCTCCATTTTTTACCAGCTCTGTCACCTTGGTAGCGTTCCTTTACCCCCTCTCCACCTCAGTTTTTTTCATACAAAGAATGGGAATAAATCCCCCTTTCCTCTTACATCTTACATAGTACATCATTACTCCAATGAGACGACAGATGTAAAGAACTTTCTAGTGCTAGGAAACGCAAGTGGCTGCTGTGCACATATCAACCCTTGCTTGCTCTCTGTTCTTCCCATGCACCAAGCTTGCTCCTGCCCTAGGAATTTCTGCACAAGCTGCTTGCTCCCCATGACACTGGAGTTGATGGCTTCCTCAAGGTTTGCAACATTCTTGACATAGGGACTCTTCTCCCAGGTCCTTGAGGGCTACCTCCTTTTGTCATTCAAGTCTCAGCTCTAATGTCCTCCCTTCAGAAGGGCCTTTCTGCTCCTCCCAGTCCAAAGCTATGGTCTCTGTCACTCACTCTGACTTGCTGTCTTCCTATTGCTTACCCCCTCTGAAATGATCTTGCTTATTTGTTGTCTGTTTGGTGGTTCCTTACAAGATTTCTGTGGAGGCAAGAATATGGGCTGTCTCGTCTACCATTCTTCTTCCAGCCACTAGAACACAGCCTGGCATTTAGCAGGCATCATATGCATCTTGCCCAGTGATTTGATGAATTCACACTGCTGTCTGGAATTGTGTGTGTGATGACCTGTGACTGAGTGAGGAGATGGGGGCAGGGCTGGTCCTCGACTCTGTGTGGATGTGTCTCAGTGGTGTCCCCTGAAAATGTTATGATCAGAGGGTCTAAGACCTAACTGAAAGCTCCCTCAGAGAAGTTCTTGCTCCAGAGCACTATTTTGCACTGGCCAGGAAGCAGGGCGGGGCTCATACTTATGCTTATGTGGCTTTTGAGTTCCGTGATAGTCAAACTGCTAAAGCGTGGTCCTTGAAGGGTGGTCTCCTGACCAGCAGTGTTAGCCCCACTCTGGACATGCTCAGTTAGACCCTGTGTGGATAGGGTCGTGCAATCTGTTCCAACAAACCCTCTGTGTGATTCCGATATACCCCACCCGAACCACCGTGGGGAAGGAACAAGAGAATCCTTGTCTTTGCCCAAGCTCTGGTCTAGGCAGCACCTTAAGGGCATCAGGCTTTGGTGTCCCATCAGGAGCTGGAGAGTGAATGGAAGCAAGGACTGATGTCACATGCTGCTGGTCATTTTGCTTTTCTTCTTTCGGCCCTTACATGAGTCCCCCTGATTGCTGGGCTGGAAGTGGGAGACAGTTGGTGGGCACTGAGTGATTCTTCTTTTACCAGTGTTTTTTTAGAGTAAGTCAGGCTGATTTAATTTTAATCAGCTGAGGCAGCAGAGCGGTGGTTCTCAGCCCTGGCTGCACTTTAGAATCACCTGGAGTGCTTTAAGATACTACTGAACCTTGGGTCCCACCCCAGTCCGATTAAATCCAAATGTCTCTGGGGTGGAGCTTGTCACCAGTATTTTTTTTTGAAGGGTCCCCAGATGGTTCTAACCTGCAGCAGGGGCTGAGAAGCACTGCAGTATTGTCAAACACCATCTCTCCCAAGCTTGCCTGATGATAAAAATAACGAGGGGCACTTGGTAAAACTACCAATTCCCAGGTTCTTCCCCAGATCGCTCAGTCAGAGAAGCTCCAAGGGCCTGGGGGCTGTCTCTTCAACAAACGCCCGGGGCCACTCTTTTAACCAAGCTTGGGACACACTGGTCCAATGGCCTGTGTAAGCTCTGGGACTGAATTCTAGCTCTGCAGTTTAAAGCAACCCCAGGAAAGTTTCTTAAATCTTTGTTTGCTCATTCATAAAATGGAGAAAACAGTAGTATCAATTCCAAAGGATTGCTAAGGATAAATTAGAAGATTCATGTAAAGTGCTCAGGGCAATGCCAGGCACACAGTCGGTGCTCAATGACTGTTACTTGGCACACCCACCCTCATATAAGGTAGGTTCTGAGAAGCTGTTTTTAACAATGCACTTGCTTTTATTTTAGTTTTGGGCAGATTTTGGACCTGCCCTTGTACATGGGCAAAGTTTGGACATGGTCCATTTAAATCAGGGAGATGTCTACAGTTTGCTTCTAAGCCTCCAAAACCTCTAATACTATATTATACACTCCAAGAGTCCCATACCTGCTAACTGTAGGGTGGCTTTTAATCCACCATCAGTAGTGGCTGTGAGGAAGTCCTGGGATCCACTTCCACAAAACGTTACACTTGGGTGCTTGGGACTAATGAGGTGATAGTGTCACAGGAGCAAACCAGGCTGAAGTTGAAGACATTCGATCATGTAGTCCAACCTCCTCATGCCACAGCTCAGAGGTAGAGGAAGAAGGCTTTTAATTTCCATCACACTGACATGAACTTAGACACGGAGGCACCTATGCACCAGAGCAGAGGCTCAGAGAAGTCTGGCACAAATAAGAGATGGAAAAATGACCCCACGGAGGTGTCTAGTATTCCCCCAATATTTAAAAACATAGATTTAAGTGCCACACACATGCACAGAGTTGTCACTGGCTCCCTTGCTATTCTTGGATGGAGAGCGGCTGAATAAGAATGAATCTGTTGCTGAGCTCTGGAAAGCGCATTTCAGAAACCTTCTCAGTTAAGACAATTATTGAGGAACATGTTTCCAATTCCACCCTGCAATATCAGACAGAAGAATCTGCAGAATCCCTGTGATTCTTGACAAGGTGCAGGAAATCATCAAACAGCTGAAAAAATAAGGCACCTGGAGCCAGTGGAATTTCTGCTAAAATTTTCCCAATTAGGTGAAGAGAAACACATAATTGTTCCCCTTGTTCTCATCCTGAAGATCTGAAATGCTGAAAAAAATTCTTGTGTGACCCTATGGATCCTATAATTATGATCATTAAAAGTCTTTCCTGATTATAAAAAAAAGTGTGCAGATTTTACAAAAATTAGAAACAAACAGAAAGACGTAAGGAAGAAAATAAAATTAACCTCTAAACCATCCACCTAGGATAGCGTTTAATACTTCAGTGTATTTCCTTCTCATCCCTTTCCTGTGAATATTTAAATGTTTTGCAAAGTTGGGATTCTGCTGTATCAAGTTTTATATTATGCTTCTTTCCCTTAGTTATGATATCATAAATATTTCTCCATGTCCTTAAATATTATTTGAAAAGAATTCTTAATGACCACATAATATCTCATCACATTGATGTTCCATAATTTACTTAACCATTTTGTTATTAACAGATATTAAAGTTGCTTCTGGTTTTTTTGCTCTTATAAATATGCACAACAAATAGCCTTGCACATAATTTTCTGACCTTATATTTCTGATTATTTTGCTAGGACAAAGTTATAGAAGTAGAATTACAGAGTCAAAAGGGCTGTGCATTTTTTAGGCTCTTTGTACCTTTTGCAAATTTCTTCCCAAATTTTTGAACTCCCACTAATAGTTTATGAAAATGTCCATCTCATCACATCTTTGTCAATATTGAGTAGTATAATCTACCTAACTTTTGCCAGTTTTGTTAATAAAAACAAGAGTCTGATTTTATGCCACATCTTGAAAATTCTTAGTTGAAGTCATGTATTGTTTTCATGTCTATTGGCCATCTGCATCTCTTCTTTTGTGAATTACTGGTTATGATTATTTTAAGAATTCATATACAAAGTGAAACTGCACCTACCACATTACAGGAAATCCCTGTACATGAGCTGTCCCTTCCAGCATCTCACTGTGGCTTTAAGTCATGTACACTTAGCCTCATAAATGGCTACTTTCACCTCTTGCCAATGGCAAGAAAAATTCAGAAACCATAATCCTATTCTTTCATACCTTATCTGATTTCATAAAAGCTTCTGACTCACTCAAATGATAGCTAGTGTTAGAAGATGCTCATCAATACAAATGTCCACCAAAATCTGTCAAGATAGAGTTATTTTCTCTATGATGCGGTCTAGGCAGGAATCTTTGATAATACGAACACTTTCTGACCCTTCAAGGTCAACACAAAGTCAAACAAGGTTGGGTTTCAGTCTAAAACTCCTTGACATTTCTTTTTCTGCGGAAAGTTATGTCCCTAACCATCTTCCAGCATGAAGTTAAATCAGTCAGTGGACAGTAAATCTCTGCTGACTCTGAGGGAGAAGTAAAACCCACTCTGATCTAATCAAATCTAATCATCAAGCTCAAAAATGCTGCTGCTGCTGCTTTAATTTCAGTAACAGATCTTCACACAACTGTCAACATCATTACCAAAACACATCAGAAAATTGGATGAAAGCGCAACACGTAGACAATCATAATCCCCATCATCAATCTCTAGCGGTCCCCAGTTGACAATTCAGATTAGGGGGTGAGCCTCTAGGGGACACACTTCGCAAATCAACTTCACAAAAGAGTAATATTAACCCCAGAAGCGCCGCAATTGTGTAAATTCAGGTACTGGCCAACTGAAAAATAGGAATTGAAGGAGCATCACATTTGAACAAAGTTTGTGGTCTAGCCTGTTATGGAGGACCTGACACAGACCACTAAGAATTGAAGAAAGTGGGAAAGTTGTTGCCTATGGAAAGATTTTCAAAAACACAGAGTAAATTAACAAACAGCTTTTTAATTTTTTTAAACAAACAACTTTTGACGAGCAAAAGCCAACAGCATTTAGCGATGGTCAGTTGCTAGCAATTCTGCTGGGTAAACCATGTGAACCTTCAATTCTAGACTCTCAAGATGACTCTGATATGCTAACGTGGTGACTGAGTGTGCTCAGGAGAATGGCAAAACAATATTTTAGAGAATAAGCACCAAACAAGTATGAAACATGCCAAAGGGCAATGGTGATGCCCACTACAGGGAGGAAGTCTACCTTTGGAGAAAGCCCACCAGTAGACTCTCCTCAGTTACCAGGGAAGCCACAGAGAGAGTTATGGAATGCCCTGGAATGCCCTTAGAAGTCATCCCACTCACCCATAAATACTTAGTGAGCACCTACACTGTGCTTACATTCAAGAAGACAGGTTTAGAGAGGTTAAATAATCTGTCCAAGGTCAGACAGACAGTTAAAGCCAAGACATCTACTGAAAAACTAGCATTTCAATTTTTTATGACAAGAGATAGAAAAAGAATGTTTGACAGAAATGAGTTACAGAACAAATAAATAATCCAAGACTGTCTTAGAGCCTGCCAAAAGTAGAGATTCTCCTCTCCCTCCCCTCATTGGGTTGTGCTCTTTTGATCACAAAGAGATAGAAATTTCAAGACACCAAGGGACAGAAATCAATTCTGAGAGCTTCATTCTTCCTTTGTTTCTCTATCAAAAGACACATCAAGAACTACCACATTTCTTCTTCCTTGTGTCTGAAAGTAGAATTCTTCTACTGTTGAAATGATCCAGGACCCTAGGCCTGGCAATGGCATAGTGGTAGAAGACAGAAGATTCATCTATTCCTCTGGCCTATGTGTGTGGGTGTGGCCGGGTGACCATATCAAGATGCGGGTGAAGTAGGGTGTGTTCCACCCACTCTCTTGTTTCCATCTGGGGCCTGCAGTGTCATCCAAAAATACGTATGCATATAACACACAGCATACACACATTTTTTTATTTTGGGAAACCTAATGGCAAATATTTTTCTAATCTAAAAGAAAGTTAAGAAGCAAGGAAACATGATGCCTATGCAAGGGGCTTTAACCAGAGGTTTGCCAATGGATGTTACATGTTCTCTTATTTTAGATTTCAGCCCATCCTTGGGCAAAGGACACACATCTTGCTTAAGAGGAAGAGACAACAGCCACTGCTTGTTAAACCTCATCTGCTTCCCATGTGAAGGCGAAAATCCCTACATGGCTATGTCTGAGGGGTGGGGCAGGGTCTCAGACTGCATGTAGAGAATTTTCCAAAGGCTCTTAAAACACTCTAGCTCTCAGGCTTGGAAACGTGTCTCCAGCATGGAGTGTGACTTCTAGATAATGAGATGGGCTATTTAATAAATATATTGGAATCCATCCATCCAAATGAGTGTCCCTCCCCCATCTGAGCAGTCATCAGAGATGCCAGATATTTATCCCAAGGTTGCTGCCATTGTTCCAGACACTTTGGGGCCTCTCTTGAGAATTTTCTGCAAATCCATGCCACATTATTTGGAATAAGCACAATGGTGGCAGAGCCCCATCCTGCAGAGCTGAATTTTATTTTTGGAAACAGTCAAGAAGCTTTTTGGCATTTGTAGCCAAGCTCGGTGAATAACCAGCTGATTGAGCTGGTAATGTTGTTTTGGGTCCAAATTGAAGCATGGTTACAGGGTCTGGTGTTCTTGCATGACGTGGAAACAAGGCTCCCAAGGTCATCTCAAATGCAAAACTCCTGCACTCTTTGAGGGTTGGCAGCACCACTGAACCAGGTACATGACCTTCCAGACCCCTCTGTAAAGACAACTTGTTTGGGCACGTGATGCTCAGTGGGATTCTTTGATTGTAAGCAACAGAAGCTGAGTCTGTCTGACTTACGTGAAAAGGAAATTGACTGGCAGGGCTATGGGGGAGCTCACTAGTTCAAAGGGAAGGCCGAAGGACCAGGTTAGGAAAAGGCAGCTCAAGAAGGAGCCAGAACCTTCTGACAGCCTAGCTCTGGTGCTGCAGTGAAAATAACTAAATTTCAAACAATTCTTCAATCCTTGCATTGCTCTGCCCAAAAATGAAAGACTCAGAGGAGACTGTAATTGGGTGCATGTCAGACTTGTGCCCAACTCGTGGCTCCACCCCTTGGCCAGAACTTCCAGGGATTGTTTCGGCTTGTGTAGAGTAAAGGGCAGTATTCCTTGATTACCATTTTTCTGAAACTGCCCACAAAAGGGGAGAAGCAATTACCTACTAGTAAAGAAAGGAAGAGAGAATAGATGCTAGGCACCAAAAAATGACAAATTTGAACCATAGCTAAGCCCTGTTATTCTTCTTCCTACTACTCTATAATATTATGTATAAGAATTTTTGCTCTATTTGTCAACATTTTTCTCACGTTGTAAATTACATTGGCCTCATTAGCCATCACCAGTTCCATGAGCTGATGGAATCTTTCTTCTTTATCTCATAGCTCCTAAAAAATACACCAGTCTATGGGCTGCTCCATCTTCTCCAGATGGAACTAGACCCTGCTCCTTTCCCTCAGAGCACTCATGAAGCCAGCAGCCAGCTTCGTTCTTCTCCTTGTCCTAATGAAGAGAGCAGGTGCTCTTCCTGCTTGCGGTATGCCTGCTACAGCCACCTCTGGCAGTCACATGGAGGCCAACTGTGCATCTGTCACTGTGGATGAGCCGGGGCATGCATGAGAACAGCCTTTGGTCATCCCAGAGGTGCACTTGCCTCTGCAAAGTGCCGAGGCCTCCTGTGTAGTCCAATTGTGCTTGCTCCCAAGAAAACCAGCCACAGCCTATGCAGAGAAGAATCACCCTTCAACCCCTGCACACAGAGGGAAAACCACGTGCATGCATCTGGACCATTATTAACATGTAAGCCAGGTCCTGAGACAGTAGCTGGCCCACCCATCCCAGCCTGTCCTGCACTGAAATAAGAACTCACTTTGTGAACTGCCAAGAGCTCTGGGGATCCCATTTGACCTCAGTGTCCCTGGCCAGCAAGGGACAGAAGGCCACAACCTCCCTATTGAGGATCTTTGAGAAGTTATTCCAAGCCAGAGCACCAATGCGGACCACAATAGCTGCAACAGCCTCTAAAATGCTGTTTATGTAGGTTCTGAGAGCGATCAAAGCTGCAATGTGTGGGAAAAGGGCTGGGCTCTGGGAAGGAGGAAGGGTAAAGGGAAGATGAGGCTGTGTCTCAGATGGCCCAGGACTGGGAGGGAGGCCGCTTGGGGATGAAATGCACCAAGGGCAGGGACTGGGCTCCCAAACAGACTGCCACCACACCGGGGAGAGGAGAGCTCTAGCATTTGAAGCCAAGACCTTTGCAAGCACTCTCAGGGGGTCCTCTAAGCCTCAATTCCCTAGCCTGTGAAACCAGGGGAGACCTTCCTTTAGTGGTTTGATCTATCAGAGACAACACATGCGAATCATCCAGCCTGGGGCCCATGGGCACTCAATGAAGGGCAGCCCTTCCTTCGTGAGATGTCAATGTTATCTAGAGCAGTACTTTCCAACGTTAAGATGTCATGGCACAGTGAACTTTCAAAAACAACCTTGAGAGCACTCATGCAGGATTGCGAGTGTTTTATTTTGCCAACTGAGGACAATACAAAAAACAAAGCAAAACCCCCATCATCTATGATATAACCATAAAAATACTTTTCAACACCAGAAAAACAAGAATTACAAAATCTTAGAATTGAAAAATCAGTCCTTTAAATAATTTTAGCGTTATGAAAATATTATTAGTACATCATTCTTATTTAGTTAATTTTGCTACAAGATGACAACAATTTCATTCAGACTGGCCCTGCCCTGCTTTGGGAACCAGGGGCAGGAAGGAAAAGTCTGGGCCTTGGTGCCAAACAGGCCACAACCACCTCCCGGCTCTGACCCTTACTAACTGGGTGACCTTCAGCGAGAGATCTGCCCTCCTGTTCTCACTTTTCTCTTTTATAAATCAGAAACAGTAGCATCTCCTTCGTAAATAAGATTATGTGTAAAGGGCAAAGCACAGAGTTTGGTACATTGCAGGTGCTCATTAAATACTAATGCCAGAGTGTCCTGAGGTTTGAGAGAGGGCTGGGTCACTTCCAGATTCTGAGACTCTCAGTATATTAAGAAATGAAGAAATGCCAAAACAGAGTTGCCAAAATCATTCATATCATTTAAAGATATCACAAGAAAAAATATCTGAAACACATGCACACACAAATACAATGGTTGTATATACAGCCTTATGAATCTCGCATTTGAGAGAGTAAGGTTGGAGCCAGTAGCCCCTTGGTCCCCAGAGACATGCCCTGGTTGGCTCCTTTATAAGCCATGGCTCTCATGGATGACACACTCTGAGACACTGACTTTACTCATCTGTATTCCTTTGTTCTTTTCCCGACTGGGGTTCATGTGGAATATTTCTCTAGGCCTCCCTTCCTTTAATTCATAATTCTGAGCATGAGATTTTCTTGGAAATCTAGCTGGTGTCTTCTTTGCATCACTGGATCTCAATAGGTTTCAAAAGGACTAAAATTGAGGGTTAGAAGGAAAGATAAATGGGTGCTGAAGTGGATGATTTAACCAGGGGATTCCAGGGCAACCAAGGAAGGGAAAGGGGTCTGTGCTGGAGAAGGCATGCCAACAGCAGGCTGCAAGATTTTCCCTGTGAGCGGCGTTTATGTGCACGAGTGTGCATCATCTACATGCACCTACTTTCCTACAGAAATTCAAATATCCTGTTTCTTTGTTTATTGCTGTCTCTCCCATTAGAATGTCAGCTCCATGACAGCAGGGACCATGTACCTCTTGGCCATCCCTGTGTCTCTAGCGCTGAATACACATAGGTGCTCAATAAATGTTTCCTGAATGAGTGACTATGTCATGATTATGTGTCTGCTCAGCACTCTTCCATCTTGGATCTAGGAACAGACCCCCTTTGCATTTGAAGATCAATCCTACCCCCTTTCCCAACCACACAATGTCCCTGAAACACAGGGATGGGCATATGGTCACCCAGAATTCTTTTCTTGTAATTGGAACTTTCTCTCTGGTGGTCAGGCTGGGAAGATATATGCCAGGATTGCCAGCAGTTTTGGTGCCAGACTTATGGAGAAAGATGCTCTGAAATAATTAAGTGGACAGGCCAAGGCACAGACATGGGGATGAGAAGCAGGGACACAGAGAGCGATCCTGGCCACATTTGGTCTCTGGCTCCTGTCTGTCCTGACAGCCCCTGCTGTCCCTTTGCTGCTTTCTCAAGGCTCAGTTAATCTGGTCTTAACTTTGAGTTCTGTGTGTGCCCCAGTATGCCTCCTCTAGATCCTCTCTTTTTTGGGGTGGGGAGGGGTGGGTAGCAAACAGTTTCTTCTATTGCAATCAAAAGAGTTCTGACTAATCCAGTTCATTAAAGATGAAGATTAACCAAAAAGTAGCACTCAGACATTTGCAGATGGGTAAGACTCTGAACGATCTCATGGGTAGACACAAGGTGGGACAGTAAGAAATTATGATGGTGGCTGGGTGTGGTGGCTCATGCCTGTAATCCCAGCACTTTGGGAGGCCGAGGCAGGCGGATCACTTGAGGTCAGAATTTTGAGACCATCCTGGCCAACATGGTGACTCCGTCTCTACTAAAAATATAAAAATTAGCCGGGTGTGGCAGCATGTGCCTGTAATCCCAACTACTCGGGAGGCTGAGGCAAGAGAATTGCTTGAACCCGGGAGGCGGAGGTTGCGGTGAGCCGAGATCACATCATTGCACTCCAGCCTGGGCAACAGAGCAAGACTCCGTCTCTAAAAAAAGCAAAAAAAGAAATTATGATGGCAGTACTGGCTAATATCTGAGTACTTTCCACATGTCAGACATAGGACCAAGCATTTTGTGTGCATTATTTTAACTATTGTGATGGTCAGTTTCATGTGTCAATTTGAGTAGGCCACAGGTGCCCAGATTAATCATTGTTTCTGGTGCTTCTGTGAAGGTATTTCCAGAGGAGATCAGCATTTGAATCTGTGGACTCAGTAAAGTAGATTGCCCTCTGCCATGTGAAGGAGCATCATGCAATCTGTTGAGGGCATGAGTAGAAAAACACGCAGAGGAAGGAGGAATTTGCCCCTCATCCCCTGCCTCACTGCAGAGCTGGGGCATCTCATCTCATCTTCTCCTGCCCTGGAACTGGGATTTACATCATTGGCTCCCCTGGTTCTCAGGCCTTCAGACTTAGACTGAATCACACTGCAGGCTTTTCTGAACCTTTTGCTTGCAGACGGCAGATCATGGGACTTCTCAGCCTCCATAATCACATGCCGATTCCTCATAATAAATAAATCAATCTCTCTCTCTCTCCCCCCACCCAACGCACACACAGAGTCATATGTAAACAACTGAGATACGTTCTGAGAGATGTGTTGTTAGGTGATTTTGTCTTTGTGCAAACATCATAGTGTGTACTTACACAAACCTAGTCTTACTTACACAAACTGCCTACTACATAAACTGCCTACTACACACCTAGGCTAGATGGTATAGCCTATTGATCCTAGGCTACAAACCTGCACAGCATGTTACTGTACTGAATACTGTAGGTAATTGTCACACAATGGTAAGTATCTGTGTATCTAAATATAGAAAAGGTACAATAAAGATACAATTTTATTATCTTGTGGGACCACCATTGTACATGTGGTTCACCTTTGGCCAAAATGTTACACGTTGCATGCCATAACTCCTATTAGTTCTTTTCTCTTATTGGAGAACTTTAATACCGCCACTACCATAGTGCTATGAAGTAGGCTATTAGCTATTATTGTCTCTACTTTATAGATGAGAAAACCAAAACTCAGAGAGGCTAGGTAACTCGTTCTAAGGTCCCACAGCTAGGAAGGGAAGGAGTTAGAGTTTAACCACAGATTTGTGTAACCACAGATTGCGTGACTCCATCATTTCTCTCCTACATCTTGTGTACAGTTCTTCTCTCTGTTCTTCTTTTCTCACTCTTCTGTTCTCTCATTCTTTCTCCATGTCTTGTCTGAAATCTCTCATTCCCTCTTCTTTCAGTGACCCTTCTCCGGCTCCTTTTAATCCCATTTTTATGACAGTACATAAGCATATATTTTAAGACTATGGTCTTGAACACTTTCAGGTGTGACGATACCTTTTAATGTTAAAGAATCTCCATATAATGGTAGCTGTACTAGCATCTATTGATAAAAAGCCCATGCACAGATGGATTCTCAGATGTCATGTAATAACTCTGTGACCTCTAGGTTGGCATTCCCTACTTTAAAATATATGGGAGAATCCAGATAACCATCCGTCTTACTCCTACCTGCTTGGCTTGTTACAATATAGAAAAGGCTTATAAATGCTACTATAGCGCTCATTTTTGCTCACCCTGTGCCTTAAGGCTACCAATTTCTTCTGAAATGTGGTCTTTTTGTCCTTCCTTTAATATGTTTAATTATTTAAGAAGGCATGAACTGTGACACTTACATTTTATATATCACCTCTTGATTATCCAGGGGCTGATTAATTCATGGATTGCCCAAGTCGAGTCCTTCTCCTTTCCAACCCCATTTTGTTTTATCATTCCATTTCCTATTAGCGTCTTTTAGCAAGCATGGACAGTGGGGATGAGAAATGATTCTGGTTACAAATTATGAATTCTGATAAAAGATTTGGTTGGAGGAAGTTGAAGTTATTTCCCAAAGTAAGAATTTCTTTAATCCATCAGGCACATTGACTCTCTTTCTGAGCTCTGTGAAGGCAGGAGTTGCTCTCATTCACCACTAACCTCCAGGGCTCAGCAAGGTGCCTTGCACATGGTAGCTTAATAAAAGAATGAGTAGAATGAACGAATAAGAGCTGATGAATATAATAGGGAAAATAAACTTTCTCCTAGGTGAGACATTGATTCATAGGAAACTAAGTAAAATACAAGATAACTTATTTTACGTTGCATGTCTGTAGACAACACCATATTTGACAATGTTTAAACGACTGCTTTAAAAATTAACAACAAAAGATATATAGGTCTAATTAAAAAATGAAAAATATGGCTGGGCATGATAGCTTATACCTGTAATCCCAGCACCTTGGGAGACTGAAGTGGGAAGATTGCTTGAGGCCAGGAGTTTGAGACCAATCTTGGCAACATACGAGAAACCATCTCTACAAAAAAAAAAAAAAAAAAAAAAAAAAAAGATTATCTCAGTGTTGTGGCATGCACTCCCAGCTCAGGAGGCTGAGGTGGAGGATTGCTTGAGCCCAGGAGTTTGAGGCCAGCAGCCTGGGTAACATAGTGATACTCTGTCTCTAGAAATAATTAAAAAACAAAAATTAGCCAGGTGTGGTGGCACACACCTGTAGTGTCAGCTACTTGGGAGGCTGAGGAGAAAGAATCACTTAAACCCAGGAGTCGGAGGTTGAAGTGAGCTGTGAATGCACCACTGCACTCCAGCCTGGGTGACAGAGGGGAACCCTGTCTTTTAAAAATAATAAATAAATAAATAAATAAATAAATAAGATAAAAAGAAAAAAGTTACATAGTGTCATTTTATCCCCCCGATAAAAAGAGGGAGAGACACATTTCTAAGACAAGGGTTGGTCCAGGCAAACTCCTCCTGTTATATTAGGTATTAAAGAAACATATTCATACTCAACACACTAACTATTGAGCACCTAGTATGTGTCAGGTGCTGTGCTAAGCAATTTACATGGCTTATCTCATTTGTCTTCACCACAATGGTAGGAAGTACTATTATTTGACAGGTATCAGCAAGTTACCAGTGTTCTCTGAAAATTTCTTTAGCTCTCCAGCGTTTTGAACCAAGAATGAACTTGTCTTCTTTTTACTTCCTGGTTTTTAAATTAAAGATTTATTTTCCTATGAAATGTTAGGTGTGTTTAAAAGATTGATTTAGATTTTAGATATACCCTTGGAAACTTTGAGATATCTGTTATTTTACTATCTCTTGCTTTTTGACATTAATACATTGTCTAGAAAGGAAACTTTTATAATGAGACTTACCATACTTTTCAAAGTCTTCCTAAGCAAAATGTTTTGCATGTGGGGATGCAGACAGGGAAGAAGGCCAGGCAGCATCTCTGAGCCTGTTCCATGGCTCTGGTGCTGTCCAGGAATCAGGTGCTGAAATGTTTTAACCAAGGCCTTCTCAGGCCAGCCGGATGGAGCAATAGCTGATGGGAGTTGGGGGAGTGCTGCCTCAGCTATAGCCTGGTGCCGCTGCTTCCCAGAATAGGGAAGCAACTTTAAAAGATCCTGGTGGAACTAGAATTACAGCCCACCTTATTTGGAGGGGGTTGAGGGAAATAACTAGCTATCTCCCTCCTACTCCTTCCATACTTTGCTTTAGCTTGGAAGGAAGGATATGGACAACAGGTTACTGATGGAAAAATATATGTTCAAAAAATAAGCCTAATTATGGAAAACCGTATGGAAGTTCCTCAAAAACTTAAAAATAGAACTACCATATGATCAAGCAATCCCACTACTGGGTATATATCCAAGGGAAATGAAATCAGTATGTTGAAGAGGTATCTGCACTCCCATGTTCATTGCAACATTATTCACAACAGCTCAGATATGGAATCAACCTAAGTGTCAATCAATGGATGAATGGATAAAGAAAATGTGATAACACATAATAAAGTATTATTTGGCCTTAAAGAAGAAGAAAATCCTGTCATATGTGACAACATGGGTGAACCTGGAAGACATTATGCTAAGTGAAATAAACCAGGCACAGAAAGACAAATACCACATAATCTTACCTACATATAGAATCTAAAAAAGTTGAATTTATAGAAGTGGAGAGTGGAATGATAGTTATCAGGGGCTAGGAGTGAGGAAGGGAGATATTGGTCAAAGGATACAAAAATTTCAGTTAGATGGGAAGAATGAGTTCAACAGATCTATTGTATAACATGGTGACTATAGTTAATAACAATGTATTGTATTCTCCAAAATCACTAAGAGAGTAGATTTTAAATATTCTTATCACAAAAAAGTGAGGTAATGCATATCTTAATTAGCTTGATTTAGCCATTTCACAGTGTATACATATTTTATAACATGATTTGTACAATAAATATATACAACTTTTATTTGCCAATTCAAACAAAAACCAGGCTGACATCAGTACAACTGGTTAGTGGTGCATTTTGAGAATTTCACTGCCTCTCCTGTCTTGGTGTTAGGAACCGAGAAGAACCAGGACTGGAGGCTCAATGATACTGTCAGTCCCTTGGGACTACTCAGCCAACAAAAAATTATTGCGGTTTAATGAAAGGGAAATTAGCATAAGGACCTTGGCTTTAATACTAAAAGATCAAACCCATAGAGCAGTTTTTCATCATAGAAAAGTTCCACAGAGGGTGAAAGCCTTATGACTACAACCTTATATGAAATGCAGTGTTTATAAGAGGCTAGAATATTCATTGGGGACATGAATCTGATGGGTGTGCTGAACATGGAATGAGTGTCTTCGCTGTAGCAAATATGACATTCTGCTCTGTTATTTCCATATATGCCTTATCTCTCTTATGACTAAGATAGCTTGAAGGAGGGGATCATATTCTTGTATCTTCCAAAGTGCTGAGCACACAACTATGCACACGGTAGGGTAGGCTTGTAGAATTTGCTTATTGAATTGATTGATGTTGCTCTCAAGGCGAAGGTCCTTAAATCAATCACTCTGAGTATAGCTAATGTTTATTATTTTCATTAATCCTCTTATCTAAAATCCTCCATCCACCCATAAGACCCTTGCCTATTTCATTTGAACACTATGTGATAGGCACTGTAGGTGCACGGATGAAAAAGATAAAGTTCCTGCCTTTAGAAGTCTGCAATCTAATGTGAGAGGAGAAATTTTAAAAAGAATTATTGATCAAAATGTGTATGTAGAGTGTTTACTCTTTTTTTTTGAGACAGAGTTTTGCTCTTGTCCGCCAGCCTGGAGTGCAATGGTGTCATCTTGGCTCACTGCAACCTCCACCTCCTGGGTTCAAGTGATTTTCCTGCCTCAGCCTCCCAAGTAGCTGAGATTACAGGCATGCACCACCATGCCTGGCTAATTTTTGTATTTTTAGTAGACATGGGGTTTCACCGTGCTGGCCAGGCTGGTCTTGAAGTCCTAACCTCAAGTGATCTGCACACCTAGACCTCCCAAATTGCTAGGATTACAGGCATGAGCCACCGCGCCTGGCCTAGAATGTTTACTATTTAATTAAATAACATTGGGATATATTTTTGGTTTGAGTTTTATTTTAAATCTGATTCAGATAGCAAAAACTCCTTCACAAACCTAGGTTAACATGGATCACAGATTGCCAACTGTTTTTATATATTCTTAAGAATCTTCCCAAAGCCTCTCCTTTGGGGCTAGGGATGGTTACGCTCTGGTTTGCAACACAGCACCAGATAGGGTGCTCGCTCTGGTCTACAAATGGGCTTCTCTTGTCTGATTTATAAGCCATAAGTTTTGGCATTAGATAAGGAAAGCAGCTGTAGAGAAAAGGAGGGAGAGGACATATTAGAGGCATATGCCAGGGTGTTCCCAGAACTGAAGGAGAGCTTCAGGGGACGCATAGATCTGTGGACCTCAGGGACAGGCCCTTGGGATTCTCTCCTCGTCTTCTCTCTGGATGTCATCGGCATTCTCTCAGGTTCCTCCATGAGATGGGGGAGAGAACAAGTGGTAGTTGTGATATACCTTTTCAACTCATGATTCAACAGCAAAGGGAGAACTTTCCTTCAAGATAGAAAATTTCAGATCAAGATACTGATTAGATACTGGACTAATCCCTAGTGGCCAAAGGGCTACTTTGATTGGCAGCCCCACAGGATCCTGTGATTGGAACAGTTCTCCAGAGGAGGAGTATTCTTCCCAGAAGGAATGAAGGTCCTGTGGAGGCCCAAGGAGCAGATCCGGCCACCTTATCCTGTGTGAGGAGCTCTGGAATGCATTGCTGCTTTCCAGGATAGCTCCCAAGCAGGGAGAATCCCCTTCCACTGCCCAATCATGGACAGCATACAGAATGACTGCAACAGCTGGGCACATCAAAGGATACTGTGTAGTTGTCCATGACCTCATATGGCTATAGGTATTTTATAAACAACATGGGAAGATGGCTGCTGAGGGGGAAGGAATCTTTTCTGATGTGCACAGTTCATGTTTCTTTGCTTGGCATAGCCAAACACCAGTGGATGGTATCATCTGTGCTGTGAACAGATTCTGATTTTGAACTCCATGCTCTTCTAGAGAGGAACAGTCCAAGGACCACAGTCTGGCCTGGCTTTTCTTGGTGCATGGGGCTTCCTGCACATACATGCTTCTCTCCCCCAACATACACACAAACACACACACACACCCCTCCTCATCTGTCTTATACCCAAGACTTCCATGCTGTAGAACTCTTTCTATTTTGCAAGAAGAGAGTTCGAGCATCTCTGAAAAGCTAAGGGGAAGGACCTCTTAAATCCTACTTCCTTTAGTTTCACGTACCCTCCAATGTCTTCTTGGTGATAGAAAGAACACAAGCTTTGGATTTCCTAAGTCTATTTTTCTGTTTCCAATGGTATGCAGACCTCTGAAGGACCCTACCACTACAGAACAAGTAGATCCCCAATGAACTATATTTTTAGTGTATTACTGGGTTCACAAACTTAAGGAAAATCTCCAAGAACCATCCCACCCCACAGAAAAGTGAGCTGAAATTAGACCTGGCAGCAATGAATGGTAAATACATGGAAATGAGGGACTCTGAGTACCATAAAGAGTATTACTAATCCTTGAACTGGTGGCAAGATAGGGTTACAGAACCCTACATTAAGCCGGGACACTTGGAGAGAGCTAGGGTATTCTCAGGTCAGTAGGACCCCTCGGCCCTAGAGGTGGATACAAATCCTCTCTGGTAAAAGCTATTTTCAGGCCAGGCACAGTGGCTCACATCTGTAATCCTAGGATTTTGGGGGGCTGAGGTGGGTGGATCACAAAGTCAAGAGATCAAGACCATCCTGGCTAACATGGTGAAACCCCGTCTCTACTAAACATACAAAAAATTAGCCAGGTGTTAGCCATATGTAGAAAGCTGAAACTGGATCCCTTCCTTACACCTTATACAAAAATTAATTCAAGATGGATTAAAGACTTAAACGTTAGACCTAAAACCATAAAAACCCTAGAAGAAAACCTAGGCATTACCATTCAGGACATAGGCATGGGCAAGGACTTCATGTCTAAAACACCAAAAGCAATGGCAACAGAAGCCAAAATTGACAAATGGGATCTAATTAAACTCAAGAGCTTCTGCACAGCAAAAGAAACTACCATCAGAGTGAACAGGCAACCTACAAAATGGGAGAAAATTTTCGCAACCTACTCATCTGACAAAGGGCTAATATCCAGAATCTACAATGAACTCAAACAAATTTACAAGAAAAAAACAAACAACCCCATCAAAAAGTGGGCAAAGGACGTGAACAGACACTTCTCAAAAGAAGACATTTATGCAGCCAAAAAACACATGAAAAAATGCTCATCATCACTGGCCATCAGAGAAATGCAAATCAAAACCACAATGAGATACCATCTCACACCAGTTAGAATGGCAATCATTAAAAAGTCAGGAAACAACGGGTGCTGGAGAAGATGTGGAGAAATAGGAACACTTTTACACTGTTGGTGGGACTGTAAACTAGTTCAACCATTGTGGAAGTTGGTGTGGTGATTCCTCAGGGATCTAGAACTAGAAATACCATTTGACCCAGCCATCCCATTATTGGGTATATACCCAAAGGATTATAAATCATGCTGCTATAAAGACACATGCACATGTATGTTTATTGCAGCACTATTCACAATAGCAAAGACTTGGAACCAACCCAAATGTCCAACAATGATAGATTGGATTAAGAAAATATGGCACATATACACCATGGAATACTATGCAGCCAGAAAAAAATGATGAGTTCATGTCCTTTGTAGGGACATGGATGAAATTGGAAATCATCATTCTCAGTAAACTATCGCAAGGACAAAAAACCAAACACCGCATGTTCTCACTCATAAGTGGGAATTGAACAATGAGAACACATGGACACAGGAAGGGGAACATCACACTCTGGGGACTGTTGTGGGGTGGGGGGAGGGGAGAGGGATAGCATTAGGAGATATACCTAATGCTAAATGATGAGTTAATGGGTGCAGCACACCAGCATGGCACATGTATACATATGTAACTAACCTGCACATTGTGCACATGTACCCTAAAACTTAAAGTATAATAATAATAATAATAATAATAATAATAATAATAATAAATAAAATAAAATAGTCAAATACAAAAAAAAAAATTAGCCAGGTGTGATGGCATGCCCCTGTAGTCCCAGCTACTCAGGATGCTGAGGCAGGAGAAACGCTTGAACCTGGGAGGTGGAGGTTGCAGTGAGCCGAGATACTGCCACTGCACTCCAGCCTGGGCACAGAGGGAGACTCTGTCTCAAAAAAAAAAAAAAAAAAAAAAAAGTGTTTTCAATTTAGGCCCACAGAACTCCTACATTTTAAGTTCAAGCAAATATAATAAGGAAGCAAGCCACCAGAAGTTAGTGGTAATGAAAACAACTAAGAACACATTTAACACCCAAGGACTGCGGATATTAGAACTGTCAAATACAGATTATAACTATGTATGAAATATTTAAAGAATGAAATGATGAACTCACAAAAGTGGATAAGCAGTAAGACATTATCAGAGATTATCAGGGAGATTTGAAAAGAACCATATAAAACTCTTAAAAATAAAAAACGGTTTTTGAAATGAAAACTCAGCAGTTTAGATGCAATTGAAGAAATAATTAGTGAACTGGAAGATATAACTGGAAAATTATCCAGAATGCAGCAGCACAGAGAGACAGAAGATGAAATAATGTGAGAACAGTTAAGAAACTTGGAGACTAGAATGAGAAAACCTCACATGTCTGAGTAGAGTCCCAAAAGGAGAGAGCAGAGAGAATGGAGGAAAGACTTGCTTTTTTTTTGAGACAGGGTCTTGCTCTGCCACAATAGGCTGGAGTGCAGTGGTGCGATCTCGGCTCAATGCCACCTTGATTTCCCAGGTTCAAGAGATCTTCCCACATCAGCCTCCTGAGAAGCTGGGACTACAGGTGCACACCACTATACCAGCTAATTTATCTTGTATTTTTAGTAGAGATGAGGTTTCTCCATGTTGCTCAGGGTGGTTTCAAACTCCTGGGCTGAACTGATCTGCTTGTCTCAATCTCCCAAAATGCTGGGATTACAGGCATGAGCCACTGTTCCTGGCCAAGGAAAGACTTAAAAAGATGATGGCTGAGAAATATTCAGAATGATGACAGACATGAATCCTCCAATTTGGGAAGCACAGACCAGGTATTTTTTTTTAAAAAGAGATCCATATACACGATAGTAAAACTGCCAAACTGAACGATGAAAGAGAGAGACAAGAGATAGATCACCTACAAAGGAATGGCGTTAGTAATAATGGGCATCTGAAAAGAAACAATGGCAACCATTACACCATGGAATAATAGCCATCAACTTGAAATTGTGCATACAGAAAAAGGTTCTTTCAAGAATGAAGATACAGTAGAGATATTTTTAGATTAAACAAAAACTGAGTCTATCAGGACAGGGCATTCAGCAAGGTAACATCTTTGGAATTAAAGTGATCCCAGAAGGTCTTTCTGAGATGCAAGAAGGAAAAATGAGCAATAAAATGGTAAAAAAAAAATGTAAAAACATTGTCTTTATACAGTAACAACAAAACTATTATTAATTTTTATTATTATAACTGGCAGGGCTAACAAAGGGCAAAGACTAAAATACTATGCAAATGCCAAGAGTAGGGGTTCAGAGTTAACATGTCCTGAAGTCCTTGTATTGTTATAGAAGGGGGTTAAGATAATCTCAGAGTTTGTTAAGTTAAAACGTATGTAAAGTTTCAAAGTAAACCTCTAAAAAAACAAAAGTAGAGGTATAAATCCCAAATCAATAGGGGTAAAAAAAAAATGGGATTTAGAAAACAAGAACCTTCTGATGATGGCAGAGACAGGCCATCTGGAGTGGCCACTGCCATCACGCTGGCTGCAGCAGGGAGGTGCAGCTGCAGGCCCAGGCCTCCCACTCCACGAAGAAGGCAGGAGCCCTGCCCTCCCAGGCACAGCTGCAGCTGCCCAAACCTGGGGCTGCTGACCCAGGACTCCCACGCAGGGGAGAAGGCATGAGCCCCACCATCCTGGGCACAGCTGCAGCTATCCAAACCCCAGCTGCAGACCTAGGCATCCCTGCACTCTTGGGGGCCTGGGAAGGCCCCCTTGCCCTCACAGGCTCAGAAGTGCCTGCCCCTGAGACCTGGCTTCTCCCTGCTGTTGGCACCTGCTTTAATCTCAGAGCAAAGTTAGGGCAAGCCCGGGCACTGTTGTGGCCCAGCCAGGTGTGCACAGGCTCAGGGCAGTGCTGACATGCCAGCCGCCTGCTGCCTCTTCCCCCTCTGGACTTTGGGTGCCAATGAGCACAGAAGGGAAGCCAAAGGGGTGCTGAGGGCAGCTTAGTGCAGGCCTGCAAATGCCCCTTGGCACTTACAACCTGGGTGTCATGAATGGCAGCAGGAGGCAGACAGGTTTCTGAGAAGAAGGGGGCAGGTCCACATTTAGGCCCTACCTTTAGGGCAGGGAGGGCCTGACGGCTGGGTTTGGGCTGCCAGTACCATGGACAGGAGTGGGAACTTGTGGTGCCTTTTCTGGGCCTGCCCATGGCTGTCCATGGACCAATTGGCGTGCACTTCCTCCTCTCTGAGGCCCATAAAAGCCCTGGGCTCAGCCAGAGTTGAGCATACATCAGGACGACCAGCTGCAAAGAGGAGCTATCCACTCCAGGGCCCCCTCACTGCTGAGAGCGGCAGAGATGACTGACGCCCTGTCTGCAAAGAGAAGCCACCCACTCTAGGGCCTCCTCCCTGCTGAGAGCTGCCCAGATGATGGAATGACCAGCTGCAGAGAGGAGTTACCCTCTCTGCTAGGAGCTGAACACTCGACAGGACACCCTGGCTGCAGAAAGGAGCTGCCCTATGGGAGACTGAGCTGTTCTATCACTCAGTAAAGCTCCTCTTAGTCTGGCTCACCATTCACTTGTCTGACTACCTCATTCTTCGGGGTTGCAGGACAAGAACTTGGGACCTGGAGAATGGCAAGGCTGAAAGAGCTGTAATACAAAGAAGGCTGAAACATGCCCCTTGCTCTCTATATTGTGGGAAGAGAGAAGGAGAGAAGAGCTGTGACCCCTCAGGGAGCCCAGACCTAGGATCTCCTCGAGCCACGGCTGTGACTCCCTCTTTGAGACCCTGCAGTTCCCAGCATCTCTAAGCTTCTAGGTGCCACCACGTTCCCCAGTGCCAGACAGGGAAGCTACCTGCACCCAATCCAGCCACAGCCTTGCAGAGAGCAGGCACCCATGCCAGCACCTGGAGCTGCCCGCTCTGCAGTAGCAGCCAGCATGTCTGACTGCACAGTGGCTGGGCCCTGCACTGGCTCACACACCCCTTGCCACTCCACATCTGACTCGCAGTCTCCCTTGGAGGCGTGGGATCCAGCCTGGTGGTATGAGCTGAGCGCAGCCTGCCAGGGCGAGTGGGCGGAGCGAGCCCATCAGGCCCAAGCAAAACTTGGGCAAAAGCGCCACCAGCCACAGGTGTCTGGCTAGAAGAGCGACACCCCAGAGATCCTGAAACGCTGCCACCTTCAATAAAAAAGATTTTCAACCAATCAAATTTTTAAAAAGCAAGAAAGGAAGAGAGAAAATCATTGAAAACATGGAAATTGAGAAAACAAAATAACAGAAACAAGTTTAAACATACTGATGTTCCCATTATATGGAAGTGGACTAAACTCACTGGCAAAAGGACATAGACATGGTCAAACACTTGGAGAAACTTAAGCTATACATAGGCTGCATACAAGAAACACACATAAAACATAAGCACTTTGAAAAGTTCAAAGTTAAGTATGGTAAAGATAAACCTGGCAAATACTAACCAAAAGAAAGCTGGAATAGATATCATGTTATCAGACCAAATGTGTATTTAGGGATGGATGAGGTCACTTCATGATAATGGGTCCGTTCACCAGGAAAATACAACTGGTAAAGCTGCACCTAATAAATTAGCCTCTACATGTATAAAACAAAAATCGACAGAATTACTGAGAGAAATGAACCGCCATAGTAGGATATTACAAAGCAAGCCCCTCAGTTATTAATAGGCCAAGCAGAAAAATATAATAAAGATTATCATTTGAATAATACAATTAACAAGCTTAATTTAATGGGCATAAAGAGAATATTATTCTACCTTTTACCATCTCTGTGAACGCAAGCAGGTCACTGGACCTGTTTCCTCATCTGCAAAGCAGGGACGACACTATTTACAGTGTTTTTGTCAAATCTAAAGTGTCATTGGCAATAAGACTTACCATGATATTACGTGTCTCTAGGCAAGGAAGAACTCTGCCAGTTAAATGCAGGCTGCCAATTCTAAGTCCCATCTCAATTTTAGAGATATTAAAATGTAAAAAAAAAAAATGTGACTTAGGATCAATTAAATGCTGCATCTCATATGAACTGCATGATGGTTAAAAAGAGATGTCAGTAAAATACCAGACCCATGCTTTTCCTGCTCTCTATGCCTCCATAACTGTAGGCTGCAAGCAGGTGAAGGTAAACTAGGGGAGAGCATGGTACAAATCTGAAGTGGGAATGTTCGTTTTTAGCTTCCACACATCCATTTGTGTTCTAGACACCCGCACCTCAAAAATAACCTCAAAAGTTTCCTTAGAGGGAAAATTAAGTCAGAATCACAACAAAGTGATAAGACCACCTGCTCACCAGGTCAGTAGGACTGGAGAAGAGAAGGGATGTGTGAAGAAAAACACAGGATGGGGAGGCTGGCGTCAGATCCGCCCCCTGGAGCAGCAGTGATGCTGAGAGTGGGAGTTGCGTATATTCCAAAGAGCAGGGCAAGAATGAGGAAGGCCCGTGGTGCAAGGCCAGGGAGGGTCAGCCTCAGCTCTCTCCTGCCCTAGGCCTGGGCCTCTGCAGCCTGCAGTAGGGCCCGCGGGACTAAGAAGGTCCTTCAGCCAGCCCACCGCTTAAAAAAAATGGGAATAAGAGAGACTTCAAGGAAAGTGATTGGAGACAGGGCATACGTCTACTTTCCAAATGGATGAAAAATTCAGACTACTAAATGTAGCTTTGCCGTTTTCAGCAGAGGCATTTTTAGTGTTTTAATTATATCACTATTTTTGAATGGCTTTAAATATAAATACTCTTCACTACTTTGTGAAAATCAGGTTTTTTTTTGTTAAAATCCTTTTTTAAAAATAAATTTAAAAACAAAGGAACAAAAACAAATAAGCCTAAAACTATCTTTGACCTGGAGAGGCCTCTGTCCCCTTGGTAAACAGATCTACAGGCTGCCTGTCCTTCCAAGGCCATTGAAATGCCACCTCCAGACCTCTGTGATTCCCAGCTGGAAGTGCTCTCGACCCCCCAACCTCCAGGAATGCTTGCGTCTCTCTAGTGGCACTGGTCACTTATCACCTCACCCAATTTGGGTGTGTTTGTCCCACCAAAGACAGTGAGATCTTTCAAAGCTCCGAATTCCCTCTCTCCACCTCCAGCCACTCATAGCACTAGGTGTCAAACAGTGAGTTACAGAGTGAATTAATCCTGATGGTCACCGAGGAACAAAGTATGCTTTTAGGAATTCTTTACAAAACTCACTTTTTTTTTTTTTTTTTTTTTTTTTTTTTTTTTTTTTGAGAGAGTCTGTCTCTGTCCCCCAGGCTGGAGTGCAGAGGTGCAATCTCCGTTCACTGCAAGCTCCGCCTCCCGGGTTCATGCCATTCTCCTGCCTCAGCCTCCAGAGTAGCTGGGACTACAGGCGCCCGCCACCACACCCAGCTAATTTTTTTTTTTGTATTTTTAGTAGAGACGGGGTTTCACCATGTTAGCCAGGATGGTCTCGATCTCCTGACCTCGTGATCTGCCCGCCTCAGCCTCCCAAAGTGCTGGGATTACAGGCGTGAGCCACTGCGCCCGGCCCAAAACTCACATGTTTCTATGACAGGGATTGACGTTGATTACAAAAGAATACATTTGTTGGTAGCATATTTCGTTTATTGTTGCGAAATTACACAATAATACAGTTAAAATTCTCTGAAGTAATGGCCATCACCTCTCTGAAAAATGACACCAAGCATTCAACATTTTATCTCGTGTTTTAGTTTTCCATGGCTGCTTTGAAAAATTGCAATGAACTTAATGGCTTACAACAATACACACTGATTATCTTACAGTTCTGTACATTAGAAGTCCAGCATTGGTCCTGCTGGGCTAAAATCAAGGTTGGCAGGGCTGTGTTTTCTTCCGGAGGCTCGAGGGATAAATCTGTTTCCTTGCCTTTTCCAACTTCTGGAGGCCGCCCACATTCCTCGGCTCTTGGCCTCTCCCTCCGTCTTCAAAGCCAGAATAGTGGGTTGAATCCTTTTCACACAGAATCACTCTGACTTCTCCTTCTGCCTCCTCTTCTCCCACTTTTAAGACCTTTTGATTACATTGGGCCTACTCAGATAATCCAGAATATTCTCCCCATTCCAAGGTCTTTAACTTAATCACTTCTGCAAAGCCCACTTTGCCAGGTAAGATAACCTATTGGTGGGTTCTGGGGATTAGGATGTGGCATTTTGGGGAGGCCATTATTCTGTCTACCACACCAACTGGCACACTTGTTCTGTGTGTATGTGTGCATGTGTGTCTGTCTGTCTGCCTGTCTGTCTGGGGTAATTACATAGGGGCCTCAGACCTTTGAACTGATCAGGAGAGTATGTAATTTGGGGTGAGGGGGTGGAAGTGGAATTCTGCCCATTGCTCCTGGCTGCCCAGGACTGGGGAGAAGGAGGTACGGATGCGGCAATGGGACAGCTCTGGCAAACCTGCCAGGCACTGCTAGGTAACCTTTTTTAGAAAAGTTTTAAGAATGGGCTAAAAAAGCCCTGGCCCCTGATCCAATTAATACGTATTAGCATTTAATTAGTATTTAATTTAATTGGTATTTATTAGTATTCAAAATCAGGGGCAGTCCATCCAAAACCACAGCTGAAGAGCTGGCACACTGCAACCATTCTTCCATGATACCAACAACAATGAAATTTCAGGGTTAAGGGTGACCCATTTAAGAAATATATTTTTGCAGAAGAGGCTTTAGAGCAGGCCCTTTCAGCAGTTTGAATCAGAAAGTGCTGAAGTTCCTCAATTCAGTTTTAATAGCAGCAGCTTCCTTTGCAGATGTAGAAGAGGCCCTCTTTTCCTTCTTGGGATTGTTAAATCTACATTGACAAAGTTCAGACCCTGGAGCATACATGGCTGTACACACAGTAGGTGCTTGAATAGCTGTTGAGCTGAATAATCCAAAACCTTTTATTTCTAGGCTATGAGTAAATACAAAAAGATTAGATTGGAAGCAATTTGGTGATATCTAATAAGATTTAAAATGAACATATCCCTGACCCTGCAGTTCCATTTCTTGGTATCCATCCTAAAGAAATATTTGCATATGTGTGTAAGGATGTACATGCAGTGTGGTGGAGTTTGCAATGGTCACAGATTAGAAACAGCTTAAACGTCACTTGAGGAATGGCAAAATGAATACAGTACATCCATACTAAGCAACTTAAAAAAAAAGCTACATCTATATGTTTGAACATATTATGCAGTGAAAAAAAGCAAGTTTTGGAACAATATGTATCAGTGTGATTTCTCCAGAAATTATATATTTTATAATATATATACACAATAGAAATGTACATAACATAAACTCTTTCTCCCTATGTCTCTGTCTCTCTCACACACTCTTTCTCCATATACATGACATAGAAATTTCTGGAAGCATAAACAGCAAACCGGAAACAGTTGTTACTCTGGGAAGGGGCTGGGATGGTCTTGAAGGAGTGTGGGTTGGTAAAAATGGATTTTTACCTTGACCTAGGTTGTGTGATTTTTTTTTTTGCAACAAAATGTGCTTAAGTGTAATGTAAAGTAATACATATATATATATATATATATTTTTTTTTTTTTTTTTTTTTGAGATGGAGCTTTGCTCTTGTCATCCAGGCTGAGGTGCAATGGCATGATCTCGGCTCACTGCAATCTCCCCCTCCCGAGTTCAAGCGATTCTCCTGCCTCAGGCTCCCAAGTAGATGGGATTATAGGCACGTGCCACCACGCCTGGCTAATTTTTGTATTTTTAGTAGAGAAGGGGTTTTATCATGTTGGCCAGGCTGGTCTCGAACTCCTGACCTCAGGTGATCCACCTGCCTCGGCCTCCCAAAGTGCTGGGATTACAGGCGTGAGCCACCATGCCTGGCCAAAAGTAAAATATATTTTAAGTTAAAAAAAAAGAAACAGAATGAAATAATTTAACATTTTAAGATAATATCAAAACTGATTATCAAATCTATTAAAATGTTACACACCACAACAATTAAGACTGAAAGTTCAAAAATATTTATTCGGATTTTGTTAAAAGCATATGTGAATGTGTGCATATATATATATTTCAATATGTATCTAATTATATTTATATACATACTACATCTACCTATTATTTACCATATCTATCTATAAATACTATATATATATCTATATACTACATGTATCTATATATACTTAAAATAAAATGCATAAATGCTGCTTTGGCTAAATCATGGATAAATGTGTCTTTTAAAAAATCATTGTTCTTATTATTTATAATGGCAAATTTATCTCCTATATGATCATGATTAATTTGGCAATTGAATACAATTTGCCTTTTAAATAATTCAATTAACTTTAGTAAATTAAAAAAGTTTACTGACATAGTTGCAAAATTAAGAAAAACCTAAAACACTGCTTTACAGTATATAGCATCCCTTTAAATGAAACCCTTCCAAGTGTGAAGAATGTGTTACGGTTTTATCAAATGAATAATCTTTGGGTAGAAAAATGGATCCAAATCATGATTTAAACTTTACAACCACTACAGTCTTTCCATTTGAGCAAACTCCTTTTGGAAACTGAGATGGTAGGGGTGTTACCTCAGACCTCTGGGGATATCCCAGGAAACCAAAGCTGCTCTAAAGGAATTGTACAAGATTGACACCAACAGGAATTCCTTTCCAGAATCTGTGAGACTGTAGATTGGGTGTTTAGTTCCACTGAGAAAAGGAGAAGCCACTGGGCTTTCTATTTACTGAAAAAACAGTCCTGAAGATCCTAAATGGTCTGTGCGTGCACGGAAGTTGCCAGAGGTGATCAAATCTTCCCCTCACCCCACAGGGAGCAGACTGCAATCATGCACCTGCTGGTTAACAGATAAGCCCTCCATATGCGGAGGCACTCGCCCAGATGTGCAGAGGATCTGAGCCGGCCCAGTCCCTCCCCCATCCCCGCAGAACAAAGGGCGGTCATTTCCTGCTCCTCCCAGAGTCAGAGACATGCACACGCCTTCCATCACAATTAACTCAAGAATCTGAAACACAACACAAACCGACCCGCAACAAGCTCAAAATCAATGCTGTCAATACCCAGAACGAGGACACCGAAAAAGCAACACAAAACAAACCTATTCAAAGAGTAAATACTCAAAGCAACAGGGCTCCAGTCAGACATACTACAAGGTCAACACATTCAAGACAAGTTCAAGTACGGAGCGCTTTATAAACTGAAGAGCTGGCTGTTCTCCCAGGGGTGGCAAAAGTAAATGCCTTCAGGGGACAGGTAATGGAAAGGTCTATAAGGTAATAGAGGGTGGACCTGTCATGAACTGAACCATAGGTGCCCCTGATGAAGATTTCAAATGCAATTTTTCAAAATTTCAACTCCTGCTACATGATTCTTAAACAGTGAGTTGACAATCAGACAGATAATAAAGCAGAATTAAATATAGGTTTAGGGTGGATGAAATCTAAGAGTCAAAATCAGAAATGTCAAAAAGTCCACATAGGATGAAAGGCAGGGCAGTGATCCTAGCTTTCATTGTTTGAAAAGACAGTGATCATCTGGTTTATATCTTCAAAGGCAATAGCAAAACAAAACCTAAAAGAAATGGCTTATTAAACTCTAATATGTGGGATTCAGATTAGTCAAATCGGTTCTTGACATAAGTAACTATCGAGCTGGATTACAGTAGGATTGCCACGTTCGCTTGGATGGCTCAAAGTAAATGGAGCCTCCGAATACTATAGGTGTGGTCTTATTGTAAGGCAAGGGGTGGACCAAATGACCTCCCAAGGTCCTGATTTAAATATGTCTGTATAGTCCACTTTTGGTTATCCAGCCCAAAAAAGGAGACAGTGACAAATCATCCAAAGCTGAAGATAATAAAAAGTTATATTTGCCTTTGGAATGTATTTTGGTACTCAAATTAGAATGTGTCTTTCTGATGCGCTGAGAATTCGCAATGCTTCACAACAGCCACAAAGAAAGCCTGACCTGGAGCTGGGAGACTGCCCAATTTTGCCATCCTGTCTTCTGTGTAACTCTTATTCTTTGCTGGGGGTGAGCAATAAATATCATCTTTCAGAATAACATCCAGCAGCCTAAGCTTTCTCAGACAGAGGCTGCTTTGCTCAACCCTGCCCTGGAAGAAGAGATAGGGGTCTCTCTAAATGGCTGATTTCACATCAAGACCCAGGATGGTCTAGTTCTTGTTTCCGGAGGATGACTCCAAAGTCCTATAGGACCCACATAAACAGCAAGCTAGACAAGGTTGAGACTTCTAAACCTTGTAGTCAGTGCAAATGATGGTCTAGCTTCACTAGCACAGAGGACACAAAGGCACATTTCTTGAAAGAGAAAGAGAAAAAGACTTCATTGAAGAGGAAGACGAAATGAATGCCCAGCACTTGGAAAGAAAGAAGCTGAAGGCTCAGGAGGTGCAGGAGCAATCCCCTGCACATCAAAGGACTGGCAGGATAAAGACCTGCACACAGAGCCCACATTTACGCACAGGGCTCAGGGAACTGACCTCAGCGACTGGGCCCATGGTGGCACATATCATTCCCTTTGACCTGGAAAGGATAGGGAAACTGAAAATTCTGCTACCAAACAGCTCTGCTTCTTCCCAAACAGACCCAGGCCAGCACCAGCCCTGGGGCCAAGACCTTCTCTGCTAGTTCTGTTCTTCGCAGCTGAAAGATGAATCTTGAGGAGAGCAATGCAACCTGTGCCTACTATTTCAGCATGCCTTTGAGAGAGATGCTGTGGAAAGGGGCAAAACGATAGCAAAAATAATGAAGTATGCTGTAAGAGGCTCTTTGCATCCTCCTTTAGTGGGTGTGCTTGGCCCTTCGCACCCTTTCTTTCCTTCCATCTGGAACCATGGGAAAAGAGTACAAAAGAGTGGGGGGTGGGGTGGGGGGGCACCCAACGGGTCTCCTGCAACAGCCAGGGCAGAAAGAGGGAGAGCCAGACCATGAGAAGCAGAGTTGGCTGCTCATTGTAGGGGCAGGGGCTGGGGGAGGAGTGCAAGGTACTGAAATCAGAGACAGCTTTGCAGTGGAGACAGGGAGAGGCTTTCCATGCTCTGAAAGGCTTTCCATGCTCTGCAATCTGGCTAGCTCCTTCCAGATGTCCAGGTCCCAGAAGGAGAAGAAAATAGGGTGAAGACACTTTCTGTTCATATCTCAGGTCTTACTTTTTTCCACATTAACCTGAGGGAATACGAGAGTATACCATCTTCCAAGATGAAAGGAGGGCATAATAGTAGCAACTTGGGGGGCGAGGAGGAGGAGAGAAGGACGGTTGCCTTGCCATTCTCTGTCCTCTGTCAGTCCCCAGGGTCTATCAGGGGAGGCCAGGGTCACCAAGTAGGAGGCAGGGCAACCATCCAAACAGAACATCTCAGAGATGCATCAAAGTCCTTTAACCAGAGATTCTGGCAGGGTGGCACATGGCTCTGGGAGTCAGTTTGGGTATGGACTTAGTGAGGAGGGTGTCTCCCTGATTCAGAGAGCAACTGGACAGTCACAGAACTGGACACAGGCAAGGCTGATTAACTGCAACCCTGCTCAGGTCACCCCAGGTAAAAAGCGTCATTACAATGATTCCATTTCTCCTTTTCTGTCATATTCAGCTCTTTAGTTTTTTCCTTCTAAAAGCCCAGAACTGTACTGTCCAATTCAAATGTGGCTATTTTTAATTAAAATAAAAGAAAATTTAAAAATTCAGTTCCTTGGTCACACTAGCCATTTCACATACTCAGTAGCTACGTGTGGCTGGTGGATTCCATACTGGACAGCACCAACACAGAACATTTACATCATCACAGAAAATGCTTCTGGATAGCACACCAATCTACATCTAGAAGGCCTAGAATTGAGCAACTCTACTCTTTGCAGTGTAGAAGAAATGAATAGACAAAATAAAAACTGTACTTTACAAACAATCTTTTCTATACATCATCACCACTAACCGCCATGACTACCCCGTGAGGCAGGCCAGTAGATTTCAATATGCCCATTTTACTTAGATGAGGAAAGTGGGTCTGTGTAAAGTAAATTGCATAGGGTTTATAGATACTAGGTTGGCTACGGTTAGAATTAAAACCAGGTCTTTCAATTCCAAGGTCAAAGCTTTCTACTGTTACATGCAACTGCTGCAAATAATGTTACCCGCCAGTTACTTTAGTGCTACCAAAAAAGCTCAGGCCTCCCAGAATGAGGTCGACAGGCCCCTGTAGTGTTTTTATTGATTGACTGATTTTTGAAGTGATAACGAAACTTTGTACAGTGTAGTTTGGCAGCTGTAGAGTTAGGAAGCCTTGGGGTTCAGATCCCGACTTATCTACTTACTATTTACTTAGCAGAGAGCAAGTTGCTTACTGCCTCTGAACCCCATCTGCCTTTTCTCTCAATGTGGATGACAATACATTTACTTCATAGTGCTGTTGGGGATGAAATAAAATGAGGGATGTGAAATAAGATGATGCATAGTGTCTGGCACATATTAGTGCTCAATGCACAATCTTTTTTTTTTTTTTTTTAGATGGAGTCTTGCTCTGTCGCCCAGGCTGGAGTGCAGTGGTGCCGTCTCGGCTTACTGCAACCTCCGCCTCCTGGGTTCAAGCAATTCTTGTGCCTCAGCCACCTGAGTAGCTGGGATTACATGCGCGCGCCACCATGCCCAGCTAATTTTTGTATTTTTAGTAGAGACGGGGTTTCACCATGTTGGCCAGGCTGGTCTTGAACTCCTGACCTCAAGTGATTCACCCATCTCGGCCTCCTAAAGTGCTGGGATTACAGGCGTGAGCCACTGCACCCGGCCCTCAATGCATAATAATTATCAATGGTGATTGGCAGAAATTTACAATGCACTGTCACACACAATAGCCTAGGAAGGCTTCAAGACAACAAGCCATTACAGTTATTCCCCTTTTTACAGATGATATCTCTGAATGTCAGTGAGTAAGAGACTCAAGGACATAAAACTGGAACGTTTACACCTTAGGGCATGAACTCAGGCTATTTGGATTCCTAGTCTTATGCTTTTTTTGCAACCCAATGTTGGTTTTCAGGAGAGAAAGGAGCCGTGGGCAACAAGGCATGCTCAGCGGAGGTTTAGCTAACCCTCTTAATTTCCATCTTCCCCCCTCTTTGAAACGGTTAATTAATGTTTTCTTAGTCTTATGTAAAGTGCTGTGCAAAGGCAGCTTTGAGCATACCCTTCTACCATAATTGTCACCCTTAAGCCCTTCCTGTATAGAGATCCTAGAGCCCCACTGGTAAAGAAGTAATATCTGCATAATCAAGTTGGCTTAAATATGAAGAGAAGACAGTGCCTTAAAGCAGAGCATTCCAGTTTTCTCCCTGAAAAGCCTGTGGATCAAACACCCTTCTTCCAAACTTCCTTCCATCCTGACCCACTGCAGTAGCAAAAGACAAGGTCACAGCACCCCAGAACCCCAGCTGAGCCCAGCCAAGCTGCAGCTGAGCCACAGACAACCACAGACCTATGAGTGAGAACGTATGTTGTTGCAAGTCACTGGGGTTTGGAGTTGTTACACAGCCTTATTACAGCAAAATCTGATTAATATCTGTCACACTGAGGGTGGGAGGCACTTACCCCGCCACGACGATCTCAAAGTCCCCATCATGGTCCACATCAGTAACTGCCACACCATAGTTGAGCTGGGTGGGATTACTGTCATAGTCAGGAGGCAGAACTGAGTTGGTGACTGCAGTGAACATGGGTTCAGCCCGCTGGGACCCCTCAGTGATGGGCAGAAACCAGAGCAGCAGCAGGAACGGTAACATCCTGGACATCTGAAACCAAAAGTGACAAATGTTACCGAAAGAACCTGTAACCAAAGCAATCCCGGAACATTAAAGTCCTGGGTAGGCCCAGAGTGCCTTTCTCTCCCATTCATGGAGAGCTTGACAGTGCCTAGGCTGCTGGCTTTCCACAAGCCCTGCCCTCCCCTCCCTTGCCCTCCCCACCCTCATTGAAACTGCAACCTGACTCCATCATGGCTGATCGCCCTTAGCCTGCTCTGCTTTTTCTTTTTCTACAGCATCTATCATTGTGTGATGTTTGGTATAATTTACTTATGATTACACTTATTATTTATTGTGTGCCTCCCTCTGCTAGAGTGTAAGCTCCACTTGGGCAAGGATCTCTGTTTTATTCACTGATATGCAGCAAGCCAAAGGTAGTTCACATAATAGGCACTTCTTTCCTTCATTTATTTCATATTTGTGGAAGGAAGGAAAGGAGGGAGGAAGGGAGGGAGATGGGGAGGGAAAGGTATAAATACAAAGGCATTTCCCATACTCTGGGAGAAAGACTGGGCGAATGAAGAACCTAACAGCTCTCAAACAATGCAGAGTTTGGGTGAGACCCTCATGAGTATCCAGATCTAGAACAATAATAGATGCAATGAAAGACTGTTCTCCTGTGGTACATACTCCAGAGGTAGCCAGGGGGAATATGTGACTTGGCAGGTTCCTCATGCCAACATCCCTCCCTAGGGCAGCTGGCCATCACCTCCAGACCAAGAAGCAGTCAGTTAGGGGAGGCGTTCCAGCAGGATCTGGCGGATAGCACATCATTCACTTGGAGAAATTAAACCATTGCGTGCGTGTTTTATTATAAATTAATTATGTATAATGCATTGTATAATTCATTATTATATCTCTAACATAACTCAGGGTGTTGCCAAGTAGCCTGGGGCCATGGGAGCCTGTGGCACACACCCAGGAGACAGATGAAAATGGCCAAGGAGGTGGAGGGATTCCACCCCCCTTGAGTGAAAGCAAGGGAGACACTTGGAACGCTGCAGATGGCACCACCCTGAGACTCTACCTGCAGGCCTAGAATCAGCACTCATGAAATGTTTTAAAGGCTCTGCTGGAAGGAGGTCCACAAAGGCTGCATGGGTCTAGTCCCAGCAGGCAAAGCGGTACTTTCCTGCCTTCAGAAGGTAGCAGACCTCTTCTAGATGGAACTTTTCCTGCTGGCTTGTCAGTGCATCTGGCAGCCAAGGCAAGGCTGACTGAGGCTGATGTCTTAATGAAGGGAAGAGCAAGGAAGATCTGAAGACTGTCTCCCCATATGGAGACAGATGCTCCTGCCGGCAAATGAGCTTGCTGTTCAAGGACCCAGAGACCAAAATGAAGGGGCTGGGCACTGCCTTCAGAGCCAGACGTGATTCAGGAGCCTCCTGAATGCCTTGCTGGAGAGGCTGGGGAGTGACACAGGGGCAAGGCTCCAATTGCAGGGCAGAAACTGGGAAGGAGGTTCTTGTAGTGTGTTCACAGGGCACATGTGGGGTGTGGCACTACCAAACTGAGGTCATTCCAAATTACAGAGATGTCTGAATGAGACAGCATCTTCTACTGGGTTTTCTAATCACTAAAGACAAATGCATCATGAATCACTACAAGAGCTCTGCAACTTGGCAGGAACTTTGATTGGATAAAGGAAACTCATAATTGGATTAATGAGCAGCTGGGTGGGGATGGGGGAGGAAATGGGAAACTAAAGAGTATTTAATAACCAGTGTCGACATGCCGAAATGTAGCATGGATCTGAAGGTCATTGGACTTTTCAAGGGATGACCTCTATTGTAGTGAATGGCAAAGGAGTTTCAATTTGAGGGCCAAATCCAATTGACTGGCAGTGGCTGGAAAGAGTGCTGTGATCAGCTTACAACATCAGCAATGGGCATGGAAGAGAAAAGTGGCATCTAACATGTCTTTTCGAAGCTAGTTAGTTCCTCCCAGGCACCACATCTGCAATTTGGGTCACGGCCACCAGGGAGGCTGGCCCCATTCAGGTAATATGAGCCTAAAAGTTCTAATCATTAGAACCTTTCCAGTGAAGGCCCTAAGAGTCAAGAATTATGATCTAGCCTCTTTAGTTTTACCTTTTCTTTTAATTAAAGAAGACATACGAAAGAAGTAGCTGCTGTGTTATCCGTTTCCAGATAAATAACCTAAAGCAAGATGAGAAAGAAATAATGCACCCATTGGCTGACCTCTATTTTGCTTGGGTGACCTTAAAACAAGTCACAACCTCTTTGGGTCTCAGCTTTCTTCTCCAAAATAAAGGTTTGGAGTTCTCTAAAGGTCCTTTCTGGCTCTAAAATTCTATGATGAATTAAAAGATTTTGTTTTTTGGATGCAGACCTTCAACAGTTTTTTCCCTCCTAAGCTGCTTCTATAAACTTCAGGCCAACCCATGTGGTTTTCCTTTCTAAGGATATTAAACATATTTTGAACAAGACAAGCTTTTCAGCAGGGTTCTACAGTAGTTGCCTCACAAGGGCCAAGGCCAGAGAGGAGCAAGCCATCATTAGTGTGGATCCTGAACTCACCCAGCATGAGTAGACCAGTGGTTGGCCTCCCCATGAGACCAGGGAGAGAGTGGGGCAGGGAGAATAAGTCCTTTACATTTCATTCCTCTGCCATGCCAAAGGCACCCAATGCACCCACCGGGCTTCTCAGTACCAGTTGAAAAGTCAGGGATAAGCAGTGGGCTGTCTTGATGGCGTATTTTTTGGGCAATGGTTACGGTGAGGAAGCTTAGAAGAAGGTCTGTAAATATAATATTTACCCTCTTTTTGGGGGGTTCAGATAAAGGAAATCATTTAAATGCTCTTCTCCACCCTGGCTACTCAGAGCAGTCGGCAGACCAGTGCATCGGCATCACTTAGGAGCTTGTTGGAAATGCAGAATCTTGGATCCCACTCCAGACTTAATAAATCAGAATCTGCATTTTAACAAGATTTCAGATTATTCCAATGCGTGTTAAAATTTGAGAAACACTGCTCAATCTTGGCTGTGCATTGGAATCATCTGGGGAGCTTTAAAAAAATTCTCATGCCTGACAATAGTTTCTTGGATAAGACAGCAAAAGCACAGGCAACAAAAGAAAAAATAGCTAAAACAGACTGCATGAAAATTAAAAACTTTTGTACATCCAAGGACACTATCAAAAGAGTGAAAAGAGGACTCACAGAATGGGAGAAAATATTTGCAAATCATATATCTAACAAGGTATTAATATCCAGAATATATAAAGAACTCCTACAACTCAACAACAAAAAAACTAAACAACCTGACTCAAAACAAATGACTTGAATAGACATTTCTCCGAAGATATACAAATGCTCAATAAGTACATGAAACATCACTAATCATTAGGGATATGCAAATCGAAACCACAATGAGATACCATTTCACACCCATTAGGATGGCTGTAATAAAAAACAAAAACAGAAAAAAAGTGTTGGTGAGGATGTAGAGAAATTGGAATCCTTGTGCACTGCTGGCAGAAATGTAAAATAATGCAGCTGCTGTGAAAAACAGTATGGCAATTCCTCAAAAAATTCCAATTAGAATTGTCATATGATCTAGCAATTCCACTTGGGCATATACACAAAAGAATTGAGAAAAGAGACATGAACAGATATTTGTATACCCATGTTCATAGAAGTATTATTCACAATAGCCAAAAGGCAGAAGCATCCCAAGTGTCCATCAACGGTTGAATGGATAAACAAAATGTGATATATGCATACAGTGCAATATTATTCAGCTTTAAAAATGAAGGAATTGCTTTTATATAGGAAGAAAGAAAAAATAAAAAATAAATAAAAGGAAAGAAATTCGGACACAGAGTACAAGGTGGGTAAATCTTGAAGACATTATGCTAAGTGAAATAAGCCAGTCGCAAAGGGACAAACACTGTATGTTCCACTTCTACGAGGTGTCCAGAGTAGTCAGATTCATAGAGGTAGAAAGCAGAATGGTGGTTGCCAGGGGCTGGGTATAGGGGGAAATGGGAGTTAGTGTTTAGTGGATTATGGAGTTTCCATATGGGAAGATGAAGAAGTTCTGAAGGTAGATGGTGGTGATGGTTGTACAACAATGTTAACGTACATAACATCACTAAAGTATATACTTAAATATGGTTAAAATTGCAAATTTTATGTTCTGTGTATTTCATCACAATAAAAAAATACTAATGCCTGGGTCTCATCTCAAGATATTCTGACTTAACTGGCACAGTATATGTAGCAAGGGCACCAAATTTTTGTTGCTGTTAATATATAATCATGGGATATCAGATTTTTAAAAGCTCCCACATGATTCTAATATGTTGCAAAATTTGATGAGCAGTGCTCTATATCAGTGCCTCTCAAACTTTAATGTGTGTATGAATCACCTGGTGGTCTTGTTAGAATGCAGATTCTGATTCAATAATTCTGCAGTGGAGCACAAGATTCTATATTTCTAACAAGCTCCCAGGTGGTGGTGGTGATATTGGTCCATAAACTACACATCGAATACCAGGTTCCATACTGTAGCTCCCAGAGTCCTGAAACCAGGCTATATACTACAGTGAAGGCACGAGATTGGTTTAAGAACATTCTCCTCTGCCTCTGGATCTAAGGAGCTGAAATCAATCCTAGGTTATGCAATCTCCAGAGCTGCCCAGGCTCAGTTTATCTTTACACACTCAAAGTGCTGGCTGTCTTCAGCTCAAGATCAAAGTACCACAATTGACAAGGAGTGACAAAGAGGGATTCTGACTCTAATTTTTATGAAGAGGTGAGAAGGGGAAAGGGTTGATGCTGCAGAGAGGGTCAGGTCAAGGAGATGAAGGACAGCTCCCATCAAAGGGCAGAGTCTAGGAAGAAGGGGTTCTGGGTAGGAATTTGCAGGCCAAGATAGAAACATATGCCACTGTGTTCCCAGAAACCATCATAGTGCCTGGTACCTAGCAGGCGCTCTGTTAATATGTGTTAAGTAAGCGCGGGAATGAGTATGTCCAATTGATAACATGAATCAACAGAAACTGCTTGCAATTTGTCATAGGTGTTTAAAAGCCGTTCTTCCTCTAAAGAAATGCTCCTCAAAAGGCAATGTGCTTACCAATCACCTGAGGGTCATGTTGAAAATACAGATTCGGATTTGGTAGGTGTGGGGTGGTCCCTGAGAGCCTGCATTCCCAGGAAGTTGTCAGGTGATATGAGACTCTAGGCTGGCGGCTCTGAACCCTAGCTGCCCAACAGAACCACCTCGGGTGGAGGTGTTTAGAAATATGCCACCACCCAGGTCCCTTACCCAGTTTCTGATTGAACTGGTCTGAGGTGGGAGTTTGAGTGCTGTGTATTTTTAGAAGCTGCTCAGATCATGTTAATGGACAGTCTGGGCTGAGAACCACTGCCCCAGCCTTGTGGTCCCCAGATGGGAAGCTGCAATCTGATTTGAAGTGAGAAATGTTTCTGCTACCCAAATTCATCACCGGCTGGTTGAAGTCTATAAAGAAAACCTATTTATCTAGGGAGTGTCAGAGGAGGAGGGGGGATATAAAGTTTTGGGGGAAAAGCAGAGCAGGATGACACTGCCTGAAACAGAAGAGCAGCTGGCACCCGGAGTGACCTCGCATTTTGTGTGGCTGACTCAGGGAGCCTCTTGTCACACCACTGTGAACATCTGAATCCTTGGGGAGAATGGTAGAAAGGTTAAAAATAGAATGAAAAAGTAGGTTGAACTGAACTGTTTTGTTTTCTTGAATGCTTGTGTATCAAGCACCTACTATGTATTAGAGCACTGGGAGTAGCACTCCCCGGCAGGAGTAGCACTAGAGAAGTACACAGTACACAGTACTCCATGCAGAGATGTGGAAGGTCCTAGGAGTGCAAAGATGAATAAAACCCAGCCTTTGCCTTCAAGGAGCTCTCCCAACAATCAGCGGAGCAGCCATGTGATCTCAGGTGTAACACCCCGTGTAAAGGCAATGGGAGGCTATCCAGGTAAAGCAGCCCAGACAAGGCGAAGCTAAATATCAAAGGCAGAGGGGCACAGGGCCAGAGCGCAGGGTGCCTCGGTAAGGGATGTGGGCTTCTCCTGCAGGGGAGATGTGCGGAGGGGGAAAAGAAGGGACTTCATAAGGGCCAGAGATGGGAAAACTTGTGTTTCAAGCTGTGAGAAGAATTGTTTTTTAATAATAATTTCTTTTCTGTTTTTTGAGATAGGGTCTCACTCTGTCAACTAGGCTGGAGTGCAGTAGCATGATCATAGCTCACTGCACTCTCAAACTCCTGGGCTCAAGCAATTGTCTCACCTCAGCCTCTCAAGTAGCCTAGGACTCCAGTGGGGTGCTAACACTCCTGGCTATTTTTTTTTTTTTTTTGGTGGAGATGGGGTCTTGCTATGTTGCCCAGGCTGATCTTGAACTTCCTGGGCCCAAGCAATTCTCCACAGTGGCCTTCCAAAGTGCTGAGATTACAGGTGTGAGCCATCGTATCTGCTAATAATTTCTTAAAAATGCTCTATAAGCAAACTTTTTGAACAATTCCCAGCAAGGTGAAGAGATAGAGAGATAAAGAGAGGCCAGGCATGGTGGCTCATGCCTGGAATCCCAGCACTTTGGGAGGCCGAGGCAGGCGGATTGCTTGAGGTCAGGAGTTCAAGAGCAGCCTGGCCAACATGGTGAAACCCCGTCTCTACTAAAAATACAACAAAATTAGCTGGGTGTGGTAAGGGGCACCGCCTGTAATCCCAGCTACTCAGGAGGCTGAGGCAGGAATTGCTTGAACCCAGGAGGCGGAGGTTGCAGCAGTGAGCCAAGATTGTGCACTGCATTCCAGTCTGGGTGACAGAGCAAGATGCCCGCAAAAAAAAAAAAAAAAAAAAAAAAAAAAAAAAAGAGAGAGAGAGAGAGACCAACATTGGGAGTTAGCAACCTGGCTTTGGATCTCAACCCTACCACAGCCTAGCTCATGACCTTGGGCCTATTCCTTGATCTTGTTGGTCTTTGGTGTCCTCATCTGTACCATGGAGATCGTATGACCTGCCAAGATTTCAAGGGTTAAGTGAGTGACAGGGAAGGCCTCTCCAGGGCCAGGCAGGCGGCAGCCAACTTGCACGTTCCCCTTCTTTGACATAGAGAGCTGAAAGGTGAGATAGTCTTTAGACATTAATTGTGGGTTCCATGTAGCCAAACTCAGTTTTCTGTGGCCTCAGGACTTTCCTGAATTGGGCCTGGAAACTGGTAACCAAGCAACCTGGATTCTCTGACGTGGGGTCAGGCAGCTGTGGGGAAAGTCTTCCAGGGCAATTTTCGGGGCAAACAGTTCTTTTGCAATTATGGAAAGAGCCAAGGTCACACCCCAAGCTCTCATAAAAACAAGAAGCCTAAATATTTCCGACGTTGGCGACAAGCAGAGAATACACAGCCTTTCAGACACTTGTAGGAGGGCTGAGACATGAAGGAGAGAGGCAGCCACGGGAACACTGCCCCACACAGGCTGGGCCACCAGCTCCACAAAGACACCCACAAAAGAGCTCCTGGAACTCAAGCAACACTGGAGAAGAGCTAACAGGAGCTGCCCTGGGTCTTCACCTGTGACAAGACTTCTTGCAGACCCTCGATAACCCTGGCATTGTGCTAGGTGCTAGGGTCACAGCAAGAAAGCTGCTCACCATTTGCAGTACAGGGTGAGGGGTGCTGCGGAGGAGGGAGCACAGAGAGATGTAAGTTAGCTGGGGGGGGAGCTGGGAAGTGCTTCCTAGAGGGAGGGGTTGTAGCTGGACTCTGAGGATGCCATGAAGTTAGCTGGGCAAGGAGAGGCAGGAGGAGGAGCAGGAAGGAAAGCAAAACAGACAGAGAGCCGACTTTGCAAAGGTCAGGAGGACCCAGCCTTCACCCAGCCTGTCCTTCCCTATCTACAGACCCCGCCGCCTGGCTTATAAGCTAGGAGGCAGCACCCATTTCCCCACATTGCATGTTTCCAGCCAAAGGCCCTTCCATCAGACTAGAGCAGTGGTTCTCCACCACGGCGATTTTGCTGCCCTCTGGCCCTGGGGACTTTTGGCAATATCTGGGGACACTTTTGGTTGTCACAACCAGGGAAGAGGTGCTTCTAGAATCTGGTGGGTAGAGGCACAGGATGCTGCTGAACATCCACAATGCACAGGACAGCCCCCACAATTATTCAGCCCAAAATGTCAACAGTGCTGAGATGGAGAAACCTTAGCTAGATTGACATTTTGGGCCTCCGTCTTTACTCTGCTCCCTTCTCCCAAGGGAGGGAGTTTGAAAGAACTGGTCAGTTTGAAAGAACTGGGATCAAAGAGCCCTCCCTGGACCTGCCTCCCTGCAAGGGCCACTCTGCCATGTGTGGAGCTTGGCCAGGCAAGCTCTGCCCTGCCCCCACCCACAGAGAAGCCTGCAGTGGGCAGGGATAAGGTGTCAGCAAGCCCCACGGGAGCCTGGCCTGCCAGGCAGCTGCCTCTGGAATAAAGGTGGCATTTCCCTCTCCACCTGCCTGAGCCCCACCTGTCTTGTCCTTTCTCTTAGTTGGCCCTGAATCTGAGTCGGGGAGTGGGATGCTATTCGCTGGGCCCCTTCAAACCCCAACACTGTCACTCAGCCTGGAAATCTGGCACCATCTCTGCTGCCTCTTCATTCTTCACACCCACTGGATCCCTGAGTCAATTCTGCTTCACAAATCTCTCTCAATCCTGCTCAGTTTTTCCACCTTTCCTGTGGGGGATCTGCCCCTTTCTCACTCACCTGAACAATAGCAATACCTGCTAACTGCTTCTGTCTCTCCTCTCCCCTCCTCCCACTTCCACACGCTGTCAGAGCTCCCTTCCTAAATCTCAGAGTGGGTCGTGTGGATCTTCATATGGACTCTGGACACCAGACACACAGAGAGGCACATAATTGATATTTTGCATAGCAAGTACTATACGAGGAATGGATAGTAACAATAATAATACATATCTACCACTGACCATGTGCCAGGCATTACTCTAACCCTTCACATAAGTAACCCACTTAATACACATAGTAAGCCTGTGAGAGAAGAACTACCACTGTCCGCATTTTACAGATAAGAAAACTAAGGCACAGAGAGGGTAAGTAACTTGCCCAAGGTCACACAGCTAGTACCTGGTGGATCCAGGATGTGTGTCTAAGCAAATGAGCTCCAGAATTCTTCAGCACCATACTGAATAGTTTCTCTTATGACATCAAATTTGTCTTAACCATGAGATGGGAGCACAGTGAAAGGAGCAACCACCTCTGCCTGGGGAAGCTGGGGAAGGCCTAAGAGGCAACGCCAAGTGGGCCAGAGGAACAAGGTGGAGAGAGTGTTCCAGGCTGAGGGGAGCAGGTGCATGGGAGATGTGCAGGTTTGTGTAGTGCAGTGAGGCTCTGCAGTGCAGACTCGGGGCAGGGGCAGGACACCTGGTGGGAAGGAGTGCAGCAAAGGAGGCTGGAAAAGACCTTGGAAGCCTTGTGAGTGACACAGGCCCAGTGGGCCAGGGAATGCCATGGCTGGAGTGGTGTGTTAGAAGGAATACTGTGTCAGTACAGTGTGAAGAAGGTCATGAGAAAGCTGGGCTGGAAGCAAAGAAGCCAGTTAGGAGGCAAATACTGTGGCCCAAGTGAGCAAGAACACTGGAGGCCACTATTCACTCATTCATTCATTCATTCATTCATTCATTCAGTATTTCTTGTGCACCTACTCTATGTCAGGTACCGCTCTGGGCACTAGGAAAACAGCTGAGAACAAGATGAAGTTTTGGTAATGTATGGCATTAGCATACATTCTAATGCTTCTGTTTCTCCACCCTGTCCCCCACCCTTGTCCTCTGTATTGCCAGCCTAAGAGACAAACTCCAGACCTCTACAACTCCCTACCCCCCAGAAGGTGGCATGTTTCATGCATTTTCCCCAGCACCAAGAAAATGTAAGAATTCCTCTTCCTCCCCTCTACCTGGAGACAGCTCTAGACACTGCCTGCAGCAGCACTCATAGACAGGAGACTTGGGCTTGCTCCAGAAAAAGGCAGACAAAACCTCGGGGGACCCAGGTGAGGAAGTGCCACAGAGGCCAGTGGGCTAATGAAATGGTGTTTCTGAAAGTGAGAGGACAAATGGAATCTCCTAGCCTTATGCAGAAGTCACAGCAGGTTCTTAATAGGTACTATTAACTGCTCAGACTTCCCGTTCTGTAAAATGGGAAATAATGTTTATCGGGTTGCCATGAGAATGAAATGAGGTGAATGTATGTTAAGTGCTGAGCATAATGCCTGGCATAGAGAAAGTCCACACGTGGTAGGTAACAGTACCAATAATCACACCATTACTACTAGTAATAAATGTTTGTGAGATGCATGAATGCATCTCAGGTGAGGGAGTCCAGGCCTGCTCGGTGCTCCCCTTCCAGGAGTAGTTGCCAAATGTTGAATGGAATGCTCTGGGCTATGAGACTTTGAGGAATAGGTTTGCTTCTGTAACTAATTTGTCTAGGGGACCCTGATGGAGTTCTTTGACTCCTTAAATACTGCTTCCTAAGCACAGAACCCCTTAGCATGCTATGCTATACACATTAATTCTTCAAACATTGAGAAGATGCCTATGGGCCACGTTAGAAATGATGAAAAAGACGTGGTCCCTGACCTCAAGGAGCTTACAATCTACCAGGGGTGAGACACAATTCAGTGGGATAACCTCAGAGTAGAAACAGGTACAAAGTAGGCCGGGTACGGTGGCTCACACCTGTAATCCCAGCATTTTGGGAGGCCGAGGCGGGCAGATCACAGGAGGTCAGGAGTTTGAGACCAGCCTGACCAACATGGAGAAACCCCAACTCTACTAAAAATACAAAATTAGCTGGGTGTGGTGGTGCATGCCTGTAATCCCAGCTACTTGGGAAGCTGAGGCAGGGGAATCACTTGAACCTGGGAGGCAGAGGTTGGGGTGAGCCGAGATCACGCCATTGCACTCTAGCCTGGGCAACAAGAGCAAAACTCCTTCTCAAAAAGAAAAAAAAAGAAAGAAAGAAAGAAAAAATAAAAGAAAAAAAGAGACAGGTACAAAGCCTCGACACAAGCCATAGGAGGGAGGGATTAACTAGGGACGTGGTGGGAAGGGCAGGCAGAAAAGGCTCTCTGAAGATGGTGAATTGGATTCTAGATGCTGGAGACCTATGGATCAACGATATGGATGTGAGACAGCTTGATACATGCTGTGAATGCATTTGTTGCTGCTGGAATGCAATGTCTGGGATATGGGGTGGAGGGGAGAGAGAAGAGGGGAGGGTGGGGACAAGGATGGAGACACAGTCTTATGTGGGGCAGCAGCTGGGGCCTGGAGAGCCTGCTATGCCACGGTAAGGAGCCTGGAGTCACACCATGAGGGAAGTTTTGAAGTCGGGCAGAGACAGGATCAGACTTGCATTTTTGAAAGGGCATTTTAGACTTCAGGCAGCAGTGTGCAGGATGGATAGACCGTGTTTCTGAAGAGTGAGTGAGAGTATCACAGAGAGGATTTGAACATCCTGGGGCCAGGGGTGGGGTAGGGCACTGGATGACCTCCAAAGTTCTTTTCCAGGCCTAATAGTTTACGTGTCAAGTTTTTTCCCTAAATAATTTAAAATGCACTCGTGGACCCCACTATTTAAAAGGATCCTCCCAGATATATATTTGTGATTCACTTCCTAGTTTGTCTCCAGTGGAAGTCCAAATTTCCATGCAGTCTATCAGCTTCAAGCAAAGTAAACCTGCACTGAGCTTCCCTGCAGCAGCCAGGTGGGAAGGGGGCGGGAAGGAGAGGGAAAACAGCAAAGGGAGGTAAAGAGGAAGAGAAACTCAGCCTTGCTCCAGGCTCAGAGCCAGCCACCATCTCATGGAGTGGGCCTTGCCTGGAGTCCTCAAGCGCTGCTTGATCAGGGGACCTTTGGAGGTTTACATAGTCCTTGTGCCAGCTCTGGGAAGGAGCTAGATGGAAGGCGGGTTTGGAGATCAAATCGAATACCAAGGGTCACCTCTGCCCCAGAATGGCCACCAACATTCACTTACTCATTTGTGCACCCACTGAGCACCTACTGAGCCCCTCCACATGCCAAGTGCCATGCTAGGCACTGAATTTGTGGCTGAGAACAAATGACGGTGTCTCCCTCATACTGTTTACAAGGCAGCATTTCTCCTTGAGGACTCTTATTTCCCCACCTGAAAAAAGCCTCTTTGGATATACACAGCTTCTCAGATGAGAGGTGCATGATGATGATTTCTAAGAAAGAGCCTGTTCTTAGAGACCAGAGTGAAAGGGAATGTGCCACCCCTTAGAGGAAGAGACTGCCGGTGACGGAAAGAGCCTGCCACCCAGCTCCTCTGATTACAGGGACTGACCTCCAGAGGCTAAGGGACCTGCTTCAGGACACACAGAAGATTCATGGCAGGAATCTACATAGTGACGCTCCCATGTGGGAAGGGAGGGATGTCACCTCAGTCCTCTCAGGGGAGCCTCAAGTGACTTCCTACCTCCCATCCTGAGCACAAGGAGGACAAGACCAGGGTCAGACCTCATGTGAAAAACACCAACCAAGGCTGTTCCCACCAATCCTATAAGAGCGCCTCTGCCCTTCTGGGAGGGGAACTTCCAGCTCCCAGGCCTGTTCCCCTTCCTAAGAGCTGTGTTAAAATTTGCACAACATGATGCTTCCTTTAAGACAGGTCTACATCAATAGAGGGCTGGAATGCCAAAGCAGGAATCTCCACCGAGGTGGCTGCTCTCTAGGTAGGTGAAGGCTGATGTAAGGAAAGAAAGCAGTCCCTGCAGTCCCTCCTCAGGTCACCGGGACACTCCCAGGGCTCAGCAGTGATTCCCATGACCTTGTCACTGTACTTGTCCGGTGCAAACAAAGATAAGAGTAACTGGAAACAACAGAGAGGGTCATTTTATACTCTCTGCACTCTCAATTCTTCCATAGCTAATTAAAGTAATACGTCAAAATGTCCCTTGGAAGAGCTCTTTAAGAATATGTCTGTTAAATAAACAAGGTTTCACTGATTAATGACACACCTTCCCATCCCTCGTTGAAGTTCCTTGTGGAACTTCTGGGCCAGGAGGGTTGAGCAGGAAAGGATGGAGGAGAAGTCGCCATCACCCTTTCTTGGAGGGAGGGGGCACATATCCAGCCTCTTGTCATTTGTGGAGCTATCAGTTTCTCCTCTGGATGCTGATCAGATTTCCTGGGCTGGAACCAACTTACAGGGCCAGGGTACTGGAATTTTTCCAAGAAGTAAACGCTTTGCTTCTTACAAAGTCAACATGATTTCTTTCAAGGAAAATTTTAATTTTTTTAGTGTCTAGGGTTTTTGAAGGGCAAATCTTTGGACCTTTCTCTAAAGAGAATGATTATATTATCCTTTTTTTTTTTTTTTTTTTTTTTTTTTTGCTCTAAGACCACCTCTCCACCACACACACACACACACACACACACACTCATAGAGAGGCATGGGGGTGGGAGAATGATTTGTCCAATATTGCACAATGAGTCAGTGGCATAGCCAGAAATACAACTATACAAACTCCCAATTCTTAATAATAGAAATATTAATATAGTCTCTATAATTTTCTATTTATTTTTGTTTTCACAGCTCACATTTAATTTTCACAACAACTCTGGGGGAATCTGGGTAAAACGGTCTCAGGAGAGAGCAGATCTGAATTGCAGACCAGCTCTGTCACTTGCTTGCAGTGTGATCCTGGCTGCTTCCCTCTCCTCTCTGGATCTCAGTGCCCTCGGCTGTGAAATGGGAGAATTGGATGAGAGTACTTCTAAAATCACTCCCACCTCTAATGTGCTGTGATTCTGTGCTGCAATGCTCCAGTCCCGGGTTTCTCAATCTTGGTGTTAATGACATTTTGGGCCAGATAATTCCTTGCTGTGAGACGTGTTCTGTGCACTGTAGGATGTTCAGCAGCATCCCTGGCCTCTACCTAGTGGATACTAGTAGCACCCCATTCCCCAGTTGTAACAAGAAAAAGTGTCTACAGACATTGCCAAATATCTGGGAGGGGGAACAAAATAACCCCTCTAGTCACCATTCAAGGATTTCGATAAGGTAAAAATCATGAGTGGTTCAGGGGAAAAACGGTCTTCCTCTCCCTTCCTTTCCCCCAACCCTTTCACACCTTTCTGCACACTTTTCAAAGACAACCTCTCAGTCCTTTGCTGCTTCTTATTTCTTAAATGCCCTAAATGGTCTGGGGTGTGTTTGGTGTGATAATGAACCAATTGATTTCATACTTTCTCCTAAGGAAAGTTCACAGGTTTATGTCCCCTAAGCAACCAGCCAGGCTCTCCAGAAATCCCTAGCAGAGCCCAGGCTGGCCTGGAAGCCTGTATCTGCAGCCTGCAGGAGGCTCGGTGAGCACGAATTTGTCAGCACTCTTAAATCACTAGGCTCCAAGGAAGGCTTCTCCCAGCAGAAAGATCCTTCCTTAGGAATCAATAGCTCAGGGCCCTCCATCACATTCAGAATTATCCTGGGACCCATAAAATTTCTTTTCCCCAAGCATGGCAGAACCCCAAAGTGAAAACCCTGAGGTGGGGCAGGGAAAGAGGCAAGGAGGGAGCCCTGCCAAGAAGGCCTTGCCCATCAGCCCAGATATTGCTGTGAGCAGAGGCTGATGTGCAAACCTGGGCACTCAGGCTCACTCACTGGGAAAAAGAAGACTCGGGGGTTCCCAGTGATTCAGCAATAATATCCCCTTCCAACTGAATACCTCTTTACCTCTAACCAAGGGCAGAGGAATACTAAAGACTGTCTCCCTCCAGCTTCGCTCCCCTACCCTCATCACATGGTTGTCAGCCTCATCATTTAGCAGAGAAGGAAACTGAGGCTTGCAGAGGTTAAGTGGTTTGTTTAAGGTCTCTAAGCCAGCAAGCGGAGACCAGATTCTAAGCCTGTGTCCTTACCATTACAATGAGAGGGGGAAGGGTCAGCCATCTGGTGGGGCTCATAAAAGCCCCACTGGACAATTTCCTGTTTCTCATAGTCTAATGCCACTTCTCAAGCTCTCTACCCACTCCCGCATTCAAACAAAAGTCCAGAGAGCTTGTACTATAACCACAATGTATGTAAGTATATTCCTCTGGTCTTATCCAGAACCAGAACAAGTCTTGAGAATGCAGGCTCATTTCACCAGGTAAAGCTAGGAGCTGGTGAGATCTCAAGCATAGCCTCTTAAGACTCCAGTTTAAAGAGAGGGGCTTTTCCTCTCCGGTGGTCCACGTGATCCTGCACCTCCCTCCTCCCGCTGAAGATGAAGCTCCAACTTCATCTTCTGTGAGCATGAGGGAGAGGAGGGGACTCAAGCATCTTCCCTGGCAACAAGCATCCCTTTCGTGAGTCTTAGGGAGAGAAGAGGATTCCGCCTCTCAGAATTCTGGCTTGGCAGCAGTGGGTTTCTTACGAGGGTAGGCTTCCGAGTCTGCTGAGGCTCCAAGGAGAACCAGGAGGAAGTCCATCCAGTGTGCAAAGAAGCCAGGTGGGGAGATAATAACAAAAGGGGGCCGGGCGCGGTGGCTCACGCCTGTAATCCCAGCACTTTGGGAGGCCGAGGCGGGCAGATCACGAGGTCAGGAGATTGAGACCACAGTGAAACCCCGTCTCTACTAAAAATACAAAAAGTTAGCCGGGCGTAGTGGCGGGCCCCTGTAGTCCCAGCTACTCGGGAGGCTGAGGCAGGAGAATGGCGTGAACCCGGGAGGCGGAGCTTGCAGTGAGCCGAGATTGCGCCACTGCACTCCAGCCTGGGCGACAGAGCGAGACTCCGTCTCAAAAAAAAAAAAAAGAGAACAAAGGGGGCCGCCCACAGGCCACTCAGCAAACCTGTTTCCCAGAGCCCAGCTCAGATGTCGACAGCCAGGCTCTCGGAACAGAAGAAAGGGCAATGGAAATGGTAGTATCTTGCAGGTCACCGAAGAAGTCCAAACATAAGGATTTGGCAAAAATAGAATGTCCTAGCACTCTGACCTTGAGCTGGGAGCAGCAAGGGTGGGGGAAATAGGCAAATACTCTTTGGAAACTCTCCAATCCATCTATAATCTGAATCTGGGAGGTCTCACCAGCAGTGGTGTGACTGCAAGCAGAGAGACCCCACGCCAACATTCCTTGGCGCTCCAGACCTGGGTTCCAAGACCACAGTGAGGGACTCGGCACTTCTGACTCCTAAATGCACAGACTGAAACCTGGACTTGCATGGCTTTTGCTTAAAACACCACTTGGAATAATGAGACGAGATTGTAGAGGCAGGGAAAGAATAATTAGGAATTTCTATGACCTGTGTATGTCCATGACAAGAACTGTATTTTCTCCTCACCTCCTCACTCTGAAAAACAGATTCAAAATAGAATCTCCCCAACTGTATGGGATGTATTAATTTACCAAAGCCTGGTCAGTCAATAACTATGAGTGCCTACTGTATAGAGAAAGTATGTCCATCTTTATAGTGAAGAGGAAGCAGGCCGCTGGAGTGGAAACAGCTCTGAATCGAGCAGTGGGAATCCTAGGGCCTAGTTCCATGTCTTCCACCAAATAGCCATGTGACCTTGGCTTTATCCAGCTTCAGTTTTCTCATCTGTAAATTAAATGTGCATGTGAGTGTTGGGATGGAATGGGGTTGGATGAGATGCTCTCCAAGGCTCCTTGCTTCTGGCTCTAATGTTCTGGAACTCCATGAACCCTTAAAGAGTTCAAAGAACACAGCGGCACCAAGCACAAAGGAATGATCCCCGAGAGAGGGTGGGGCTGTGTACCAGCTCTGTCTCCTTGGAATGTTGTGCTTGCACCTGCCCCATAGCACCCGAGGTCACAGGACCACCTGAAGCCCAGGAAGCATGTGGTAGAAGGATTCCAAGTACGATGGTGGTGGTTGAAGGCTGTAGCCTGAGCTGCCTTAAAGCATTAAGTTGCTACAGCCAGTAAAGGGCAAGAAGTGAGAAAGTCAGTGGTCCTGAGCCAGGTACCTTTGGCGCCCCCTACTGGACACCAAGGAGTCTGCTCCACCTTTAGGCTTCCACCGCCTCAGCACGGAAGCAAGGGAGCGCTTGAGCATGAGAGGCTGTCACAAGCTGTTTAGTAGGACTGCCTTCCCGGTTGGTGGTATTCTTTCTATAGAAGTCTATTGCACTCCCTAGAATTACACAGGCCATTGGTCCACAGATTTACAGGGGCACCCCTGCGCAGCCATAGGACGTCTTAACCAAACATCAAGGTACCAAGGAATAAACACCAGGGTTCAGAACACCAGGTGCAGCCCAGATGGAGAAGGGAAGAAAGAGCAACAAGCAGGTATTTCGCTGCACAAATCCCCAGTGGAGAGAAGGTCTTGGGAAATGCAGCAGAAAAATGTTGACTGCAGCAGACAACGATGGAGCTGGGGGTTGGGATATAGATTGATAGCACCCATAAAATATCTCCAGGCTGAAGCAGGTACCCTAGGAGTTTGAACATCCACCTACATTCAGGGATGGGATAAGGTGGAGGATTCAGGCTCAAATGAGCAGCCACAGAGCAGGTTCCCCAGACTCCCTACACACCGTTTCGACCTTTTCCAGAGTCCATTAGTACCCACCGGAAATGGAAATGTTCTAATTGTGGTCCTCTGTGCCATCATCAAGACCCTCAACTCCCTTCATTACCTCTTAAATTGACTTTAGGACCTACTGCCAGAAGGATGTTCTTAACCAAGTCAGAGAGAGAGAGAGAACATTTTCTCAAGAACCATGCTGGAACAGCCACCATGTTCCCACTTTTCCAGCCTCCACCTCTCCCCCATGGCTGAGGGTGAGGTACTCTGTGACTCTCAATGAGCTCTAATTCAGTCTTGGACATCTCCAGCCCCAAGTCGTCTGGGTTCCAAATCTCCGTCAATCGCTTATCTCTTCCCACATGAGTTCTCCCCTGACTCAAGAAAACACTATAGAACTGTCCCCTGTCCTGGGACCCTCTTCCCTTCTTTTCCACTTGGCTTCACGTGGAAAGTCCTGCACCCATCCCAGAAGACACCTCAAGTGCAACTCAAGAATGTGTCCTGTCAGGAGAACGGAAGCATCTCCTGGGATGTGCAGAAGCCACACTGGGTGCACCCACCAGCAGCAGCAGCGGCGGCGGCGGCGGCGGCGGCGGCGGCGGCGGCGGCAGCAGCAGCAATATTCATTAGTCATTCCTGGAGGAAGCCCCCCCAGCTCTCAACCCTAGGAGAATTTCCCCGCCACTCTGGGAGGCTTCCATCCAGGCTGGGATGACTTTGGATTCTTGAGTTGCTTTCTGCAGAAGCGGGACTAACCAGGGCTCCCAACTACTGTACTGCAAAGAAGCGCGCTGCATTGCTGGGCATGCCCCCAAGCCCGGCCTGGCTGCCCCATCAAAGCCTCCAAGTGCCCCCACGGGGTCGAGGAGGACTCAGGGTTCCCCTGGAATGCCTGAAGCCGGCTTGCCTCAGGCAGCCTGAAGGGAAGACCACACCTCGTCCAGCATAAGGCGGCTAGCAGCTACGCCGCGCGCGGGGCTGGCTCCCGGAGCTCTCTGCCACCCAGCGCTGTGCCCGGGAACTCGGCTTCCCAGGGGAGGAAGAGCCAGCCCGCGGGGCTCTTCCCCAGCCTGGAAGCGTAGGCACTCGGCCGAGGCCAGTGGCTTCCCAGGCCCGGGTCTCAGCCTGGCTGACTGGGAGACTCTCCCGATAGCCCGGCACATCCCTCCTCACCCGCTCCGCCCCCTCCAGGCCCCAGAGGCCCCCTCCCCTGACAGCTGACCTCCAGTGCGCCCCCAACACTTTCTCTGCCAGCTGCTGGCTGTCGCCCCCACACATCAGCTCCCACCTCTCCGCCACCTCCAACCCGGCCGCCGCCTCACCCCCAGCCCGCGGGGGAGGCTCCGCGCGCCAATCGAGTCCAGCGCCTCCCAGCAAGTTAGGAGCGAAGCCGCCGCCTTCGCGATCCCAGTCTTCCCGGGTTCCCGGGCGGCGTCCCCGCCACCCTTGCGGGCGGATCCGGGGGGGCGCGCAGAGCTGGAGAAACTTTCTCCGCCTTAGGGTGGGGGGCACCGGTGCAGATACTCACGCCGGGGTCAGCGCTCGGAGCCATCCTCCCGCTCTCGGCCCCGCCGCCTAGGGGCGTGGGAAGCGGGCGCTCGCTGCCGCCTCTGCCGCCGGCGCCGCCGCCTGCTTGCTCCCAGCCCCGGTCCCGGGCTGGCCTCGAGCCTCCCGCCCCGACGCCGCGCGCTCGCTTTATACAACTCCACTCGAGCGCGCCCGGTCTTATGTAAAGGCTGGCGGAGGCCCGCAGCCAATGGCGCGGCAGCTGGAGCCGGGGGCCCGGGGTGGGGGGCGCCGGCGCGGCCAATCGCGGCCCCGAGAGCCCGGAGAGCCGGGCGTGGGGAGGGAGCGCCTCCCCGCGCTGATTTAGGAGCCGGGATTGCGGTGGCAGCAGCCGGCAGCCAGGCTGGCCCGGCGCGGCGCGGCGGCCACTGGGGTGGGCGGCGGCGAAGGCGGCGGCGAGGGCGGGCGCCCCCCGCGCCCCGCCACTGCGTCGCGTAACCTTCAGGCGGCAGCGAGGCCTGGCGAGGAGGGGAGAGGGCGCCTGGCTGGGCGCTGGGGGCCCCAGGCCGGAGGGAAGCGAGGGTCCCTCGGGAGGCAGCGCAGGGAAGGAACGCGAAGGGGGAGGGGAGGGCGGCGAGCCCCAGGACCCCGCGGCCACCCCTGCGCGCAGGACCGAGGGTGGAGGCGGGAGCGGCTGCACTGCCTTCCCATTTCCCCCCAGGATAGCGATCTGGCGTCGCCGGGCCGGGCCAAAGCGGCCGAGCGAGCCGCGCTGATGGCGAGATTTCGACTACGGAGCTAGAGCCGAGCCGATCTTTATCCAGCCTGGGGACGTGTCCGAGCACCTCCCGGGGACTGCTCAGTATGGAGAGCAGGGCTCCGCGACGGCCCCCGCAGGCGGGGAGCGGGCGAGCGCAGCTCGGAGATCAGGCGCGCAGAGGCCCAGGCGGCTGCGGGCAGCGCCGCTTCTACCCCACCCCGTCCCCACCAGCAGTGCCCCCACCCCATCCCACCTAGTCCCTACCCCAGCAGTGGCCGAGTCGGGCCTGGCCCACCCGCTCCTGCCGCCTGCGTCCTACTAGCCTCCCTCACCGCTTTGATCACAGGTACTGCCCGCCTCTCCTCGCCCCCAACCCGCTGCCTTGGTGGTGGTGGGGGGATGGTTTCTGCCTCTCTGGACCAGGGGAATGGGGGTGCTAAGCGCCAGAAAAACACACTTGATCAGCAATGCTCAAAATACCCCTGTTCAGGCAGGAAACTGGCCTTGGTGGGTCACACTCTGAAGGCAAATCCTTTATTTTACGCCTAGAATAGAGCCTGGCACATAGTAGGCGCTCAGTGTTTATTGAATGAATTCTGAGCTTCCATGAGTGAGGTCTTTGGGTTTCTGAAAGCCAGGTAAAGGGGCCACAGAAGAGAAAGACTTGGGAATCCACCATCGGAGAGGGAAGGAGCTAGGACTGTTTTCCCATCCGTTGACGCTTTTGTGACCATCACCCACTAGTCTGGCTTCTGGGCCCTTGACTCTTAGAATGATTTGAATGTGTTCTTTTATAGAGGGCCACACATCCAGCCTCTGGCCCCTGTTATCCACAGATTTTGAGCAGAACTACCAGGACCTAGTCTGGGCTCTGTTTTCAGGTCTCTGTGATCTTCCTCTGAAAAGAAATAGCTAGGCACAGACAAACTTTCTGGCTTTTTGAGCCCCCATCAAGCCTGTAAGGTTGTGGGCCCCTTTGAAAATCTGGCAAAAATTACTGAATCATTTTTCTAGAAAAATATACAAACACACACATTTACACACACACACACACACACACACACACACACACACACACACACCTTGAGTATACTTTCAGGATCATTAGGAACCCTGAGTCTCTTGGGGCTCGGTCCAATGTCAACCTGTTTCTTCAGGGGTCTAGGACAGTAGTTTATAATCACCCTCCTTTTGGGGATCACAGACCCTTTAGAACCTTTCAAGAATCTCATAAATGTTATGGATCTGTTGCTTATAAAAATGCTCACTCACATACACACATGTTGACATGCAACTTTAGGAGGGTTCGTGGATCATTAAAACTTAATCTAGGGCCCTGATTAAGAACCTTCATCTATCGGCAAATAGACTCTGCCCCCAAGGCCATATCTGATCCCCAGCTCTCTGCATAAGGAGTCCAGTTGGCTCTGCACCCTGCTGGAACATGCCACCACCTTGTTCTGAGGGCATCTGAGTCATCTGGCCAAGGCTCTGGCACCTGAGAGACTGTCTCCACACTTTCTCTGCATCTTGGTCCCCGCCACCCTCTTAATGTGGAAATAAGTTGCAGGTTGTCATATTATGTCTGATCTATGAGCATTCCTTAGCCAGAAACTCCAACTCAGGGAGACAGCAAGTGACTGGTAATTAACCAGTTTCACTCAATCCCAAACATCTGAGCACACCTTTCTTGGTTTTTGTTCTCACCTCTCTCTTCTCCGGTGAAGCTGTGCACAGCAGCCCCAGCTGTAGCGCCTCACCTCACCCAGACCCGACAGATTTAGTAACCAGCACGGTAATTATCAGCATTAGCCAACCAGATGTGAATAGGTGCTCTGTGCAAAATAACTCTGTAATAATCTCACACTTTCCTGCAGCTAGCCAGGTAAGGTTACAACAGACCAAAGGTGCTAGGGAAGGACAGAAAAATGCAGGAAATGATGGAGATGTTCCAGCCAGGAAGTGCTCCAGGGAATACAATCTGGCTTCAGCACTTGAACTTGTGAGGGTTTAGCCCAGTGGGCCAGGCAGTCCTGGTTGGAAAATTTCTCATTTCTCTGATGTCCTCGATGTCCATTTGCTCAGTTCATGTCAGTGTCTGCTCAGAGCTCCAGCCCTTCCCCACCCCCAATCCCGTGAGAGACCTCTTGTCCTCCCACATTGCCCAAACACAGCTTTCTTGAGGCACATGCACACGGTTATAGACTGAATTGTGCCTCTCCGGACCAAATTCACATAGTGAAGCCCTAACCCTTAGTGTGACTGCATTTGGAGATAAGGCCTTTAAAGGGGCAATTAAGGCAAAATGAGATCATAAGGGTGGACCCTAATTCAATAGGACTAGTGTCCTCGTAAGAAGAGAGAGAGATACCAGAGATCTCCCATTTCTCTCTGTGCATCCTCAGGAGAAAGCCTGCCTGAGTAACAGGAGGAGGCCATCTGCAAGCCAGGAGCAGGGCCTCTGCAGAAACCAGACCTGCCAGCACCTTGATCTGGGACTTCCAGGCTCCAGAACTGTGAGAACATTAACTTCTGTGGTTAAGCTCCACGTCTGTGGTATTGGCTATGGCAGTCTGAGCTGACTAATACACACATTTTCAGCACACCCTTACCCCATGCATCTTGTTCAGGCTCCAGTCCTTTGACCCCAGTGAAGTTGTTTTTTCTTCAGAGTGTTCCCCCACAGACTTCTTCATTCTTACCTGGGGAACGTGCTTAAATTGTTTTCTCATCTGTTCATACCCAAACCAAGTCTTCCTTCCTGCGCCACCTTCCAAAACTGCCCTGGCCAGCAGTTTTCAGCTCTCCTGCAGGTCTACACCATCTTATCACCTGTGATGCACATTAGCTTTTTTTCACTCAGTGATACTTGGCCTCCCTATCAGAATATGAGCCCCTTGAAGTCCAGAGTTTGTACCTTGCAGTTGACTACCTCACAGAACCCAGCATGAAACTGGGCACAGAGTGAACACACATTAGATATTTGCTGAGTTATTCCAATTAAACCTATTTACTTAAAAATACTATTAAAGCTGTACAGTACTTCATTTTCTAAAAACTCAAGATGTATTGTGTGTGTTAGTCATCATCAACATCACTGGAGCAGGAGTTCTCAGGAGCTAGTTTTCTTCTAAAGTCCAGGATCAGAGAGGTTGGACTTTACGCAAGTTGCTAACAGTCATGCAACAAGTTAAGGACAGGACAAAAACTGTAGGAAACACTGAAGACAACCTCCAGACCCCATGTCCTTTCATTGACAAATGACTTTGTTAATTCTCTCTCTACATTAGAAGATTACTTGGCTATCTTCTCTCTCTCCGGGTGAGAAGTCAAGACACCAGATCTTAGAGATGCTTCTGTCCCAAGAGTTCTGTCACAGGAGAACAGAGAGGCTGGTACAGTTCCTCACACCCTTATCTGAAGCCCTTGAGGCCAGAGGCATTTTAGAATTCAGAAAGGCACCATACATAAACATTCTCAGTGAAGCTTTGAGCAGCATATTGAAATCAGACACATTAATATTTCTGCAATGAAATATATGAAGTTTACACTAAGCAGGTGTGAGGATAAAGTAACTTCACATCAGTTTAGGTCAGATTTTGCTACCAGATGAGTCTTGGCATCAAACTTGCAAAACAAAAATCCTTTTGACTTTCAGAGATTTGGGGATTTGGAATTGTAGATAAGGGATTGTGTATTTTAGGCTTGGTTGTCTCAAAAGAAATGAATCTTTTTGTAAGGGGGTGGAAAAACAGCAATAGTTGAAAATGGGAAACCACAAACTGTGAAAGAAATGAGGAGCTAAAGGGGGTATGAGGAAATAACCCCTTCTCAAACCAAGTCGTATGGAGGGGTCGTCCCTTTTTCCCAAGGAGTACACATTTATCACATGGCCGTTGGGTTTCAGATGCACTTGTGGCTTGTAAGAGGCAGATGCATAGGATGGACTTTCAAGGGGAGGTAGGTTAGGGGTAAAGTTGGACAGGAACTCTTTTAGAGAAGCCACAAACCCTGGGGGATGGTTCAGTCAGGGCCAGAGCCAGAGCCATCACAGATGCAGAAAGGAGTCTTCCAGATGGCCAGAGAGTTTGTTCAGAAGACCTTGAGCTGTGAGCGCATGCTGCAGGGAAACTCTGCAGGCAGAGCAGCCCCAGGAAAGGGATGCTGGAAGAAGGAGGACATGATGGAATCCTGGGGAAGTCTGGTTAGAAACTTTCGAGGCTGTGGGGCAGGGGGAAGCCTGGAGGTAACGATGCAAGCAGGTGTCTGCTTATCATGTTAACCTGTGCCAAAATGGCTTGGGTTCCAGGAACTTACCTGCCTATGTGTCCAGTGAGCTACGGGGTTTTCCCACACTGTCGTGGGGGTGGCTCTGCAATCTGAGGGGCTGGTTAAGAATGTGATGCAGGGAGGGAGATGGGAAAAGGAAAGCCATGGTGGGCCGCTGACCACACAGCTCTCTACTCCTGCTTGAGATGCTCAGCCAGCAGTCTTCATGATAAACAGGCTCCCTGGAGTCCAAGTCAACAGCAGGGAAGCTTCATCTTGGATCTTTATCATTGTTGCTGACCTTGGTCCTGCTCTACCTTTCTTCTCAGGTCCTAGGACCCCACTGTTACCTTTTTCTTCTGAGAGAGCTCCTGCTGGTACCCCCAGCTCCAGTCACTGGGTCTCCATCCATTCTCACCTCCTGCTGCCCTACCCCATGACCCAGGACCTCAGGGCCTAGGATTCTGGGCTCTGGATGCTTTCCTTTCTTCCCTGTGACTGAGTCTTTAACACCTGCTGCCCCACATTCCAGGCATCAACTGCCCTCTTGAACCTCTGCCAACTGCCTCATGCCAGCTTCCTTTAACATGCCCCCAACCTGGCCTCACTTCTGCCTCCAGCTCCCAGGACCTCCCCAGACCCTGGCCCTGCCTTGGTGGACAGGTCCTGTTTTGGGTTCCAGCCCTTCCTGGTCTGGCATATCCAGCTGCCAACCCAGCCAGGTTTCTGACAGACATGAGCTCATGGTCATGGTTTAAAAAAGAAAAGAAAAGAAAAACCCTGTCAGCAGTTGGGTGGTGGTAGCATACATTTACTAGCAGCAAATGCCAGGGAGCTCCTGAGCTAGGGATGCCCTCGTCAGTTTCCATCCTAAGGGAAGAGAGATAAATGGGTGAAAAGTGAACAGAAGAGGAAGGGGAACAGGAAGGAGTAAATAAAAGGAGGGGAAGAATCAAGAGAAGAGAGAAAGGGAAGGGAGGATGTCGGGAGAGGGAGCAAAGTCGGGTGGGAAGAGTGTCTGTAGCTATAGCCTGTTTTCAGTGTCTAAACCGAGCATGGAGAGCTTGTCATCCATAGAGTCAGACATTGACACAAAAGAAGATGGAAAAGGTAATTGAGCCTGTGTGTGTGTGCATGTGTGAGGAGGGGTGGAGGAGGGGGGCGGGGAGAAAGAGAGAGAGAGAAAGGGGACATAAGAGAAAGAGAAGGGTAAAGAAGAGAGAAAGGGGACATAAGAGAAAGAGAAGAGTAAGGAAATGGGCCATCCAGGAAGTAGATAGAAGTGGAGGGCTAACAAGGTGGACAAAAACCGATGGCATCTGGAAAAAGGAATCCATGTTTGAAGTTTGTAAGGGCAATCATTTCTGATTACTCTTCTGATGTCATTAACCAGGGTTTGTGGAAAACCCTCTGCCCTGACCACCTATCTCTGCATCTCTTGCTTGGTTCTTCTCTGATTTTTTATAAAGCTGTATCCTCATCTTGGCACCAAATTCCATTATAGATAGGATGTATATCTCATGGGTTCAGCTTGAGGGTATGGAGGTATGTTATGACCTACCATATGCAAGGGTAAAATGAGGATAATAAAACCTCATGACGGGGATTTCATAAGGAATACGTGAGATAATGTACGCAAAGCCCTTAGCCGAACGCCTGGCACATAGTGAGCATTCCATAAATGATAGCTATCATCCTTCTTCCCTTCTTTTTCCCCTGTCTCTGTGCCCAACTGTCACCTCCTTCTGCCTGTCATTCCTGTGAAATGCCACTCATTTTCATCCTTTTCTCTTCCTCCAAGCCCTTTAGCACATCACATGTGCATTTCTCCTATTGCAGACATGTAGAGCCCCGCCTTCATATTCTTCCCACCCAATCTATGATAATCCTTTAATTGTGTAGCACTTTATAGAATAAAAAAAAATCCTCATTAACACCTGTGAGATAGACACATAAATGAAGGCTCAGAGAGGTGTAGTGTCTTGCCCAAAATAGCACAGCTAATAAAAGGCAGAGCTGGAGCCGGGCGCGGTGGCTCACGCCTGTAATTCCAGCACTTTTGGAGGCCAAGGCCAGTGGATTACCTGAGGTCAGGAGTTTGAGACCAGCCTAGCCAACATGGCAAAACCCCGTCTCTACTACAAATACAAAAATTAGCTGGGCATGGTGGCGGGTGCCGTAATCCCAGCTACTTGGGAGGCTGAGGCAGGAGAATTGCTTGAACCCAGGAGGTGGAGATTGCAGTGAGCTGAGATCGCATCGTTGCACTCCAGCTGGGTCAACAGAGAGAGACTCCATCTACAAACAAACAAACAAACAAACAAAGACACAGCTGGGATGCAAATGTAAGTCTCTTGGGCCAAAATCAGTGCATTCTCCACTGTCCACAGAGTTGAGTCAGTAAGTGATTCTTTTATGATGCTATTATTGAAGGTAGAGACCTGGTTTTATATTTCCCATAAACCTCTTCAAGGTCTGGCCCACAAGAGGCCCTTAGTCAGTGTCAGTTATTTACTTCCAGGCACCCAAAAGAGCTCAGGGCTACCCTTGGCTCAGCCCTGCCTCCATGGTAAAGGGTCCTCGCTGCTTCAGTGTTGCTCTGTTCACACCCCAGAGGCAGGATCCCAGCCTAGACTCAGGCCTGTACGCACCATAGATGAGGGCTGAGCAGAAGTGAAGCCAATATTCCATCCTTTGGTGAGGCAGGGAGAATATCATGAGGAATTAGGCTTGTTTAAGTATAGCTCAAACTAGCAGAGAATAAAAGCAACTCCATGCTCATTGCAACAGAAAGGAATTGAGATTTCATGAAAAGAAGGCCTTTTTCTGTGTGAGAGTTGAGAGATGTTAGAACGAGATTCCTGCAGAGGTTGTAGAAACTGCTCCCCTGGAGGTCTCTAAGAGCTGGAGCGCTATTTGCTTTCCAGCAGGATGCGGGGCTGAAGGCTGTGTGTGCAGGTGAGGGCACAGGCAGCAGGAGGAGGGCTCAGGATGCAGCAGACCTGACCTGACACCTCTACCGCGGGAGGCAGGTGGGAACTCAAAGGCAAGGCGGGGCGGGGCTGGGAGGAGAGAGCAGGCCCCAGGGAGGCCAGAGGTCAGAGGGGCAGACAGCACGAGGAGTCGCAACAGGCTGTCGAGTTCCCGGTTCCTGGTGGAGAGCCCGGCAGGCTGTTTGTTCTCGGACGTGTGCAACCGCTGCCGGCGGGGCTGTGGGCGCCGCAGCGTGGAAGGAAGGGGTGGGAAGGGGTGCATTCTGGACCCTCGCATTGATTGGACCAAATGGACAAAAGCCAATTATTTTTCTCTGAGTAAAGCAAGGTACGGAGGCTGGCCATCAAAATATTAAACAGACATCGCTTCTTGGTCTTTTGGCTGAGATCAAGTGTAAAATATTAAACACAAATAACTAAATCTGAAGAGAAGTCTTTCACAATGCTTGTTAAACAAGAATGCTGGAAGTATTCTGGGAACACAAAATACCCCAGAGAGAAGTGCCACATCTTCCTGCTTCCTGGAAGATCCTCTTTTACTAGACGACCCCCTTTGCCGGGGTGGGGAGAAAGAGGAAGAGTGGTAGGTAATTTAACTGGTAAGAAATAAAAATATCTGGCCAGCCGTGGTTGCTCACACCTGTAATCCCAGCACTTTGGGAGGTCAAGGTGGGCGGATCACCTGAGGTCAGGAGTTCAAGACTAGCCTGGCCAACATGGTGAAACCCCATCTCTACTAAAAATACAAAAAAGTAGCCGGGCACGGCGGTGCATGCCTGTAGTCCCAGCTGTTTGGGAGGCCGAGGCAGGAGAATTGCTTGAACCCAGGAAGCGGAGGTTACAGTGAGCCGAGATTGTGCCACTGCACTCCAGCCTGGGTGACAGAGTAAGATTCCGACTCAAAAAAAAAACAAAAAAAAAAAAACGAAAAGAAATAAAAATATCTAATTATGATTTGAATAAATCTGCATATATCATGGAGCTGAATGCAAAACTGTGTGAGCATATTTTAAACAAAGTGTGAGCCTTGAAAAGATCTTCCAGGCTTCCTGTTGGGTGAGATTTTCAGCCTCCCCCAACCTTGTGGGGATACGTGTAACCTTTTCTTTTGCGCTTAGAGTACTTTAGTAAAAAGTTTTAACAGTGCTGCTTTAGTATTTACAAAGCATTGTTTCACACAACATCTTATTGATATATTCAACAAGCATTTAAGCACTTTCTGTGTGCCAGGCACTGTGCCCTTTTTGACAAAGAAGTGGGTATTTGTATTTCCCGTATTGTGGAGAAGAGGAAATAGAAAGACGCGGTGACTCCCACCACCTCCCAAAGTTCTCATGGGGCAAAGCAGAGCTAGGTATGCGGTGTCTTTCTTGGCAAGCTGTGCCTTTCTGTCATGCCTGCTGCCCTTCCCATATCTCTGCAATTCCTCCTACACCCATTCCTGCCATTAAGCAATTACACAGCACTCACCACCATGTGCCATCCTCCTGAGAGATTTCCAGGCAGGAGGGGCAGGTCACAGGAAAATGGGAAACCCAGGAAAGCCAGCTGGTGCCTGTGCCTTTTCTCCTGCCTGTGATTAGGACACGGTCTGCACACGTTTATAGGTAAGGGCATTGGCACAGAGTAACTAACATCCTCAGGTCACAGGCAGAGCATCCAATCCCGTGGCTGAGCTGGTGGAGTCACAGCTCAGTGCAGAGCCCTAGGTTATCTGAGATGTGATCAGTGCACTGGGTAGCCCAGAATGGATTGCTCACCAACAAGCATTTGTCCAGGGCTTGTTAGGTGTGGGCTCTGTGTTAGGCTGGTGGGAAAACAAAGATAAATACAACCTCTGCCTTCAAGGAGCTTACCATACAGCAGGAAATTGGCGCCCACATTGTGCTGAAAGAGGTAAGGAATAGGGCCGGGCAAGGTGGCTCGTGACTGTAATCCCAGCACGGTATTGCTGTGAGGCCCAGATGAGGCACTGCATGTGGAATGGCTGGAGAATACCTGTCTAGAGTATGCTTGAGTGATAGTCCCAGCTTTGCCACTTACTTGCTTTGAGAGGAAGAGGTAGGAGGATTGCTTGAGCCCAGGAGTTTGAGACTAGCCTGGGCAACATAGGAAGACCCCCATCTCTACACACACACACACACACACACACACACACACACACACAGTTATCCAGGGTGATGGTGCATGCCTGTGGTCCCAGCTACTTGGGAGGTTGAGGTGGGAGGATTGCTTGAGCCCAGGAGGTCCAGGCTGTGGTGAGCCATGATCATGCCGCTGCACTCCAGCCTGGGCAACAGAGTGAGACCCTGTCTCAAAAAGAGAGGGGGTGGAAAGAGAGAGGGAGAGAGTGAGAGAGACAGAAGGAATAGAAATGGGCTGGAGACGTGGCTACCAAGTGATGCCCCTTCTTCCCACATCCTGTGAGCTTCCTTGCCAAGGCACTGTGGGGGCAGGAGACACTTCCTTGGTTACTGTGCACCTTCACTCCCCATCTGCAAGTGGAACTCCCCCCTCTCTGCTTATTCGTAGTTGTCTCATCTTCATCCTCAGTCAAACATTCACCTTCTTTCTCTGCAGCTTCCCAGCAGCCACCTCAACCAAAGCCAGGGCAGCCTGTGGTCACAGCCAATCTGCCTAATGGCACTTTACAGATAATGGCAGCACACACTGAGACTGTACGTTCAGGTGCTCAGAGCTGTTCAAGTGCTTAACTGTTTTCATCGTCCTAACAAGCCTGTGATTCTGTTCTTATGCCCATTTTATAGGTGAAAAAGCTCAGGGTAAGTAAACAGCAAGTAAGTGGCAAAGCTGGGACTGTCACTCAAGCACACTCTAGAAAGGTATTCTTCAGCCATTCTGCATGTAGTGCCTCCTCGGGGCCTCACAGCAATACCATGGTGTAGGTTGATGGGGAAATCTAGACCACAAGGCTCAAATGCATTATTACCAAGCTCAATTCATCTACAGGCAAAGTGGACACGGGAACCCAGGTCTGCCTCTTAGCTGGTGTTCTTTTCACTACATTTTGTTGCTGAAGCCGGAAAATATTCCCTGTATGTTTCCAGTGGCCCTATACCCACCTAGTCTTTGGAGGATTTGTTTTTGCACTTTCCTACTGGGTGAAAACAAGCTCAAACAGTCTTGACCACGCTTAAGCCAGAAAAGCTTGAAAGACCGCCACCTGGTGGCTTTCTTGGTGGTGGTGACTGAAATTGACCCCAGCCTGCGATCAGTGGCCTTGGGTGTCAGTGGTGAGTCTGGAAGAGTAGACGTTGGAGTTTATGGCCACTGACTGTGTGCCAGGTGCTCTGCTAAGTACTTTAAAGGGCTCCCTCTCATTTATTCTTTGCATTAACCAAGTGAGGTTGGTCCTATTCTCTTTGGCTCCATTTCAAAGATGAGGAAGCTGAGGCTCAGAGGCAAAGTAACCAGTTCAAGGTCACACTGTTAATAATTATTTTTTTATTTTTATTTTTATTTTTTTGAGATGGAATCTCTCTCTGTTGCCCAAGCTGGAATGCAGTGGCGAGATCTTGGCTCACTGCAACCTCTGCCTCCCAGGTTTAAGTGATTTTTGTGCCTCAGCCTCCCAAGTAGCTGGGATTACAGGCACGCACCACCACATCTGGCAAATTTTTGGTTTTTAGTAGAGACAGGGTTTCACCACACTGGCCAGGCTGGCCTTGAACTCTTGACCTCAAGTGATCTGCCTGTCTTGGCCTCCCAAAGTGCTGGGATTCCAGGTGTGAGCCACCGTGCCCGGTCTATAACTCTTTAAGCTGGGCTTCAAATCCAGATTTCTCTGACTCTAGGTCCTGCTTCTACTTAACTACTCCTTATCTTACCTCCCCAGCCTTACCCCATCAGGCCATGGCCCATCCCCCAGTCCTGCTCACTGAGCCGCAGCCACTCCGACCATCCCTCTCTTCTTTGGGCTCTCACACAAGGAGAATGTTCCAGGCAGAAGGCACAGCAAGTGGTCTTCTTTGCACTTTCTGTGCCCTCTGTCTGGAACGTTCTCCCAGATTTGCCTGTGGCTGGTTACTCGTCCTACAGATCTCAGCTCATATGGGTCACATCCTCAAAGATGCCATTCCAACCATCCATCTAAGTTGTCCCTGCCCAAACCCAGTTCCTCACTATCCCATTACCTATCTGCATGTCCTTCTGAGGGCTTAGCATTCTCTGAAAGTATCTTGTTTGTTTGCTTGTCTGTTTTCTGTATTCCCCACTGGGAAGGTCAGCTCCATGCTGAGTCTCAGTGCCTACCCTACTGCTTGCCTAGTAGTTGCTCCATAAATGTGTACTGGATGAACGATCAGAAGGAAGGCGACAGGAGAGAAAAGGTCCCATGACTGGTATTTTATCCATCTACTAACAACTCAGGGGCCTTCTCATTCCTCCCATTGTTGGTATCATCCTTGCCTCCTTCTTCTTTGGACCCCACCTCTTTGTATCCAGGACCAGAGGTGAAGGGAGGCCAGAGCTAGGAATATAGATATTACAAATATAAGATGGCTTGCATTTCTGGTCCTTGGTATTTGATATAGCTGAAGAGTCTGGGTTTTTTTGGTAGTGGTTGTTGTTAATTCTTGTAATTAGCTTGTATCTTATAGATATTGCTCTTGGCCATTTAAAAAGAGGTTTAATTGGTCATTCAGGCCTGGAACCTATTCTGTTTTCCAAGTTTATTACTTCCTCCACCACATTCAGAACCTGGCAAGGTAGATTAGCATCTCAGGATTATAAACTGCCCGTTCTCACTCACCCACACTTGGATGTGCTCCAGAAAACAGACACTGGCTCGTGAATTTGAATTTAGAATCCTGCACTTGTAAGGAGAAGCTCAGACCCAGGCACAATATTTAAGATCTGCTGAAAACAGGAGCAGAGTACAAATGCTTACAGAGATGAGTTCCTAGCCAAAGACATGAGCGGCCTCAGAAAGGAAAAACCACAGTAGCTAATGGTCATTAAAGCTTAGTTGACGTAATTTCAGAGAATGAAGACAGCCACAATCCCAGTTAAATAATGCCAGGAGAATTTAGCTCTGAGCTGACAGTGCCATGACTGTGATGTGGTGGCAGAGTGGTGCCAGGGTGACCACCGGGTGAGGAACTGGGCAACCTGGCCTCTCATCTGGGCCGCCACTTTCCCACTGTATGTCCCTACTTAATCTGGAAAGATAAAACTGAGCTGGATGATCTTTCACATTCCCTGCAGTTCTGATGCTCTAGCCCTTTATTTGGGAGTAGAAGCAGGAGGAAGGTCTGGAGGAAAGGAGGCTAAAGTTTATCGAGTTCCTTCTCTCAGTCAGGCACTGAACTGAGCACAGTGGCATCACTTCTTCATAGCAGCCCTGCTAGCATAGTCTCTATTTTGCCTATGAGGAAAAAAAAAATAGGAGGCTAAGTGACATGTCTAAAGTCACATAGCTGGACCATGACACTCAAGCCAGCACACTTTCTACTTTGCCACAAGGCATCTGGCCACTTGAAAACCACCTGTACCTGCTGCTCCAGAATATCTGATTCCTAGAAGTAGCACTCACCTTCTATGGAGCATGACTTTGATCCACACAGTGACTGGGAAAGAGAGATGTCAGCTGGGTTGTCGGATTTCCTGGTTTATTTCAACACTATCTTCTGGCTCCCAGTTAGGCAGCTCGGGGGTGAAAGCTGCCCTTGATGTAAGTAATGAGCAGTAGAACTTGCGTTGTAGGCTGACCCCACAGGACACTGAATGATTCTGTAATTATGCCACACAGTATTCATTGAAGGCCATGCATGTGCTGTACGCTAACAACAACAATAGCAATAACAGCAGCAGCAGCAACAGCAAAAACAGTAGCAACGACGGTAGCGACAACAGCAACAGTAGCGGCAACAACAGCAGCAAAACAGCAGCAACAGCAACAACAGTAGTGTCAACAGCAGCAGCGACAGCAGCAACAACAGCAGCAGCGACAGCAGCAACAACAGCAGCAATAGCAGCAACAACAGCAGCAATAGCAGCGACAACAGCAATAGCAGCAGCAACAACAACAGCAGCAGCAACAGCAGCAACAACAGCAGCAACAACAACAGCAACAGCAGCAACAGCAGCAGCAACAACAATAGCAACAACAGTAGTGGCAATAACAGCAGCAAAACAGCAACAGCAGCAGCAGCAGCAACAGCAACAATCAATGACCTTTCCGAGGGCTCATTCTGCACTGGGCACAGTAAGATACTTACAAGCATATCACCTATGAGGAGTGTAAGATGACTCTCCCTATTTTCTGCTTGAGGATATTGGGTCTCAATCTCGGACAGATGAAACGAGTATCCCAATGGCTGAACCGCCAGGATCAACATGCTTCTGCCTCTATATGGCGGAGAAGGTGTTAACTTGCTAGGTAAACCAAGGGGCTGTATTTTCTTAATTAAAAATCAGGGCACATGGTCTGATACACTGGCTGGTGATCAGCAGGATCTCTAAAAACCCCAGGGGCAGTTGCAATCAGTATGGGTCTCAGCATAGCTACCTGCCTCTTTGTGCCCCCTCTTCTGCTCCATATCCATCATATCACTTTCTGGTCGCCCAAAGCCCTCCCACAAAGGCTCATCACTCTGGCCTCCCTCCCAGAGTATCTCGTGCTCCAAAACTGTGACCTCTAATCTGCAACCAAATTTACCATTCTCAGATTAAACAATCCCCAACCTATTCTGGTGGAGGAAACCCTAACAGCTGATTGGTGTAATTCATACTAAGGTGTGAGTGATTAACAAGATGTCTATCACTAACAAGTGTCTGTCATTTTAAAGAGAAGCTAGTTTCTCCACCAGACAGCTGTCTCTAATAGGATCCTAGCTGCCTGGCAGTCCAGGCTTCATGGTGGCAGTCTCATGGGGAAAGGTGGAGAGAGAGAGAGAGAGAGAGAGAGAGAGAGAGAGAGAGAGAGAGAGACCAACCTCTCCAGCGGGCTGATTTTCAAAGGGAGGTGCCTTATCCCCACTTTCTAGTCTCTGATCAGAATGCAGTGGCACAGGGAGAGTGCTTGGAAAACCCTACAGCCCCTCTCCTATTGGCATCGTCTCACCTTTCGAGACCCTCTCTTCAGTGAGAAACCATTTTAATAAGGCTGTAATTTCGTTACAGAATTTTGTAATTAAATATCCTTAAAAGAAATGAGGCTGCAGGTCCCTATCTCCCAATTTATCATAGACTTAATTCCCCAAGTTACACAGTGTTTAATCAAGACTGTATCCCTATTATAACTTCATGCACTTTCCTGGCCTTAGAGATAGGAAGTGCTCTGAATTTCTCATGAGGGTGCTCTCTGTTCCTGGGATGTTATTGTTTACCAAATAAGTGGTGGCTTCTTAGTCAGAAGTAGCAGATCTGTCCTCACCCCTGCCCTCACCCTAGTCCTCTGGGCCCGTCTCACCCTCCGAGGTAAATCCATTCATCAGCTCTTCAGAGGGTGTCACAGTTCAGAGCTGGCGGCTTCATTTAAGGAGCAAATGTGCTCCCCCTGCTGGCTGAGGGCAGCCAATACATCGGTGTGCTGCAAAAATCACAAACCTGGTTTTTGGGCTCCCTCCAAACCACAGGTGTGAACACCTACCATGTGCTGGGTGCAGTGCTAACGGATATCAAGATGAGAAGGGTCAGGCAGCTGTCCTCAAAGAGCATAGAGTCTGCTAGGAGAGACAAAAATGTGAGTAAATATTTTACATAATCCATAAAATCATGTGTTTACCTCTATTTACTTAATTGTGGGATTGCAGAGAGAAGAGAAACTACTTCTGTCCACAGAGATAAGGGAGGCTCCATAGTGAATATAGCACTTTACCTGCATCCTGAAAAAGCAGTCAGATTTCAGAAAGTGATGATGGTGGGGATCACACAACTTAGAGTGTTAGGGGTAAAGAGAACTGAAGAATCACGTACTTTAAATGCCTCCTTTTATGAGTGAGGAAAGGGAGCTCAGAAAGCCCAAACACCCTACGTGCAGTGATGGAATAGAGAGTGGAATCCATTTCTTCTCATTCCAACTCTGGGCTCACCAGGAATTCCAGGCTGAGGGTGGATGAAAGGCAGTGTGGGTGGGGAAGTGCCAGATATGTCGGGGAAATGGTGAAAGGGGTCAGAGTTGCCACAAGAAATTCAATCGCTTTTACTGAGGAAGTGAAATGGTCTGGTTAATTTAATTTCCTAATTAGATGGAAGTTCTGCAGAAAGGCTGCTTTGTTAGAAATGTTTTTAAATTTTAAAAAACTTCCTAAAATGTTTTCTTTTGCTTTCCTGCCTTAGCAAGAAAAATGAAGGCCATGGTTAGGCCATTGATACGTCTGGTTCTTGCAGTATCTTGCAATTATTTTAGCTGCAGAGAACATGCAAATTTACAGATAGAGACCCTTGAAGGGGTTTTAAAAATCTTTAACGGCAACATATTTGCCTGCTATTTGTCTATCATCAACCACAGTGTATAGATTTATTTATCAGTGTGGGATAGTTAAATCAAGAAATCTGATTAAATGAGGGCCCTGGCTCACGTTGCTTTGGGTAATTGAGGTTTTGCCGGGTTATTAAGGTGGTCCCTGCTGAGCCCCCGCATATCTTTGCCCTTGCTCTTTGCAGGGCTGCACCAGGCATTGGTGCTTCAGCAAGGAGCCCTATAGAATTCCTGGGCTTGTTTTGAAAAGGAGCAGGCAGAACATTTCACTGATGATACTGGCTGGCTCATGCACAAGTTCTTCCCACTGGGACCCCTGCCCACGGAAAAGTATGAATAGTGGCCTTATCTAAATGACAGCCTCAAGAGATTTGACTTCAGCCTGGATGTGGTAGCCAGCTGCCCCAGATTCCCACTTTCTGATATTCACACATTATACAGGCCCCTCCTACATTATACCAGGGTCGGTTTGTATAGCTAATAAAATAGGTGATAGCATGTCACTTCCTGGGTTAAGTTATAAAAAGTCGTTGCAGCTTTCATCCTGGCAGCTTTCTCTCTCAGATCACTTGCTCTCGGGGGAGGTAGCTGCCATGTCATGAGCATCACTATGGAGAGGCCCACGTGGTAAGGAGCTGAGGCCAACAGCCAACAGTCATGTGAGTGAGCCTGGAGGCCTAGGCTCCAGTCCCAGTTTAGCCTGATAACTGCAGCCCTGGCTGACATCTTGACTTCAACTTCATGAGAGAGACTGAGCCAGAACTACCCAGCTAAGCCACTCTCAGATTCACAACCCTCAGAAATTGTATGAGATAATAAATATGTGTTGTTTTAAGCTGCTGAATTTAAGCTAATTTGTTATGCAACAATAGATAACTAATACACTAGCGAGAGATCTCCCTGGCATGGGGAACTCTTGGGGACTGCTCTTTCTCAGCACTCTATCTAAGCAGCCAGAGGTGTCTTGACATCCCGGAATCTTAAATCTAGAAGAGGCCCTGGAGTTTAGCTAGTCCAGTTCCCTCAGTTTATGGTGGAAAAAGAGAGGCCAGAGGAGAAGAGGCTTTGTGTGTAGCCAAGATGAAAATAAAAGTTGGATCTCCTGATTTGGGGTTCTGCCTTTCCTCCTCTATTTCCACTCCCACAATTAGTTGGCTTCCCAATTCATCATTTTTATTATTTGAGACATGGTCTTGCTCTGTCACCTTTGCTGGAGTGCAGTGGCGTGATCACAGCTCACTGCAGCCTTGACCTGCCTGGGCTCAGGTGATCCTCCCATCTCAGCCTCCTGAGTAGCTGGGACTACAGGCATGCACCACCATGCCCAGCTATTTTTTTTTTTTTGGACTTTTTGTAGAGAGGGAGCTTCACCATGTTGGCCAGTCTGGTCTCAAACTCCCAGGCTCAAGTGATCTGCCCACCTCAGCCTCCCAAAATGGTAGGATTACAGGCCTAAGGCCCTCACCCTAATTATTATTTTATTCATCAAATATTTATAGAGTTCCTACTATGCACTAGGTCCTGTGTTAGGCCCTGGGTCATTGTAGAGGCTCTTGGCACATGTGGGACTATGGTCAAAAGTTATCATTCGAATGAAATATGCTTATTACAATGGATATATGCTGAATAAATGAATAAGTCAGGAGACACCACGTGCTAGCTCTGACTCTAACACTGATGCCTTGGGTCTCCTTTGCCATTCTCTGTAAATGAAGCTTCCAGGCTGATATGCAATGCAAAGACTTAGATTAAGACATAAAGTCTTCAAATTTTAGAACTAGAAAAGACTTTGGCAGGCAAGTGATGTGAAATTTTAGAGGGAAAGTGATCCCTTTGAAAATCAAATGAGATATGGACTCCTTTATCTAAATACACAAAACACTATGCATACAAATGCTGGGGATTCCTAGAACATTTGAAGCCTATTTGTGGACTTCCTAGCAATCCACAGGCCAAGAACCTCACATCTGGGCTAACCTCCCATTATTTGGGGTGAGAAATCTGAGACTCAGAGAAGGGAAGAGAAGCCCTACATCTCACAGCAAATCAGTAGCAAAGTCCATGCCTGAGATCTGGTTCCGTGCTCTCCCGCCACAGACCCCTGACTTACAGGAAGCACATGGAATATGAGGAAACCAGTACTGGCTCCCGGGAACACAGAACTTCAGGATGTCACATGCTGATATTTATTTTCTGTTAATATCTCTCAGGGACAGACAGAGTGGTTCAGACAACCAACTCTGTTTCCAGTGCGAGGCTATATGGCACCTCTGGATGCCTCCTAAAATTGGGCAGTTGGAAAGCTCCAGAGATGGACTGGCAGAGCTGGTGAGTCAAGGATGGAGGGAAGCAGGAAGCAGAGGAGAGTCTGGTGGTCTGGGTACTCAACAGCGAGGCCTCAAGGACAGTCAGCTTCCCTCTGTCCACTGGCTGGTCCCTGGAGTTCAGGGGGCTCTTCTGCCATGGGGCAGTGGTGCACGGTAAGGCAGAGCCTGGTCTCTGGCTATCATGGAAAGAACTAACTTAGCATAGTGCCTGAGAGCAGGGGCACTGGTGCCTCCCTGCTAGGGTTTAGAGTCATGTTGTTCTACTTCCTGGCTGTGCCACCTTGGGCCAATAGCTAACCTCTCTTCCTGATCTCTAAAGTGGGGCCTGTGATGCCTTTACACCATAGGCTTGTGAGAATTACATGAGTTCGTTCTTGCAAAATGCTTAGAACAGAGCCTGACATATAATAAATGCCATACAAATGTATGATAATTCAGGGCATAAAATCCATACTTCCTCAGGCATCAGTTTTCCTCTGCTGGATTCTTTAGAACAAGCCACTACACTTCAAAAAAAGTTACATTTTTAAAAAATCAACTTTATCAAATTATAAATTATATGCAATCATATGTAATAATATGTACCTATTGTAATTGTACATTCAGACAAATTAGTTTTGGTAAATGTATGCATTTGTGTAACCACAACCGCAATCGGGATATAGAATGTTTTCATCACCCCCAAAACTTCTTTTCTGTCCCTCGTCCCAGTCAATCCTCCTTTATCTCCATCTCCAAATGATCATGAAATTTGCCACCAAAGGTTATGGTGGCACATCTCTGTCAATGTGCATTCGCTGGGCACCAAATATATGGATGTCTCCCAATATATGTATGCATTTGTTATATAATATATATTATATATGTCCTGCTATCAGTCTGTATCATACCCACTAGGAAAGCTTACTTCATGTTTTTTTTTAGATAAAAATAAACACAAGAAAATTATTAAGCAAATGGTTAAGATGAGAACCATTGGTGGATTGGTGTAAAGGGAATACAAGAGTTCTTTTGTACAGTTCTTGAAAGTTTTCTGTAAGATTAACATTGTACCAAAATGAAAACTTACAGCAAATTGACCTAAGCAGCAGCCGGTAGAGCTATTGTTGGGCACTTTGCACACTGTCCGTTCTCAGAATCCCCTGGAAAGTTTCTGAACCCTGCCAAAGCCCAGGCCTCGCCCCAGCTCACAGGAATCAGAAGCTCCAGGGGTGGAGCTTTGGGCATCCACTTGGCTCACAGTGAGGGAGCCAGGGTTCCTGAGGGCCATGGGCCTTGGCAGGAGAGGACTCCCTTCAGCTGGCTGAGTCCACACTGGCCTTCAGAGTAAAATCGGCCAGGCTTGAGTTTGGCTAGAGAAGAACTTGCTCAAGTCGTGGGGCAGATGTGTTTGTGAAAATGCTTTGTATCTGTAAAGCACTGTATATGTCTAAGGGCAAAAACATCCCACTTTGGGAATGAGGTAGCTTAAAAGTGAATAACGCATACACAGAATAGATGTAGAATATAAAGCGTCGGCTAATTATTAGATCACCTCCACTGCTGCAATTACTACTACTACTAGCTGGCCATCCCAGTCTGCCTGGAACTGTCCTGATTTTAGCACTGAAAGCCTTGCATCCCAGGAAAACCCTCCATTCCAGATAAACTGGGATGGCTGGTCACCCCAGAGCCTGTTAATACCCTTTCAATTACCATGATCACTTTGACTAACACTGTATTAGTCAGCTCAGGCTGCCATTAAAAATACCATCGACTGGAGGGCCTAAAATTAGAAATTTATTTTCCCACAGTTCTGGAGGCTGGGAAGCTCAAGATCAAGGTTCTGGCTGATTCAGTTCCTGGTGGGGGCTCTCTTCCTGGTTGTAGATGGTGGCCTTCTTGCTGTGCCCTCACATGGCCTTTCCTCTTGCTCACAAAGGATAAAAGGACCCCTGGTGTCCCCTCCTCTAATAAGGTGGATCAGGGCCTCAGACTTATGACTTCATTTAACTATAGCTCCTTCTGTAAAGGGCTTCTCTCCAGTCACATTGGGGGTTAGGGCTTCAACATGTAAATTTTGGGGGAGACACAAACATTCAGTCCACAACAACCACCACCCACTCTGCCCACCACCATTACAAGCATAACTGTGTAGCCAGTCTCTAGGGCTCTCTGCTTGGCTGCACCTGCCCCCGCTTGGGATAGCTCCCACTTTCACGGGCATTCCCTGCCTTTGCTCTCTTACCCTCTTCCTTGAGCTCTTAGCATGTTGCTGCTCCGTAGGAATGTTCTATGTCTTGGAACATGCCTTCTCCAGGCTGCTTGCCTGGCCAAAGGAAATCCAGGTACCTGGCATGACCAAGGAAAAGCCAGGCTTTCAAAGGAGCTGGATCTGCCTGTGCAGAAAAGGAATCCCCTAGAACCCTCTCTTACTCACAGCCTCTCCCCCTGAAATTACTCCCTCATCTACCCCTTCTCCTGGATTTGCCACAAAAATGTCCATCTCAGCAGTGGGCAGCTCACTGGCTGCATGGGGGTAGGGGGCTCCTGAAGGTTAATGAGGTTCAGGCTGCTGGTCCTCATGGAGGTCACTGTCACCCCCAGTCATGCCCCGGAGCCCTGTGCTGGCCTCTTCCTGTCGCCGGGACTTCATTAGAAATGTTAATTATTAATTATCACTAAAAGCCCTTTTTGCTGCATAGCTGTTCTCAATTGCTCTCACTATCTCTCTTTCTCCCTTTTTCTTTCTGTAACTGGATCCTGGTTCCTGGGTCTTCTGTTTTTCTTTGGGTCCTTTTCTCTGCTTGCCTTCACCTGCAGGCTTGGGAGCTGGGGTGTCCTGGGGCAAGGAGCAGCCAGGGATAGGCACCTGGACACATCCTTTTGCAGAGTCATTCTGGCCAGAGCACCCATTTCCTTCTTTCAAAGCATTGAGCACGCAAGGGTATAGAAACTGTGCAGAATCTGGGTGAGAACTGGGTCCTAATGTTCTGAATTATTTTTGATGGAAACCCAAATAACCCCCATTCTTTCCACTCTCTCTATCTTCAGCTCAGGTGCTAAGACCCACTTTTATTGGCAGACCAGGAAAGCCACCAAAAGAGATGTCATTTGAAGGCATCCTGGAAGGGTCCGCCTACCAAAAATGTTCTCTTCGTCCTGTTACGGTGTCATACTTCCACCTTAGGGAGGTGGCTTGTGGAGGGGAAGAGCACTGGAAGAGTCAGGTAGTGACTTAAGGCCCGGAGTTGTCACTATTTGCTGTGAGACCTTAGGTCACTTTCATCTCAGACTACATAGTTCAGCAAAAGAACATGGCTTGGGGGTCGGGAGACCTGGGTTTGAATCCCTGCTCTGCCACACTTACTGTGCAGACTTGCACAGATGAGTTAGATAACCTCTCTGAGCCTCATCACTTAAAACATGGCAATAATCTTTCCCTCTTTGGGATATTGGGGAATTTAATGAGATCATATCTCTAGCTCCAAGCTTGATACATTGTAGGTACTTAATAAATGTTCATATCTTATCCATAAAAAAAGAGATGAAAACTCCTGCCCTTTGTATATAACAGAGCTGAGGGGTTGAATTTCTGAACAATTGCTATATGCCAGCCACTATTTTAAATACTTTATACATATTAACTCATTTAACTCCCATAACAACTTTATGATGGAGACACTATTATTATCATTACTATTTATGAAGGAGGAGAATCAGATAAAGAAAAGTTAAAAAACATGACTGAGGCCATGGGCTAGTAAGTAGGAAAGGTAGGACATTTTTAGGGTCGTTTAGGGTCCAGAACTGTATTGTCCAATAATATGCCTCCTTCCCAGATATGGTTATTGAGCCCTTGAAATGTGGCTGAATTGGGATATGCTTTAAGTGTAAATTATAAACCCAGTTTCAAAGACTTATTTCAAAAAGAAAGAGAGAATGTAAAATAGCTCAGTAATAACTTTTATATTGACTACATGTTAAATAGGTAATATTTTGGATATGCAGTGAGTTAGATAAAATATATTACTAAAACTAACTTCACCTGTTTCTTTGTCTGATTTTTAGCATGGCTACTAGAAAATTTAAAATGACAGGTGGCTTGCATTATCTTTTCTTTGGGCCACATGGCCCAGAGCCCCCACTCATAGCCACCTACTATACTGTGGAAGCAGTGAGGATGTGTAGATACTGAAGTGCTAGGTTATATGAGAGTAAAGTCACTGCCAGCTCCTAAAGGGGGGCTTCTTGGGGTTTTGTCAATATCAGGGGTTCTCTTCCTAAAGTGTAGACACCTCTGACAGAATGATATTCCAAGCCTTCTCTAGGGCAGTCTAGGAACAGCTTCACAAAGACTAAGTCTTTGACCTTGAGTCTTTACTCACCTTCCTGCTGCCCAAACTTGGAAGAGGCAGTGAAAGGAAAGAGATCTTGTCCAAGACACAGTTTTGCTTCTCAGTTCTGACCCTGGGCAGGATGAGGGCTCACATCTAGTAGAACTGACATCCCGACCAGCTGCTCAGAGACCCCCACGGTGGGAGAGGGAGGCAAGCTCTCAGCCTGGGACTGGCTTTCCTCGGGATAGCCGCAATCTGCTCTGCCCCGGTTCTCTGGTAGATTTCTGTGTGAGTACCTCCAATGACAGGGAGCTCAATGCCCTGTCTGCCCCACTGCTGGACAGTTCTACTTTTTAGAAAACTCTTTTTTTTATTGAGCCACCCTTTACAGAATGCTCAGATTCTAAAAATAACTCTAAGTTCTGTTTTCTGGAACTGTGCTTTTCAAAATTCTAGAAAAAAGGGCAAGGAGCTTAGTACCCCCTAAGACCTGCTGAATTAAAATTTCCTGGAGTGAAAGCCTAGGAATTTGCATCTTTCCCTCTCTCAGTCTGTTTCTCTCTCTCTCTCTCTCTCTCACACACACACACACACACACACAAAAGCAGGGGCTCTCAGTCTTGGTGTCACAGTGCCCAATACTGTGATCAGTTGTGACATGTGCTGCCAGTATTTTTTCCTAAAAATAAAGTGGCTAAATTTTAAAATTATTTACCTCTTAAATTAACTTGCTCAGACTCAGGATTATTCCTCTAGTAGTATTGCTTTTACTCACTTGCCTTCTGGGACACCTTCTTGATTAGAAGAGAAGGGTGTGGTGTTACTGTCATGATGAGCACTGTGCATATCCACACCTTATCTCTGCCCAGGGATGTCAGCAATCAAGGAGGGACGGATGGGTCAGCAATTTACTAATATTGAGGCTGACTCTGTAACCAGCAATGTGCTAAGAAGTTTATGCATATTATTTCATGTAACTCTCCCGCTAATCCTTGGAGGGGGAACCAATATTGGCTTCATTTTCCTAGGAAGGAAACTGAGAAGAGAGGTTAGGTAACTTGCTTAACCCAGCTGGGAAACAAACAAATGAAACAGAATAAGACCTTGATAGGTAGGTAGATCTGTCTGTCTTGTTAGACCTTAATTGTTCCATGACAATTAGAGATGGCTGGGAGATTTATATAAACCTTGTCCAGGGACTTTGATAAGGGAATGCTGCCATCTCCCCCTAAGAGGACCCCAGGGACATAAAACGGGACCAAGGTGAGGCAAAGGAACACATTATAATTCTGGGGACACTGGCCCCAACCCCCAGTGCAGGGTGCTGGGGAGCTGTCCTGGACCCCTTGGGGAACTCTTACTTCAATGAGGACAGCCTAGAATCAAGGCCAGCTAAAAGGGCTGCTCTGCTGACGTCCATGCCAAAGTGTCTAGCCAATTATTGGCTTTTAACATTTCAACATGAGGAAAGGCCATACTTGCCAGCAAGAAGTAGATGAAAGCACCAAAGACCAAGAGAATGCTGTATGTGGGCAGTGTGGATTTACTTATCCCCACCCCAGTCAGGCTCTGCCCTTCCTAGAATGCCAGATGGGGTGGCAGGCAGAGAAGCTGTGACATTTTCTCAGCCACCAGATCCCTGCTGGAGACCACCAAGTCTCCACAATGAATGTGACTTTGTTGTGACAATGACACATTACTGTAAGTTCTTTACTTTCCTGCAAGTATACAGTGGCAGGGGGTGTCTAAAATCAGGGGTCTGTCATGGGAATGTGTTGAGTATGTGAACATTATCTGTCACATGGATTCCAGTGAATAAACATGGTTGGGAATGGCTGGTTTAGAGGATCCTCTGAGGAAATCTACTCTAGTTCCCACACAACAACCCTTCACATGTTTGCAGAAGCATTCATATTCCCCTGAATTGCGTGCTCCTGGACCCAAGTTTCCTAGCTCCCTCACACTTTCTATAGGCATGGCTTTCAGCTCCTGCACCATCTGGCTGCCGTTCTCAGGACATGCTCCAATTTCTCAATATCCTTCTTATCCTATAATGCCCAGGTTTGAGCATGGTGTTCCAGACAGGACTAACCAGTTCTAAGCACACCGAGGCCATGTTGTAGTCTAGACCAGAGACGTTTGCTTCCCTTAATTGTGGGCCAAGATTGTGTTCATTTTATGTATCATGTATCAACCACATAAAACAGTTGGACCAAGCTGAGCTAGTGGCCAACTTACAGAATAACAAACAAATAGGTCATTTTCACATGGACTGCTGCCAAACCAGGCCTACTCCATCCGGTACTTGTGCAATTAATTTTTAACCTAAATGTAAGACTTCGCATTTCTCTTTGTTTCATTCCATCATGTTGGTTTCAGCCCTATGTTCCTTCCTGTTGAGGTCATTTCTTATTTCCATTCTGTCATCTGTGGTGGTAACTATACTTCCCAGCTTTGTGTCAGCTGCAGACTTGATTAGAACCCCTTGTATGTCGTCTTCTGAGTCACAGGTAACAGTGCCAATGAGGTCAGCACCAAGGACAGAGCCCGATGGCTTGCCCCTACAGACCTCCTTTGGGTTGACACAGAAAAAACTAATCAACATGCTTTGACTGTGGTGCTCATCCAGCTGTGACTCCACTTCCTGTCCTCTGACCCAATTCTCATTTCCCCATCATGTCCTCAAGGGCACCAGGTAAAGCATTTGTCAAATGCCATGCTGAAATCAAGACACATTGGGTCCATATCACTGCTTTGATCTTCTGCCTGAATGAATGCTGCTGACATGCAATGGGCAAGATACTTACATGGCTCGGGGAGATGGAGAAAAAAATAAATGTGTAAATGACTGAGAAGATGGGGATTCACTATGAAAATAGGGAGAAACTTATTTAAAGTTGAAGGATTGGTACATAAACCTCTCCTAGAAAGTATCATTTTACTTCCCCAAATATGCATATTGTTTTCTTATAATAGCCTATCATGTGTTGTGATTATTGTGTACATTTTTATGTCCCCCATGAACCTTTAAATCTTTTCTTTTTTTTCTTAAGCCAGCTCTATATCTCTCTTATTATCAAATATTTTTTAAAATACCATCCTTAAGTCAAGGACTGCATCTTAATAATTGAATAAGAATATATGAAAAGTACCCAGTCCAGAGCTTGGATAAATGTAGGAGTCTAAAAAGTATTAGTTTCCTTTGTGTGCTCACAGCATGGCTCAAGGCCTTATACTCAGCACATGCTCAGTAAATGGGTGAATGGATGCACCCGTGCCTGAAGGACCACAGTGGATGTGGATGTCTCATATCTCCTTGGCATTCAGACTGAAATAGTAAACGCATGGGAATGATTACATGAGGAGACCTGGTACACAGATTTATAGTTGAACTGAGTCCAATCAGTTCATATCTGATTCATGTCAACCAAACCAACTTCACAAGAGGTCAGTTGTCAAACCAGAATACCACATATTAATTTGCTCTGAGAACTATTGTCTGACCCCAACTCAAGGGGAGATAGTGCACATCTGGCTAGAGGATGTAGATCAATTGAATAGGTGTTGGGAGAGGGACAGGGGATCCCAGAGAGGGCAAGAGCAGGATCAGAGATGAGCCCAAAGAGCATTTGATAGAGAGGCCAGGGCTCCAAATGAAATAAAGTTCTGTTGGTCTTAGGTCCAAGAGGTGGGCATGGGATCGAAGTGGGAGACAATCCAAGAGAGCAGGTGCCAAGTAAGTGCTAGAAAAATCAAGGAGTGAAAGTGGGCATGCTCTGAGATGGACCAGGACTTTTATTGCAAATATGGCTGATATGCCAAGACCTTGCTGTTACTGGGGCCAGCTGCATGCGTCCTGGGGTGGTTTGGCCAGGTTGGGAGACTTGGATCTGGATAGGCTGTTATGACAGTTAGATGCATCTAAATATACATTTCCCCCTGCTCCGTGCTGGAGAAATGCTGGCATTATCCAAATTCTCCTTTTAAACAGAATCCTTTCCTTTGTTAACCGATCAGCCTGTTATTACAAAAATACCTTTTTTTATATTCCAAGCCAGGATGGGCTTTGCACTAAGGCAGTCCTGGGTTCAAATCCCAGGACTGACACTTGTGACTGTGTGATCTTGGGGAAGTTACTTAGCTTTTCCAAGCCTTAGTTTCCCCACCTGCAGACTGGAAGTAATAATGTCTACCTCATGGTACTGCCAGGAAATTAGATTTAACATATCTAAAATGCTTGGCAGGTAGTTGTCATAAACTGTAGCCATCATTATTAACTGTGTGACTTTGGACAAAAGTCACTTAACTCCTCTGAGCCTCATTTCATCATGAACAGAATGGCTATAAGAATTGTGAGGATATGGGATGGAAAACATTTTGCAAAGTATGAAGTACTCAATAAACATACAAAATTATTATTACTTACAGGATGCTTAGACAGTGTAGGAAAGTCTCATTATTTTATATACCCACCAAGCCCAAAGATGTGCCCTGAGTCAGAGATCCAGGGACAGTCTTCAGGGAGCTCTGTGATGCTTTCAAAACTGTTTGCAAAGTGTTGTGAATATTCACACACAACATGTTCTCCGGGTGAGAGAATTGATAGCTTTAATTATATTTTCAAAGGGGTCCGTCTTCCCTAAAAGGTCAGGAAACATGGCCCTGGGATAATGAAAATATAGGAAAGCTATAGTTTCCCAACATTGTTGTTAAATCTGGGTATGGGAAGTCCCTCAGAATGAATAGTCAATACTGTGACCATCTGGGACAATTCCATATCTGGGTTCATTTCCCTTGAGTCTTTCTCTAGCATGGAGGAATTCAAGGTCCTACCTTGTCAGTTTGCTTGTTTCTAAAGCACTGCACATGAGCCTGGACTAGCTATTCATTCCCTCTGAATAGTTCCGCCCATTTGCAAAGGCCTTTCATGCCATTCCTGAGTAATTCCAAACAAGCCTGTGAGTTCATTTAGAATTATGACCCTTACTTTGTCAACAGTGAAAAGGGTTCAGCAATGCTTGGGACAGTGGCCAGCAGAGTTTATGTGCAGAGCAGAATTAGCACATGGGCAGTCAGGACAAGAACTGGAGGATCTGAGTTAGAGACCAAGTTCTTTTCCCCCTACCCAACCCCCAGCCATATGATTAACAGAACAGGCTAATTCGAGGACTCTTGTTTGCCACTGCGGAGTATTGGTGAAGAGGCTGAGGGCAGTTAGGGGTCCCTTGTCAGATGACAGTGTCTGATCCTGGTCACCTCACTTCTTCACTCACCCCTGAGGATAATGAAGAAATGGTCCAGCAGCAGACGATGCCATTATCTCTTCCCCATCTTCATTTCTCCACGAAGCAGTCACACGTGGATTACTCCCCACGCTTAAGGAGCCTTGGGGAGGAGGCTTAGACCAGCTTCACTCTAGGCATTGGGACAAGCTCCCTCTCTTACTCTCTCATCCTTCATTTGATGTGGGGTGGCCTTGCATCCCATAGGAACATCATGTTCTTACACCTGAGTTTGGATGTTAAGAAGAACAGATGGTTTCCTTTTGTACAGAGAAGGAGTATTCCTGCACAGTCTAGCATACTGGGATATAAGTTCAAACCCCAGCTAGTCATGGCAGTGATTGCTAACATTTATGTAGTAATGTAGCATGGTGCCAAGTGTTTTGCCAGCATTAAATGCATCTAATTCTCCCAAACAACCTATCAAATAAATACTACTAAAACCCCTTCCTAAGAGAGAAGAGAATTGAGGCATGAGAAGAGGAAGCAAACGACTTGCCCAAGGTCACACAGTGAGTACTAGTGGTGTCAGGATTCAAACCCAGTTGGTTCAGTAAATCCACATGCTTAACCACTGCACCACATTGCCTCTCTAAGAGGAAATCACCATTTCCTTGGCCCTGCCACATTTCTGCACATATCTATGCCAGGGTCTTGCTAGGAAGGGAGGTTCCTGGGCCAAGGCAGAATTTATGTATTGCTAGTTTGAATGGTAAATGTGGCCTGTTTCCTCATTTGTAAAGCGGAGACTATTCATACGCTACTTTCTTACAGAATTATCGTGTAGATCAAATGAGCCTTTGGGTGTGAAGGCCTTGTAAACACTGAGTATTGACCAATACGAGGCATCACCGTTATTATTACTGGTTGAGCATCTCTAAGAGTCTCAGCTGCTTGGGGTGATATACAGCCTATGAGGCTGCTAGAGCTGGTGATTAGAGATCTCTTCACCTGCTTTTCCAAGGCCCAGATCCCCTTCATTCCTAGTTTTCCCTCAGAGGAGTCGAGAGAAGGGGCTGGGCATGGTAACTCACACCTGTAATCCCAGCACTTTGGGAGGCCGAGGTGGGCGAATCATGAGGTCAGGAGTTCGAGACCAGCCTGGCCAACGTGGTGAAACCTGTCTCTATTAAAAATACAAAAATTAGCCAGCATGGTGGTGTATGCCTGTAATACCAGCTAATTGGCAGGCTAAGCCAGGAGAATCACTTGAACCTGGGAGGCGGAGGTTGCAGTGAGCCAAGATCGCACCACTGCACTCCAGCCTGGGTGACAGAGCAAGACTCGGTCTCAAAAAAATAAAAAAAGAGTCAAGAGAAGGCATTTTGTCTTCCAGCCCAGAACATGACCCAAATCCCAGGAGGAAAAGATGTACCAAGACACTGAGCGGTTTTGCCAACACATTTGCGCTGGTGCCCTGGACAGCTCCCAACGCTGGCAATCAATCGTCGCCGGCCTCTACCAGCCACTTGCTGCCGTTTCCCCATCTCTGTTTTCACTTGCCCTCTACCCCATCCTGCCACACAGTTGAAGTGTCTGTCATAAATGGATGCTGCACTGCACTTCTGAAAAGTCCAAACTCCAGGTCCTGGGACACAGGGTACAAGAAAAAGGAGTGAAGAAGAAAGAAAATAGTTAGCCCTCCGATGTCGTGTTTCTAAGATTGTCCCTTTCTGCCCGCCTCCCACTCTTTGGAGTGGTAGGTTCAACTGAGCATCTGCTTATTTGGCCAACAGCTCTAACGGTGGCACAAAAGAAAGCTCCAGCACTTGAGGAGGCCCACCTTCCGCCAGGCATTTCACTCACTGAGGTGCGAGGCTTCTAGAGGGAGAAGGGGCTCCTAGTTGGTTGGGTTTTAAAAGATGGAGAGAGGAAGTAGTTTCAGTGAAGAAGGGGTGTGGAGAAGAGGAAACTCATGGTGGGGCAGTAGTTCTAGGAATTGGGTGAGCAGGGATTGGGAAAGGCCATGTTGGGATTGCTGGGCTCACTGTTTGCTGGCTGGGGGTCCAAGCTGCAGAGAGATGTGGGGTATCCAGGCAGCAGAAAGAGGACTGATGGGAGCCTGCTTGGATTGAAAGATAGATCTGGAAGTGGGGCTATACTGGGTGGGTATTCTGTGAGTTTCCCATTTTACAGATGGGAAAACTGAGGCCCAAGTAAGTAAAATGGCTTGGCCAGGGTCACATGGGTAGTGGCAGAGCTAAAACTAGAACTTGGTTTCAAGTCAGGCCTGGAATAACTAGGGATTTGGATGCTTATTGATTTTGTGGCCTTGGACAGCTTCCTTAACCCTCAGAGCCTCAATTTTCCCCATAAGTATAGTGGAGATGATAATATTTACCCTGTAGTGCTGTTTTGAGGACTGAATGAGCACTGGGTGATGCTCCATCTGTGTCCTTTCCACTGCGCTCATCAGTCTTCAAGGCTGGGCAGTCTTACCATGCAAGGGATCCAGAAACTCAAAATATTCATAATCTGGGTTGTTTTGAGGGCAGATTTTGTCAGGCATTTGGGTAGCAGAGCATATGCAGTGAACAGAGAACACAGATGGATCAGAGAAGCAGGAAAGGAATATGGACCTTTCCCCATTGCTGGTGCACTTTGCTCTCCCATTTTAGTGTCTCCTTCTCACTGTCTTGATGACTTTCCTTCCTGCATCTCCTCCCCACTCTTACTTAGCCATAAATAGAAGTACATTCACCATTACTTTCTGTTTTTAATGAATAATACACTATAGCCTCTGATCTGAATTTTAAAATTACCCACCCCCTTCGTCAATTTATTCAATACTCATTCATTCAACAAGTATTTATTGAGCATCTGCTATGTGCCAGTCATTGTGCCAGGAGTTGGGGATATAGCAGTGAACAGAGCAGTCTAAATTCCCTGCCCATGTGGAACTTATCTTCTAGTGGGATAATTACCCGCCTCCACCCACATCCCTCACTGAATATATTTAGTTTCTATTTTTATTACTTTCTTCCTTGGCTGGTGTGTGTGTGCGCGCGCACGAGCGTGTGTGCGCGCGTGTATATCAGTGGTCCTCCATATAGAATAATCCCTACCATGGCTCAAATCTATTGTCTTGTATAGTAAGGCTTGGTTAACACTCAAAAGAAAGCGGAATAAGTGGCAAAGCCGATGACTCTCCTCCCCAGGTCCCACACCCACCATGCTGTTTTCCAGGACTTGATCATTTCAGTTTGGTTAAAGAGCGGTGGCAATCAGGGGTCTACATGGTCCTCTCCTCTGTCGTTCTGTGGAGTCACTGGGGGCAGGGCCGTGTGTGCTCTGTGGGGAATAGTGCTGGGTATGCAGTAGGGGCTCAAAAAGATTTGCCGAATAAATATGTGTAAATGGATAAACTGATAATCAGAGCCTGTTGGTACTGTTTGGGTGAGGGCAGGACCAGGCAGTCTAGTGGTGTGCTTTGATTTGGGAGGTCTGGCCGTGGCAGGGCTTATCCTAGAGCAGATCTAATCCTGAGCTCTCACATGAGGGGAAGAAGTATGGCCCCTTGCTTCTTGCTGGGTCTCTTCCTCCCAGAAACCTAGTTGTTAGCCTCCTCTGCAGCTGCTGGGATTTACACAGTCCTTGGGAGTGTCTGTGAGTGAGAGAAGGTCCTGCTAAACAAAAAAGACAAAAGATAAGTGTTGGCAAGAATGCGGAGAAAAGGGAGCCCTTATACATTGATGGGAATGTAAATTAGGAATGCTTTCTTAAGAGCAAGGACAGACCAGAGAAAGGAAGGCTGGCTGCTGCTTGCACAGTAAGTGCCTATAATCTGCTCAGGGAGGTGAACCCGGGGCCTTATCCCTCTGAGCAAGAGATTAAAGGTCTGAACTTGTGATTGCTGCTTGGCTGGGGATCTCTGCCATACACCAACAGGGAGCCCCGAGAGCACAGCTGCTGCTGGAGGAAGTCAGCATGGGGACCACCAGTGGCAGGCTGTTGAAAACAAATGGGGCAAAGAAACGATTCCGATGCTATCGATTGGAGCTGATGTTTGCAGAACAGCCGGAAATGACTTACTTGACTTCAAAACCAATAGGGAAACTGAAGTCAATGAGCCTAGGACAGACCTTGCTAAGCCCTGCAAAGGGTTTCTGTGTCCCCTGCCCTTCTCCCCTCCCTCCCAGAAATACCAATTACACATTAGCCCAGCCATCTCAACACCACTGAAACCCTGGTCTGGAGGATGGGATAGATACTCCCAGCCACCCAGCTCCTCCCTCCCCACTCCTTACCTTGGATGGCCTCCAGCTTTAATGGCTTCCTCAGCCTCCCACCGGGCTGGCTGCTGCTACCACCACCATCTGATCGCAATCCCCCCTTGCAGCCGTCATCAAGGCCTCCACTGTGTGTCAGGATGTGGATGAATGCCTTCACCCCCTTGGGTTAGTGGAGACACACTGGAGCTTTTGTTGTTGTTGTCGCTTACTTAAAAGGAACTCCACTAGTAAATTACAAAAACAAATCAGGAAAACAAAGTACAAAAGCTTAGAAATGGATGCATTTGTAGAGCAGGGATTCTTCCATCCGAGATAACTCAAGATTAGCTCAGTGAGCAGGGCCTACTAGAAACCCAGGCTCTCATACATAAGCCTTGTGAAATGATTATTCAGCAATTAAAAGGAGGAAAAATTTTTTTAAAAGCCCAGCCTCTTAATTTTTTTTCTTTCTCTCGCTTTTTCTTCTTTCTTTCATTTCTTTCTTTCTTTCTTTCTCTTTCTCGCTTTCTTTTCTTTCTTTCTCTTTCTTTCTTTCTTCTTTCTTTCTTTCCTTCCTTCCTCCCTCCCTCTTTCTTTCTTTCTTTCCTTCCTTCCTTCCTTCTTTCCTCCCTCCCTCTTTCTTTCTTTCTTTCTTTCTTTCTTTCTTTCTTTCTTTCTTTCTTTCTTTCTTTCTTTCCTTCCTTCATTCTTTCCTCCCTCCCTCTTTCTTTCTTTCCTTCCTTCCTTCCTTCTTTTTCTCTCTCTCTCCTTCCTTCCTTCCTTTCTTTCTTCCTTCCTTCCTTCCTTCTCTCTCTTTCTTTTGCCTCCACTGTGTCTTTGCCTGGGTCTCCCAAGAAGTAGATGCCAAGATGGGATTAAAGAAGCATGGATTTTACTAGGGGGACATACCTATGAGAGAGAAAATGGGGAGGGAACTATAAAAGGCTGGAAGAAGCAATGCAAGTCCAACCTCAAGTGAAGAAGAGGAAGAAGAGGAAGAAGACAGGTCCAGTAGGGGAATGCTTGGCCGCTCTGCAGTTTGAGGAAGGCTCAGCAAGGCCATTGTAGAGTCCTCAAGCCAAAGTTGGCTGTCAGAGGAGTCCGATGTCTCCAAGGAAGGGACCTGCTTTTGTATTCCTGTTGTGCTTAGTCTTCAGCGAGGAGCAGAGCCTAGGAAGTATGGCTTCAGTGCAAACTAGGTGATGGATTTCAGAGTCCAGCACTGAGAGTCTTGGTCAGTTCTGCTGCCTGCAGTTGGAGGTCTGCCAGGCACATTCTTATGGCCACCATAACCCTGTCTGCATTGGGATGTCTGAAACCAAGCCACAGACAGATTCTACCCTTTTTCAATGGACTCTGGCTCTTTCTCTGGTCTTCTAGATAGCCACATAACTCACTCCCACTATCCCGTTTTCCACGAAGTCTCCCCTGGCTACTCCATATAAAATTACAACTTTCTGGCTGTCAGTGGTGGCTCACTCCTATAATCCCAGCACTTTGGGAGGTCAGGGTAAGCAGATCACTTGAGTCCAGGAGTTTGAGACCAGCCTGGCCAACATAGTGAAATTCTGTCTTTACTAAAAATACAAAAAAATTAGCTGGGTGTGGTCATGCATGCCTGTAATCCCAGCTACTCAGGAGGCTGAGGCACGAGAATCACTTGAACCTGGGAGGCGGAGGTTGCAGTGAGCTGAGATTGCGTCACTGTACTCCAGCGTGGGCGATAGAACAAGACTCCATCTCAAAAAAAGAAAAAGAAAAAAAACTATAGCTTTCTGTCCAACGAAATATACACGCCTCCTTCCCTGTGTATATTTGCCCCGGCTCTTATCACTATCTAACCTACCATATGTTTTTATTTATTGTGTTTATTGTCTCTCTTTCCTACTAAGGTAGCATTCCATGAGAGCATTAGCAGGATTTTCGTCTATCCTGGTCAGTGCTGTATTCCCAAAGCCAAACAGTGCCTGGCACCTGATAGCTATTTGTTGAATGAATAAAGAGTGGCTCTTGTTCAGGGTAATCTTTGGGCTCAGTGTCTCCAGCAGCTATGTGGACCTCAGGAAAAGGGCTCCCTTTTTTAGAGCTTGAGAAATTCACATCCCTTTCCAGGAGCTATAGAAGTAGGTGCTATGGTGCAAGGATTAATAGCATAGGATTTGGCATTAGACAGACTCAAGTACTGATTCCAGCTCCATCACTTACAAGTTGTGTGACCTTAAGCAAAGCACTTAACCTCTCTGTGCCGGGGCTCCCTCATCAGTGAAATGAGGACAAAAATCTACCACTCAGAATGGTTTTAAGGTTGAGAAGCTTCCGATGACCCCAAGTAAGGCTTGATGAAGACTTTTCCTTACTTAAGGGTCAGCACTCACTAATTGTTTATCAACAAACAATTTTTTCACCTGAGGGAGAACTTCAGCTCTGCCTACTTCCCCAGGTCCTCTGGGCCTTCTCCTATGATTCCTCACCTCCAGTCATTCCCCCTGCCCGAAGAGCTGTAAGGCTTTGGAATTCCTTAACTCTAGGTCTCCATCATAACTGATAACTATCATTTTCATGGGGGATGATTGCTTTGCATACACGGTTATACAACTTAAATAATTAGAGCTGTATGATGATGGGGACTGTGTATCTGGTCCCCTGCTATGCCCCCAGGGTCTGATGCTACGTGAGTACACAGTCAACATTATGAAGTCATCACAGCCAACTGGAAGGTTGATATCATTCCTATTTTACAGATGTGGAGACTAAGGCTTGCCCACAGTCACAGATTAAATAAGTGGTAGAGCCAAGACTTCAACCCAGATCTGTCTGATCCCCAAACCTGAGAGTTTTCTATTCTATGAAGCTGCCTGAGGAAGGTGGCTCTTTCACATTATCCTCACACAAAAGGAGAGCCCAGGTGTAGGCACAGACTCATGGTGGTCTCAGGACTCATCTGGTACCCTGGTTGTAGAAAGTATCAAGGTATTCAGATTCAGTGGTGGTGGGGAGAGTATGGCTTCACAAACACTGTGCCTTTAGCCCATTGACTTTTATTGCCAGTATGTTCTTTTCCAGATTGGGTGAATCATCCTTGGTTGGCGGGTAGACCTCTCTTAATTTTTTTAGCTGCCCCTGAATTCTTGACAACGTTGAGTCATTCCTTGGCAGGACATTGCCAATGTTGTGGCAATTGGGACAATTGGTGTGAGCCGAATGGCTTAGTTATCTAACCTATAGGTTTTCTTTAAACACAGCACAGAGTTTAACTCTGTTCTAGGGAGTGTTTGAAAGAGCGGTGGCAGTTCTTTAATCCTTGCAGAATGCTTTCAAAATCTCAAGGGTGGGTGGAGGTAGGTGGAAGACAGAGGGGGTATATTTGTAAACTGTAAAGGATGTCTTTTAACAATCCAAGCTGGGCTGTTTGTGCTTGAAATAAGACTCAGGCAGGCACACAAATACACAAACACCCTGTGATGAAAAACCTCAGTCTTTATTGTACAAACAGCTGTGTTTGCCTTTAAATGATGCAATTAAAATAATGTTAAGGATAAGTAGAGTGTGGCCTTAGCTAGGGTCCTATTTGAGAATCAGAGGAAGAGCTGCTGATGGGGCATGGTTTTTGAGAGACATCTCAAAGGCTGTTCTTTCTCAAAAACCTCCCACCCTCATTCTGCTTTGGGGGCTGTGACTTTTCACCATTGGCCACTAGTAGAAGGTATAACATTGGGCCTTTTATCAAAGATCTGGGGTATATATAGGTGATGAGTAAGTGGTAGCATATTAATGCACTCGTGCACAGTGACACTCAGTCATTTTAGGTGTCAAGTTAGCAAGCTGATGCCCTGGGAAAGCTTGGAGAATACAGGTGATAAGCTATGGTTTGGCTGTGAAGTCTTGTTGCTTTTGTTCACCCAGCATATTTTTTCCTTTTTTTTGAGACAGAGTTTCACTCTTGTTGCCCAGGCTGGAGTGCAAAGCACAATCTCACCTCATTGCAACCTCTGCCTCCCGGTTTCAAGCAATTCTCCTGCCTCAGCCTCCTGAGTAGCTGGGATTACGGCACCCACCACCACGCCAGGCTAATTTTTTGTATTTTTAGTAGAGAAGGGGTTTCATCATATTGGCCAGGGTGGTGTCGAACTCATGACCTTAGGTGATCCACCCGCCTCAGCTTCCCAAAGTGCTGGGATTACAGGCGTGAACCACTGCGCCCAGCAGCATATTTTTTTCTAGACATAGGATCCTGATTTTAATTTGGGGAACCATCCCTCCTCTAAGCTTAGTCCATGGAATTTCAGTGGGCATGTGACCTAGGCTTAGCCAGTCAGAGCTCTGCATTCTCTTGGGCACTGTAATTGGATCAAGAATAGGCATGTGACTTGATCCAAGCCAATAGGAGGCCTTATCTAGAATTGTGCTGGCGCTATTGGGACAGAGCTGTATTCCTGCAGGTTCCTAAGCTGGTGGAATGCAAGGCTGGAACACCTGGGTGGGAGTGAAAGACGTAATGGAGGAAGAGTCTGCCTGAGAGTAAAGCCAAGGCAGAGGAAAGGAGACTGGAAAGAGAAGAGGGACACAGTCCTCAGGACATTAGAAGCCCTGGATCTTGTCATGCCTAAAAACAATTTACTTTCAACTTTTATATGATATAATGAACTAATAACTTCATCTCTCCTAACACCCTCTCTTTTCTTTTTTACCTAAGCTTGTCACCTGAAACTGAATCTTGATTCGATATATTTTACTTGTTTACTCCTTTTTCTCTCCCACCAGACTGTAAGCTTCCTAAAAGCAGGAATTTTTGTCTTATTCATCTTTATATCCTTAGTATCTAGCATAGTAGAACTTCAGTACTGAACTGTAGCAGCCAAAGAGAAAAGATGCCAAGAGTGTTCACTTTAAGCAAGGTGGTCTTGAACAACAAGATGGCCTATTCTGCTTCCCTAGTGCAGAGGCAAACTGAAGAGCTATGCATCTTTTCTGAGCCATTGTGCAAAGGGCTTGGCGGGGGGAAGATCAGGGTGGACTATATGGAAGAGAGTGGTGCTTGATCCAGGGAAAGAGATCCACAATGATTATCAACAAAGAGTGGGTGAGTGCTGATATTAGTACCCAGAGATCAGATGCAGAACTAAATGAGGGTTGGAAAACCAGAAAAAGCAAGAATGCATGCCCAGAGGTCAAAACTAGCAAATGGGAGGTGACTGGATGGATTTTGGAGACAGAAGTCAATATCTTCAGCTTGGCATTTGATAGAGAGGTCAGGCCCATTCAAAGGGAGATGTCTTAGTTCATTTTATGTTGCTATGACAGAATATCACAGACTAGACAATTTAAAAACAACAGAAATTTACTTAGCTCATAGTTTTGGATGCTGGGAAGTACAAGAGCATGGCACTGGCATCTGGTGAGAGCCTTCTTGCTGTGTCATCCCATGGCAGAAGGCAAGAGGGCATGAGAGAGCAGAGAGAAGTGCTTTTGTAACAAACCCACACTCACAATAACTCATCCACCCATGAAATGATGAGAGGCAGAGTCCTCATGACCTAATCACTTTTTATTAGGTTCCATCTCCCAATACAGGGGATTACGTTTCTGATACATGAACTTTAGGGCACACATCAAACCATAACAGGGGGAAAGACAAGATGAGGAGAGATGAAAATTTGGGGTGCCTTCCCAGGAGGCTGGACTCAGAATGTGTAACAGAGACAACATTCCCCATTTTCATCATTTTTCTAAAACCTTTAAATTTGGTGACAGAAGTTGTTGGTACCCTTCTTCCAACTCTGCCTTTTATGGGAGTGAATTAACTTGAGTGGGAGAGATGGGTAGGGGGCTTTAGAAGCATCTCAGTATATCCTGGTTTATTCCATAATTATGCATGACCTCATGGAGCAGCCCCTGCCCGGGTACCCTGTCTTCCAAAGTAAATCCAAGTGTGAGTCATTGCGTCATTCCCATATACTGACTAGAAGAGACCAAGTTAGATTTCAAACAAGCTCAGGACACCTAGTATTCAAAAACTTATGAGCCAGGAGCCACTTCTTCTTCCATCATTAAACTTATTGAATCTGTTCTCAAGTCTCTATATCTGGATATCTGGATGCCATGCTCCTGTATAAAGGAAGGAGAAGGATGTCTCCATGGCTTAAATAAGTTGAACATTTAATAAGCCTGAGCCTTAAGTATTGCTGGGGGTGATGCAACAGGAATCAGCAATCAATAGTTGCTCTTTTTAGAGTGACTAGCTGCATCCCATAGGAAAACTTGTTTAGTCTCCTTCCTTCTCTGTCTTATGACTCCCCCAAATCCTCACTCTGGCACCAATCAGGAGATGCATGGGAAAAGGTGAGTCAGCATAGCTTTTGCTCCCTACATGACAGAGTCAGAGAGTTTAATTGATAAGCCAGGAGATTTGGATTGTAATCCTAGCTCTTTAAGACCTTCATTCTTTGGCCTTTGGAAAGAGTCGCTCCTCTCTGAACTTCAGTGGCTTGTTGATTCTGTAACTCTGGGAATTGATGATAAAGCAATCCCCTCCCGTGTGTGTGTGTGTGTGTGTGTGTGTGTGTGTGTGTGTGTGTGTGTGTGTGTGTGTGTAATGAAGTACTGTCCAGGGCTTGGAAGGCTGAGCACTTGGCCTCAGTGTCTGGATCTTGCCTTGTGAGATGTCTACAATCCCTTTGGGCTGACCCCAGCTTTCTATATGTGTCCTCTCAGCCACACCTCCCAAAAGATGCCTGGATTTTTTAGTTGGGAAATCTAAAGTTGGCAAACTTTAGAGGAGACCAAAATGTTGTGCCACCAGAGACCAGCAGGGGTTTCAATAAATGAAACTTTAGCATTGAAAACATTCAAGTCCAATTCCCTCAGAAAAGTTACTGAAAATAAAGATTATTTACTTAAACACCCAAAGATAGCATTTACGAAAAAGGCACTTTGCAGGGAAATCAATCTTAATGTTGCCTTTCGTGATTCCAAATCCGTATGTGCTGTTAAGAAGTGGCCCTTAACATTTCCTTGGGTCTCTGTTCACCAGGACTCTCCCCAGATAGACCTGTTTTTGCTCTGGGGCTTTCTCTTCTTTTTTCTAATAAAGTTATGAGAAAACTGGAGGATAGGCAGTGGGACAGCCACCCTATGATGAGCACTGATATTAAGAAGGGTTCTTGTCATTTGGTTCCCAACTGCAAGTCATTACAAGGAAAGGAACGTTAGTGATAGAAAGGCACAAGCTTCAGCTCAAATCCTTAACTTTGGGATTTTGTCATAAAACTCTTATGCTGAGAATGGTCTTTTAGAGTCCTTTGCTCACTACTCATGCACAAGTGTCTGAGTTTCCCAAGGGAAAAATAAGCAAAACCTTCATGCTGCCTTTGGATTAATTTTTTTGTAGCTTAGAAGTTGGTACAATATCAAGTGATTAAGTGAACGATGACATTCTTTTCTCGCCTTAGATCAGTTTTGCTTTTCCCATGACAACCTGAAAATAGATATCTATATTATCTCCATTTTATAGATGAGGAAACATAAGCTTAGAGAAGTAAAAGAATTCATTCAAGTTCACATAGACAGTCAGTGGCAGAGTCAGGATTTAGACCCACATATTTCTGATTTCAAAACTCAAGTTCTTTATCCCAGAACTGGCATTTGGCATGTATTGCTATACATCCTGTGTAACTTGCTACTTTGAATTTAGCTCTTTGTATTTTCTGCAGATCTTGGCATATACAAAAAGCTCAATAAATGCCTCTTAATTAGTTGATTAGTGGTGAGGGTTTTTTCTTAATTTGATTCCTATGATTTTATTATTTATTTCCAACTAGTAGCATTTTAGCCTTCTTGAGTATAAGTCATTAAAGACCTGGGATGGCCTTTGTTGACAAGTATCATTTTAAGTTCTGGATTCCAAATAAGGAATTAATAGATAGATGTCAGAGAAGGAGCTGAACTAGAGCTCCTGAGTCTTGATCTAATTAGGGAGCTTGATGACGATTTTGTTTATAGACTATGAATCATTCATTTCATTTCCCAGGACATTCAGCTAAGCTTCTTCATTACTACTACCACAACCATCATCATCAGCATCACCACCAGTATATAGGTACGGAGATCTTTATGCTTGCAAGATACATTTCTAGATTCTGGAATAGATATAAAGCAATATAATATAGTTCCTATCTTTGAAGAGTTTTCAATCCAATTGGGAAACCAGGGAAGGCTTCAATGTGGAAGTTTAGCCTGAGCTTTCAAAGTAAAGTTGTTTGGAAGAGAAGAGGAGTATTGTTAGAATTTATAATATTCCAGACAGAGGGAACAATATAAGCAAAGGCAGAGAGATATGGAAGTACATGCTTTCAGAAAATCCGTATTTAAAGATGTGTAAGCACTAGAATGGAGGGTATTTAAAAGTTGCAACCCATCTGTAATATATCTTATGTGGTGTGAGGTAGGGATATAACTTTATACTTTCTCCCCTCAGCACCATTTAATGAATTGTCAATCGTTTCCCAACTAATTAAAAATAAGACCTTTTTCATATATCAAATTCCCTTAAAGACTTGGGTCTGTTTCTGAATTCTGTTTCTGTTTCATTGACCTCTTTGTATCTGGGCCAGTACCACGTTATTTAAATTCATAAAGCTTTGCAATATGTCTTGACATCTGGTAGGACAAGACCCTCTCTTTGTTCTTTTTCAAAATAGTTATGGCTATTCTTGCACATTGACTCTTCCATATGAATTTTAGAGGTTGCTAATCAAATTCCCTGAGAAATCACAGGGGGTATGAAAGGAATGCCGTGAGGCATAGAGGAGTGTAATGGACCATGAGGCTGGCAAAGTAGTTTGAAGGTCAAATGATGGAGACTTCGATTGTCTAGCCAAGACTTGCAGAGCCCACAGCACTTCTGGGCATTTTTAAAGGAGCTGAGATAACTTTTGGCATCCAGGCCCCTCCCTTAAGAAACTTGTCTGTAATGCCTTGCACGTAGACTGCTACAGACTGGCCAGAACACCCATGTCCCCAGAGCTCTGCATGGCGGGCTGAAGAGAGATCTCAGCCTGTCAGAGGAGCAAAGAAAGTCTTGTCCACCTTGCCTATTCAGAACTCAGAAGTGACCTGATTCTGGTCAGGTGCAGTGGCTCACGCCTGTAATCCTAGCACTTTGGGAGGCTGAGGCGGGTAGATCACCTGAGGTCAGGAGTTTGAGACCAGTCTGGCCAACATGGTGAAACCCCATCTCTACTAAAAATACAAAAATTGGCCAGGCGTGATGGCATGCACCTATAGTCCCAGCTACTCAGGAGGCTGAGACAGGAGACTTGCTTGAATCCCTGGGGGTGGAGGTTGCAGTGAGCTGAGATGGCATCACTGCACTCCAGCCTGGGCAACAGAGTGAGACTCCATCTCAACAACAACAACAACAAAGTAACCTGATTCTGAAGTCCCAAGGCAGTTCCTTTCTCTCTGCCTTGGTCTTTTGACTGCCTCTGCTTTCCCTGGCCACCATCTGTCACAGTTACAGATGATTGGACAAAGATAAGGAGAGAGAGTCAGCTGTCCATTGTGTCTTCCTTGAGGACTAATGTCAGCCTTGGATCAGAAATCACAGGGAGCAACCCTGGCCTTTGGGTTTTGGGGGGAGCATGTGAGCCCCTCGAACAAGTCTCCAGGGAGAGGCTGCCCTCTCATCCATCCCATTGCATTAGCTACAAGACAGAGGCATAAGAGCTGGAAAATGCCTCTCCTCTGCCTGCCTTTCTGGTTTCTCTCTTCTTTGTTTTTTGTGTATGTCTTCATTCAACATGTATTAAATGAACACTTGCTATGTGTCAGGTGCCGAGTAAACAATGTGAGCAAAACAGGCTTAGCTTCTGTCGTCATGGAGTTTATGGTCTGGAGGAGGAGACAGCAAGCGATAAGCTAACTAACAAACATACACATACTTCCCTTCTTCTCCAAGCATAGCCCTCCTTCAGGAAGCCTTTGCCAAAAATGGACAGAGGAATGTGGGCTGATGTATTTATTAAAAGGAGAGGGTTCTAGCCATACAAGCCTGGGGGTGCTTGAGTGAAGAATAATGGGTGGTTTCTATGTGTAAGAGGCAGTCTTGAAAATATGACTGGGATTCCCATTTGTTTGACCCTGCCAGGTAATTCCTGTCTCCCTTTCTGAGGGTCAGATAAAAGTCTCATATCTGAATAACATCCCCCACTGGATGGCATGAACTATAGGAGGATGGAGGTGTTATTCTGTTCTAAGCAAGGAGGAGGAGAATGGTGAATACATTCTATATCCAAAGGTGATGGGGAGGAGGACAGAATATTCTGGCAGGAGAATCCTGACTTCTCAGAGGCAATCTGTAAAATGTCCACCCCAGAGGGGTTCCTGGAGCTGGTGACTACCATGTGATGTATATGATTGAAATTCTGAGTCAGTTCTGCAGCCAGTCGAATCTGAGAGACCAGGAGAGCAAGGAATATATGAAAAGGAGAAAGGGATGGTGGCATGGCCTTGAACCCAGCCACAGGCCATCTCAGGAGAAGATGGAGGAGAAGGAGCATGTAGATCCATGGAAGAGGTGCAGGGGGCTCTTGATGAAAGGGAAAATCAGAAAGGACTTTTATCCACTTTCAGAACTCCAAGGACAGAAATTTTTTAATACTGAATATAGGCACATGGAATTTGTTAAAAAACAAATAACAGGAGTGTGGGGGATAGGGAGAAATTTGTTAAAGGATACACAATTACAACTAGATAGGAGAAATACGTCTAATGTTCCATACCACTATAGAATGACTATAGTTAGAAATAATATATTATAAAGTTTTGAATAGTTAGAAGGAGGATTTTGAACATTGCCAATACAAAGAAATGATAAGTGTTTGAGATGATGGATATGCTAATTACCCTGATCTGCTCACGACACATTATGTATAATGAAATCTCACTACATACCCCATGAATAAATACGATTATTATTTGTTGATTTAAAAATAAAAAATAAAAATAAGATAAAGTGAAAATTAACAAATTAGAGGTATGGCTTTGAGAAAGGCACAAGGTATCAGTTTCTGCATGTATAAATAAATATACTGTGGGGAAGGTGGAATGAGGTGCTGAGTGTGGTGTTTAATTATTTATAATGGTTTTTCCACCTTTAATATCATGTGTTTCTGTTTCCATGCGGTGGTCACTATGTACCTAGAAATGTGCTGGGATCTTTAATTTTAGTTTTACTTTTGGAAATCTATAGACTCTTTGAGGACAATCGATATATTCTTAGCATAAAGTTGCATAAAGTTTTGTTGATGAAACAATAAATGAGTGAGGAATAAATAAAACATATGAAAAGAGCCTACTTCTAGGTTAGAGCAATCAGAAAATACTCTTGAAATTTTTTTTTAAGTCTGCAGACAATCCATATTTAAGTTGAAATTCTGACCGTACTCTCCAGTTCCAGAGAGTGCTGTGGACAGCTCCGTGGTGCTGAAGGTAGAGCTGTAATGAGGTGAATGCAATGTAGTTTCCAATTCAGTGTCCATCAATTCACTCATCCCACAAACATTCTCTGAGGGCCCATTACATGCAGGCAGCATCTAGATATAATAGGGAAGAAGCAGTCTTTGAGTATTTTAAAGTTGAAGATAACCTTAAAGGAAATGACCAGAAACTACTACAACACAGGTTTCCAAGAAAAACAGGAAAGGAAACACAAAAGAAAGACTATTTAAGTTTAAAAAGTTGTATTTAGAAAGATTAGGAAACATCATAATAGATATAATTTATTGAGTTCCTACTATAAACCAGGCTCTGTACATACATTATTTCTAAATAGCTCCATAAGACAGGGACACAGAGAGAGTATGAGTTCAGAATCACATGGCTTGTAAGTAGTGGAACAAGATAGAGACCATGCCTGTGTTCCTTCAAAGCCTGGATTCTTCCTATATCATTATAATTCCCCATTAGGGGACTATGGGAGAAAGAAACATACTAGTCTTTACAGTTTGCTTATGGAGCTTGTAGAGAGAAAGGTCAGTTCCTTTGCTCCTTTTCATCCTCAGAGTGTCTTCTTACCATCTTGGCCTTGGGACAGCACTAGCTTGGGGTAAGAGGGAGTGAAGAGACTCCAGAGCTATGTGAAATGTGTGAGGTGCATTAGTCAGAGATCTTTCAGTAGGATAATAGTTTCCTCAACTCAAATAAGCCTAATAAATGAAAGGCTATTAGTTCATAAGATTAAAAAGTCTGGGTATAGATCTAGCTTCAGAGATGCTGAATTTGTGTATGTGTGTGTGTGGAGGGAGTGTTATATGCTGTCATCATGACTCTGTCCCTTTCCCCAGTCCTTGTTCTCCAATTTGCTTTTCTGAAGATCAGTTCCCATCATGTGAGACAAGGTGGCTGCCATGAGACCCAGAATCCCACCATCCCTGATTTGCAACACAAACAGAAAGGTACCATCTCCCTTCCAATTTCCATGCATCAGTCACAGTGGAGATTCTGAGTGGCTCTGCCTAGGTCCTGTGCATGTACTTTGATTGATCAGCCTGAGTGGTATGGCCTCACCTGTGGAGACAAAAGAGCATACAGGGAACAAGAATGAGAGCTCTGACCACATCCCCAAAGTGAGGGAGGAGCTCCCTAAAAAACCAGAAGAAAGACAGTGGGGAATCCAGCTGGAGAAACAAAGGTGGTAAATACCCTGGCCCCCTGTGTAGAAATGCAGAGCCCCAGCCAGTTAGGTCAGGGGCTCCCTGGATGGCTTTTATCTTTGGAGAGGGAAGTGGGGAGGCTGTGAGAAGCAGCTCATTGGAAAGTTGAGCAGCCCTGCTCAGTGAACTTTTGGGGACAGAAGCAGTTCTGGTCCCTGGTTTTACCTGCAGAGCTCACCTTTATAAGCATATCCACAAAAGCAATAACCTCTCTATTCTCTGCAGTTCAGCACAGGCTGTCTGACCATCTTCTCCTCAGAGCTTCATAACAACTCTGGCAGGTAGCAGGCAAGTGTTACTTCCCTATTTTACAGGTAAAGAAACTGAGGCTCTGAGATGCTAAGTGACCTCTCCAAGGTCACGGAGTTGGTCAAGTTGCAGAGCCGTGGCTATCAATCCGCTCTCCAGCACACTGAATTAATTAAAGTCCTATAAAAAAAACTCCAACGTGAACAAGATTGGAAAAGTGAGAATGAGAAGTCTCATTGGCCAGACAAAAAGCTGCAGAGGGAACAGATCTGCCAGTTGGAAAGACAAAAACAGGAAGCTTGGCTAAGTTGCGCAAGAAGAGAACAAAGAAATAGCCAGAATTTATAGGCACGAGAAGAGAAAAATCAAAGAAAGAAATGAGATGTAACCTGCAAAACACATAAAAGGGAATGGAAAAACATTCTTTAAAATACACTGGGAACAAGAGAAAGATAAGGGGGAACGTTTCTTCCTAATAGATGATGAAGGAAAGCTGATAATGGATGACAACAGAAATGCATAGGTTTTTAATGCTCTATTCCCCAGGTAGCTGGAACAAACTGCATACAGTCTAGAAGGCAAGGAAAACAATTGGAGTGTGGAGGGTGAAGGCACGGTACCTATAAGGAACAAAAGGTCTGGGGTCACATTTAGGGTCTGGAGGGACCCTAGATATCATCTGGTCCCATGCTCACTTTACAGACAATGAGAGTGAATATCAGTGATGGGGGGTGAGCTGACCAAAGTCACTCTTAGTATTGGCAGAGCTGGGACTAGACCCTAGGCTTCTGGCTCTCAGTGCAGTGTGTCTTTCTGGCACTCATGGAAGATGGGGAGAAGGGGAGAAACAGTGATGGATAAACTGAGATGTAAAATCTAGTGTGAGTACACAAATAACCTTGGCTGAAGCCAGGGTAAAAGGCAGGACTTAGGGAGGGTTAGAGATTCAAGCTAAGGAGGAATCTGCCTTGACATCAGGGTTTGAGTCTTGCTGTGGCTTTGGCCTGCATTACTCTACCAGTCTGATTTTCCAGGGTCTTAGGCTCTCAGACTCCATCAGATCCCAGAGTCTTTGGATCACATTGAGTATGGTCTAGTACTTGAATTCTTCGTGTCTTGCATTGTATCTTACATTAGTTTTCTATTGCCACAATAATGCTGTCTAACAAACTGCCCCAGTGCTCAGAGGCTTAAACCAATACCCATTTATTTAGCTTGCTGTGGGTCAGTTATTGAGACTGAACTCAACTGGGAGAGTTTCCTATAATGGCTGGACTATTTCACATTCATGGGGAGGTTGGCTTGCTGTTGGCTGATCTAGGAAGCCTTTACTGGATGGCTTGGATGACTGGAATAAATGAGATGACTCAGTCCTTTACCAAGGGTCCAGCAGGCTAGGCCAGGCATATTCTCATGGCACAGCAGCGGGGCATGACAAACAAGCTCAACTGTGCAAGGAATGGAAACATACCAGCTTTTCAAGTTTCTGCTTCTAAACATGTTTGCTAACATGTCATAGCAAAGCAAATTACATAGCCAAGTCTAGAATCAGAATGGGCAGAACAAGAAAATTATAGGATAAAGGACATAATTCAGTGAAACTATTAACTGGAGCCATGAGCTCAATCAATCTACTACTGCACCTCTGTTGCCAGGGTGTTCAGTTTTGGTGTCTTGCTCTGCTTCCCACCATCTTGGTCCTCCTGAGTGAACTGCTTCTCTGGCCCTCAACCATCATGCTTTGAGTGCTCTCTGCTGCTCAGAGTCCATCTAGGCTGGGTTTGCCTTTCCAAGGACAGTGATGAAGACACTCCCAGAAGCAGTACCCTCTAAAACTCTTGAGCTGGAAACTCCTAAACCCATGGGCATTCATCAATTGCCATTCACTTCCAAGTCTTCTCTGTCCATGGATGTATGTCAAGGAGAAACCAGGTAGGATATCCTCTGCAGCCTCTATCCTGTGTCCATACCACCCTGGACTCTGTCCTCTGAAAGGGTGTTATGGGCTGAATTGTGTCCCCCTGCCCCACCCTACAAATTCATATGTTGAAATCCTAAGCACCGTACCTCATAATATGACTGTCTTTGGAGCAGCATTTTTAAAGAGATAATAAAGTTAAAATGAGGTAATTAGGGTGAATCTTAATCCAGTTAAACTGGTGTCCTTATGAGAAGAGGAAGTTTGGAAACAGACAAGTATAGAGGGAAGACCATGTGAAGAAACTGGCAGGAGATGGCCATCTGCAAGCTAAAGAAAGAGACCTCAGGAGAGACCAGCTCTTCCAACACCTTGGCCACAGGCTTCTGACCTCCAGGACTGAAAGAAAATAGATTTCTGTTGATGCTTTGTTATGACATCCCTAGAAAATGAATACTGAGGGGTAGGCCCGGTCTTGGATGTTCCACTAAAGACACCAGGATGCTTGGAGATAGTCTTCCCTTCAGCCCCAGAGCTCCAGACCCTGAGACAGGAAAGAATGCAGGGAGACACCAATCTGTGTGAATAGAAACCTGGTTTCTACTCCGAAGGCTGAGCACACCCTAACCTCCCTTCTTGATGCATCCCTGGACAGAGCTTACTAAGTGTGGGGTAGATCCTGACCCTTGACCCCTGCTTCCCCAGACAAGGCTAAGGTTCTGTCTGTTCTGAGTCCTCTACTCTCTACTGCCTGGCCCCGCACCCTCTTCTATACCTCCCTTCTCATCCCCATCAGGCCAATTCAAGTGGTTCCTCATTTCCCAGCAAGGAATTCTATTGCCAGGAGATCAGATCTGGGTTTTCATGAATTCAGGATGTCAAAACCCATTCTCTTCTTCCCATCACCCTCAATAATATATACTATTCAGTCATTTTTTGAAAAAAAGTTAATGTCCATATAATTTGAGAAAGAAGGGGAAGTATGTTTCATTACCAGGAAATGAATAAGAATCCATTTTAAGTTCTGAGGCAGGAGATTAGCCTGTCAAAGGAAGCATCTGTTGGATGTTGAAGCATAGTTTAGATTGCAAAGGGATGGGCTGGTGGCTGGGAGATGAGCCAGGCAGGCACTGTGCTGGCAGGTGGAAAGATCCCTGGACCAGGAGTCAGAAGCCCCAGCCATGAACCTGCTCTGTCAATTGAGCCCTGTGCATATTGAGTATGACGCTGTGTGCCACTTTGCCAAATGCTGGGGATAGAATTGCATATGGCAGACATGGACTCTGCCCTCGTGGGGTGTCCACTCTCTCTGGGTGCCTCAGTTCACTCAAGCCTCAGTTTCCCCATCTTTAAAGCACAAAGTTTGGGCTATGATTTCTTTTAATGTCCTTTCTTCCTCTAGCGTTCCATAGGAGCTGTCCCTTGGGTATGAAGTAAGAAGAACCTAGATCATAACAGTGCAACTTTAAAAATGGAAAAGAAGGGGTGAATCCAGAAACATCCTCAAGAAGGAACTGATTGACCGGCTATGGGGAAGGAGTGAATTAGAAGCAGCAAAAATGCCTGAGGTTTTTAACCTGAAGGTGTCACTGACAAGGAAAAGGAAATCAGGAAAGGAAAAAAGATGAACGCTAGAACAAATTATTTCTTAGTAATTATACAAGAAGGTGGGTCAAAGCTATGTTTTTCTCCAAAGAAGGAAAAATAAACTATATGAATTAAAAGGTGTGTGTTCGTGTGTGTATAGAGTTGGGGGCGGGAGATGCTCAGTGGCTGTATATGCATATGGATGAAAAAGATCCAGAGGTCTTAGTAGAAGATAAATTGACTCCACACCAGAAATGAGTACTGCTGGGAGAAGACACTGGCAATATGGAGGTACAATGAGCAGTGGTAATTGCACATACAGGGCCGTTCTCCATGTGCCCTGGAGGGTGCAGGGCTGGAGAGGAAAACTGCCAGGTCATTTTTCCATCCCTGAGGGATTGTGAACCTGAAATGCTGTCCTTCTCCACAACACAGTTTTTCATCTTCTAAAGGAGCCGAGTGCGTGGTAACCTAGCCAAACCATAAGTGCCCACCATTTAGTCAACTTGATAAACACTATTTTAGTACCTTCCATGTTACAGTCAATAGTCTAGGTGCCAAAGATGTAGAGATGAATAGGAGAGGGTCTCTGTTCATAAAATTAGAGTAGGCGTGGGGAGGCAGACACACAACTGACTCGTGCAGGAAGCCTGTGACATAAAACAGTGTTAACGCATCGTGCTGGTGAGTAATTCTGATGGCCAGGCTCTCTGAGGTCCTCATGGAGGAGGTGATGTTTAAGCTGGGCCCTGTGGGCAATCTGTGTTGGAAGAGGTAAGCAAAATTTAGGGGCTTACAGAAGCATCATCTACAGGCTTTGGCAGGAGGAGAATGACAGAGGGTGGCATTAGGCATGGAGAATATTCTAGGCCAAGGACATAATTAAATTTGGAGGTGGCTTGGGTGTGGAGGCTTGTGGGGAGGGATCTTCTAGCACGACCCTTGGTGTCCAAGTGCTCACATAGGACAGAAGCTCTGATTTAACTCAAAACTAAGTGGTGCCATGTCCAGAGGACAGGAGAAGCTACTCTTGGTGATGGTGGGTAGTGGGTGTCAGCCCTAGGGAGAGGCAAGGGAAGAGGCAGTTATAAGCAGCAGGCAAGTGTGGGAGGCTTCGGACAGCGCAGCTGTTTGAGAAGATGAAGCAGGCCAACACTGCAAAGGCGTGGAAGGCTCCGGAGCCTGAGGGACAGTGCGCTGATGAGCTGCTTGGGCAGTGAAGCAAGGAAAGGAGCTGGGATGGCAGCTGAAAAGACACGTGGGGTTAGAGGAGGAGGGAGGCAGTAAGCAGCCTGGGAGTTCTTAGCTCCTACCTATGCTGCCCTGCCTGGGGCCTGGGGCTGGAGGTGAGGGGGCTGTGGGGCTTGCCAGAATCTGCACAGCTGGGTTGTGGGACAGCTGTAGGCCCCCGAGCAGCACAGGGGCTGAGCAGACTGTAACACATACAGCCAAGCTGCAGCAGTGAGGCTGGCCAGTTGCAGCTTGCCTACCTGGCAGGTACTGACCAGGTACAGAGCCCAGACCTCACGCTGCTCCCACTGGCTGCCTCCCTGAGCGGCTGCCTCCCTTTTCCTGCCCTACTCCCTTCCTCTTCCCTCTCTTTCTCCCTATCACCCTTCCTTCCATTCAACAAAATTTACTTAGGCACTGATTATGTTGGTACTAGGTTTTCTTTTGCACAGAAGCTTAGAGATCTATTAAAGAGGAAAATCTCAGACCCAGTTCCAGTCACACTTAGCCTGTCAGAGTCTTTGCAAGCCATGCCCGCACCACAGAGGGTGGGCAGGATGAATCTTGCCACTGTTCTCGTCCTATGCCCAGTCCCCTCATGAATGGCCTCCCAAAGGGGATTTGAGGGGGCTCTCAAGTTGTTGGGCAAAGTCTGCTCCTCACACAGGCCCATTTTCCTCTTAGTCATAATTATCTTGCTAATGCCAATCTTACCTTCTTTGTCCCAGTTTGCTTATCTTTGATTAGTGGCCTTCTCTCACGGCTCTGAGAGAAAGCAGGAGGGTTCATCAGGGAGGACAATAATAATAGGAGTAAGAATAGTCATGGCTACTACTTACTGAGCAGTTACTAAAATGCCAGCACTGTGGTAAACAAGCCACTTAATTTAATCCTTACAATAACTCTGTAAGGCGGATATTGTTTCCCCAAGTTTCAGAATGGTACACTAAGGCTCAGAGAGATTAGATTAACTTGCCCAAGGTCACACAGCTACTCGGTAGCAGAACTCATATCTGACTCCAGGCTGACCTGATTCTGAACCTGGGCTAATGAACACATTAGACTGACTCCCTTTAGTTTTTAAACAAAGAGTCATAGGTTGTCTCTCCCCAGGGATGACTCTCCACCAGATGGGCCCCTTCCCCTCAGACCCATCTCTCCTCCTCTGTGCATCCAGACACCTTCAGTTCCAGCCCCATCCACATCCTTAATACATCGAGGCATAACTGTGTTACCGACGTAGGGGGATCATTCACCACCAGCTTTTCAGAGAGAGGGGAGGCAAAGGTAATTTGGCAGCAAAAAGGACAGAGCTCAGACACATAGAACACCCGAGGACAAGGGCAAGGGAGGGAGTCGGTTCCATTTTTCAATCCTGGTGACTTTATTGGCAGGACAAGGTAACCAAGCATTGCCAAGCTAGTTCATCAACCTCCTGCCCTCTCCTCTCTAGCAGGAGTCGAAGCTCCTATCCTGATCCAAGCAAGTTGGTGTCCCCGGGGCATCTGCTGGCTCCTTCTGTGAGTCTGTGTCTGCCACATTCTCTTTCTCCAAAGCCCCTAATTTCCTCCCTTGATAACCCAGAGATAAGGATGGCCGTGATATGTACAGCAGTCTAACAGTTATGATACATTTTCACAGGCATCCTCTCATCTGGTATGTTTAATCCATGTCACGTTAGTAATGAGACCCTGTTCTGGTGCGAGCTTCATGGTCCTTGCAGGGCCTGGACCACATTCTGAAGTGCTGTTCCCTGCCTCCTTGCCTGGATTCACCTTACCCATCACCTTAGCTGGTTTCAACCTCAAGCCTTGGCTCATTGCCCAAATAGGTAGATTCCACAACTACTAGGAAAGAAATGGTGCTACCCTCATCTAAGATATGGAGAGATTGAGGCTCTGAGAGGTTGTCTTGAGTGAGGTTACACAGCTACTAAGTAGAGAAGCAGAGATTCGAGCCCAGGGCTGTCTCTGCTACGCTGTGTTTTCCCTTTCTCTGCAGAGCAGTCATGGGGGCAATGATGCACAAGCAGTGTTCTGACGGTGAGGGAGAGGTGTGGGAAAGGCTTGAAAGTGGGACAGTGTGTGGCAGCAGGTCCTGCTGGAGGACAAGCAAGGCAGGGGACATGGGGGGAAGCTGGAGCCCCATTTCCAGGGCCTTCTCTGCCAGGTTAATGACTTTGAACCTTGTCACAGTCATGGCCAATGGGAAGTTTTAAGAGGAAAATGGGTTCATCTCATCTAAGATTTAACGTAGGTGGGATTTCTGAGGGAAATATCTGACACTTCAGTCTCTGAAGAATCAGAAAGAAGTAAAGTTGAATCTAGTGGTTTTGTCCAGTGAGAATGCTGGGTTGGTGCTGGGGCAAGTCTGAGGGTTCTTGGTCAGCAGTAGGGGAGACATCATAAAATCTGTGTGTTCCGAGAGGCACTAGAAGTGGACTCTGGATGATGTGGCTCTTGCCTGGAGGAGACAGGGGGCTTAGAGACTGTCTCATGGGGACAGGGACAGGAGGAGTTCACAGGGTTCCCAACAGCTGAAAGAGCAAGTGTCAGGACTTCAGGAATGAGCCATGGGGTGCAGGGAGGGCTGGGAAAGCTTACTTATAGGCCTTGGGCTCCAAGAAGGCAGACTCCCATGGAAATAGAGAAAGAGTTCCGGATGCAGTGCTGAGTGGGCTTCATGGAACTCAGGGAACCTGGGATCTGGTCTCGGTCTCCCGTGATCTTCCAGGGAGAAGGGGAGGGAGCTCTGTCCTTCAACATTAGATCCCGTGAAGGAGACCCAGCAGATATCTGGGTTCCAGCCCCTTGGAAGAGGATGTGGCTATCTCCCAGGCCAGGGCTATGCCCCTAAGATCAGGCTCCTGGGCTTCAGTGAGGCAATCGTCAAAAAGCAGGTGGGTTCTCAGGCATGGAGCTGAAGGCAGTTTTGGATTCTCTCCAAAAGCTGACCCATGCCTGCCTGCCACCTCACCTCAAATCACAACCCCCTGGCTTTCTGTACCCAGCCACACTGGCCTACTATGGTCCCTGAACTCCTCTGCTCTTCCCTGCAGGGGATTCACACAGCCTACCCTGTCTGTCCCTTTCCCTACAACCCTGCTTTAGTCACTCAGGCTGCTATAATACAACATCACAGAATGAGGGGCTTGTAAACAACAGAAATTTATTTCTCACAGTTCTGGAGGTGGGAAGTTCAAGATCAGGGGGCTGGTAGATTTGGTGTCTAAGGGTTGCTTCCTGGTTCACAGATGGTGCCATCTTGCTGTCTCTTCAGGAGGTGGAAGGGGTGAAGAAGCTCTCTGGAGATCCTTTTATAACAGCACTAATCCCATTGATGGGGGCCCTGCCCTCATGACCTAACCACCTCCCAAAGGTTCCACCTCCAAATACCCTCAACTAGGCCTTAGGTTTCAACATATGACTCCTGGGGAGACACAAACATTCAAACCTTACTCGTTCTTTGGTCTTTTAGGTCTTGGCCTTGACTCACTTCCTCATGGGAGACTGACCTGACTCCCCAGGCTTCAGCCAGTCCCCTGCCTGGATCTCACAGCTTCCTGTACTTCTTTACCATAGGATCTTCTCGGCTTGCAATTTACATGTATGTTTCATATCTGTCTCCTCGACTAGGCTGTAGGCTCCCCAAGCATCAGCCTCTGAGCTTGGTTTGCTCACTAGCATCCCCTGTGCCTGGCATGTAGCAGACACTTTGTTAAGGACCCACCTCTCCAGGGTCAGCGTTTCCCACCACAGCACCAAGTCAGACACAAGAGTGCCCTGTGCTATCACATTGGCCTCAGAGCTGTGAGTCTGTGGGTCCAGGACACAGGCATCACTGGGCTGGCAGGGCCGTCACAGCCCCTGGTGAAGTGTGAAGAAGCCACAGAAGGCTTTGGGGCCATTTCAGGGAATTCTAGGGGCATTTACTCAATTGTTAAAGAGGCTGGTTCTTCTTTTTTTTTTTTTTTTTTTGTTTTGAGACGGAGTCTTGCTCTGTCACCCAGGCTGGAGTGCAGTGGCACGATTTCTGCTCACTGCAAGCTCCGCCTTCCGGGTTCATGCCATTCTCCTGCCTCAGCCTCCCGAGTAGCTGGGACTACAGGAGCCCGCCACCACGCCCGGCTAATTTTTTGTATTTTTAATAGAGACGGGGTTTCACCTCTTAGCCAGGACGGTCTGGATCTCCTAACCTCGTGATCCACCCGCCTCGGCCTCCCAAAGTGCTGGGATTACAGACGTGAGCCACCACGCCCGGCCAAGGCTGATTCTTCTTAAGTGGACTTCCATTGCAGTTGCCCTCCAACTGACCAAAATCTTTTTTTTTTTTTTTTTTTGCCAATTTACTCCTATACCAATATCCAGTAAGAAGTGCTATAGGAAGCAGTGATTGTTATTAAGATTGTCCTCTTTTCCTTGGATACAAGAACCTATGAGGTAGGCAGGGCAAGTGTTATCACCCCCATTCGACAGGAGGGGAAAATGAGACTCAGAGAGGAAAGTGACTTGCCATGGTCACAGGTTCTTTTTTTTTCCATAAGTTATTGGGGTACAGGTGGCATTTGGTTACATTTGGTTACTGGGGTACAGGTGGTATTTGTGAGGGTATTTGGAGGTGGGACCTTTGGGAGATGGTTAGGTCATGAGTAAGTTCTTACATGAGTAAGTTCTTTAGTGGTGATTGGTGAGATTTTGGTGCACCCATCACCCGAGCAATATACATTACGTCATATTTGTAGTCTTTTACCCCTTGCCGCCCTCCCAGTCTTCCCCCCAAGTCCCCAAAGTCCACCATATCATTCTTACACCTTTGGGTCCTCATAGCTTAGCTCTCACGTATCAGTGAGAATGTACCATGTTTGGTTTTCCATTCCTGAGCTACTTCACTTAGAATAATAGTCTCCAGTCTCATCCAGGTAGCTGCAAATGCTGTTAATTCATTCATTTTTATGGCTGAGTAGTATTCCATCATATAAATATGCCACAGTTTCTTTATCCACTCATTGATTGGTGGGCATTTAGGTTGGTTCCATGATTTTGCAATTGTGAATTTTGCTGCTATAAACATGCGTGTGTAAGTATCTTTTTCAAATAATGGCTTATTTTCCTCTGGGTAGATACTCAGTAGTGGGATTGCTGGATGAAATGGCAGATCTACTTTTAGTTCTTTAAGGAATCTCCACACTGTTTTCCACAGTGGCTGTACTAGTTTACATTCCCGCCAGCAGTGTAGAGGTGTTCCCTGATCAGCGCATTCATGCCAACATCTAGTGTTTTTTGATTATGGCCATTGATATGGTTTGGCTGTGTCTTGCCCTAGTCTTGCTCTGGATTTGCCCTGGTCACAGCTTCTTAAGGGAGGCAGGTCTGTAACCTTGGTTTTCTGACTCCTTGAGTGGTTCCCTTTCCCCTTTGCCCATGGTACCTTCACTGGAAGTGGCCATCATTGGGACATACTTCTCCCTTATCCTCAGATCCCAGCTTGCGTTCTCCTTAATGTCCAGGGCAGCTGTGTTGTTCTGCAGAGGAGAGGAGTGACAGACAGGAAGAGGAACATTCCACTTGCAATCTCATGCCCACCCAAATAAAATTAACATGTCGGGGCACTGCCTGTGTGCTGGGCACAGCACTGGAGCTGTCATCCTTGTTATTCCTTTAGCCCTTCCACAGTCCCATGAGCTAGAGCTGATGCTGAAAACCCATTTTGCAGATGTAGAACCTGAGGCCCAGAGAGCACCAGTGACTTGCCCAAGGTCACACCATTGGCAGTACAGCTAGGATTCAGCTTCCTGTCTCTTTGACTCCAAAACCCGAGGGCTTTCCACATTATCACATTGCTTCTCATTACCACGTTCTCTGGGAAGAGCCCAAAAGACAGAATGCAGGTGCTGGATAATGGCTGTCTTGCCTGAGGCTGGGGTCAGCTGCTCTGAGAAATGTGACTCAGTCCATCATCCTCTCAACAGGTTTGCAGATGAACTGAACCAAGAGGAATTCTCCCCCAATCTGTTACCTAACTCTTCCCTGTACAGGGCAGGCTATGCCCAGGGACCAGAAAGTTTATTTAGAAGTTCCAAGAGTGTCTTCCCCCCAGAAAAGAGATACGAGCAAGCAATGGGGGCATTTGTCAGACGTAAAAAAACAGGAAAAAAGAACAAAGAGAAGTCAGTGGGAATTGGAAAGAGGAAACAGGAGTCAAGGGGATGGTGGATGAGAGAAAAAGACAGAATGACTCAGGAAGAGGGATGGGTGCCCTGGGGGGAGGGGTTGGGAACAGGGCTGGAATGGCGAGCAGCAATTTGTGAAGTTTACAGATAAATCTTGGTCCTTTCAGCAAAGCTTATCTGTAATGGGCTCGGCTCGTTGAGGCCCCGTCTCCTGTAGACATAAATCATTTTCTAATTTATAACATGAATAATTGATTTTGCCTCTGTAGCCTCAACAATAAATCTCCCGATCACACATGCATAAGAAAATAATAATAATGAAAGCGATCAGGATATGCTGCCATCGATTAACTGTGAGAGGGGCCACTTGACTCGCAGTTCATGTTTTAAGTATTCCAGGTGGCACTGTGCCCACAAGCCACTTCTGCCTGCTGCCCCTGAGCTCAGCCTGTCACAGTAGTGGGGCAGGGCAGAGGGAGCAGAGGGCCGCGAGAGGAGGGAAAGCAAGTCTGGCTATGACTGGCTGCCATTGGGATCAATGCAAATATTTCTTCAATAGCTGTCATTCATTCATTTACTGAGCATCTCTTAGCTGGAAGGTCTTGGGACTGGCGCTGTCCAAGGTAAAGTGAGACCTGGTATTTTGCTTCAAGTTGTTTATGATCCAGTTAAAGAGCAAAACTCGAAACGCATGTTTGGGTGTTCAGATGGGACTAAAGGAAACAGAGGCTTTCACTGTTCTATTGTAGTCATCTCCAAGCCAGGGACCCTGGAGTCCTCCCTGACTCTTTCCTCTCCCTCCCCACAGGGTCCTGCAGATTCTGTCTCCCCCAGGGCCCTAGAATCCAGCCACTCTTGCCCATAGCTGGCCTAGTTCAGGCCTTCATCGCTTTTCTCCCAGTATTGCAATGTCCTCCTATAGGGCTACCCTGCACCCCACCACCTTCCATTCTCCTGTAGCCAGAGTGACCTCTAAAACCATAGGTGGGCTTTCACACAGGCCCTTGGGTTCAAGCCTCCTGCAAACCCCAGGACTGGATAAAATTTCCCTGATAAGTACCTCTATTACATATGACACTGCCCCTTCATATCACTCATCTCATTAGTAATTTCCTGTTCAGTAGTTTTTCTTTCTGTTGAGAATGAAGTTCAGAAAGCCTAGATCCATACCATCTTCGCCACTGCTTCCTCAGAGCCCAGCACAGTGCCTGGCACACAGCAGGTGCTCCGTAAGTGCTTGTGGAATGAATAAGTCTTGCTGCCACTAGCCTCTTATCTCTCTGGATAATCCTACATGGGGTAGTTTGTGTGTTTTTTTTTTTTCTAAAAACTCCACGGCCAGGTTATCTTTTGTTCAGGAATCATCACTAGTTGCCAGTGCCGTACGTGAAGCCCAAACATTCTAGCCTGGTCCTGGCTCTGGGAACCTATGCTGCTCAGTCATTCCAACTTTCTATCTCACGAGTCCTCTCAGCGAGCTCTCTGCTCACTTCCTGAAATCCTACTCGTCCTTTGAGGCTTGGCTCAAATGCCAGCTCTATTACGGTACTCATTCCTTGCTTAAAACTCACTGATGCCTCCCCTTTGCTACAAGATGTAAAGGGACATTGAAGAGTTTTAAGAGGAAGAGTGATTTGCCCTGATTTGGGTTTGGGCTGAGTGTTCCTAAAGCTTCATAGGGATGGATCAGGGGTGGCAGGTGCTGGAGGGAGGCAGGCCTCTCCCTCTAAACATGACCCTCACCCAGTGCCTACAAGTTTGTGGAGCCAGGGGCTTGCTCAAGGCCTCACAGTGATTCATCATCAGGCTTAGAGATTTACACCCAGTTGGTGCCAAGGCTGCTGCCATTTAATCCACTCAGTTCTGCTGCTGATCTGGCCCCTGGGAGTGTGGTTTCCCAACTCCCTGGATCCCTGGCCTGAATCCCAGGGTCTCCCTCACAATGGGACCTAAAAATAGAAACCACTTTTATAGTGTAGGGGAAAAGGCAAAGGACCCAGGCAAGGTTTAAATGGAAGTGTTCCCTGGAGGGCTGTCTGGGGAACATAGGGATTGTCCCAGGAAGCTCTGAACATAAAGGACAGGCCTTCTGGCAGGGGACAAAGTGGCCCTGTTTGCATTTGGGAGGGCCCAGCTCCACTTCCCTCACCTACTCACAATCTCTCTTCTTATGCCTTTCCTGGCTCTGAACCCATGCCTTGCCCAGCACTCCGTCCCCATCCCCAGGAAGGGCCTTTGTAGCCATCACAAAGCATTAGAACGAAGCATTAGAGAGAGCCAAGGAGCCATCAAATCAAAGTTAAAGAGAGGAGAAGAGGATGGGGCTACAGCGAGGGGAGGGCTGGGATGAAGATGCCCAGAGTGTCTGAAGTGAACATCACCATCTCGAGCAGCACACAGGTCTTTCTGGCTGACAATCCTGGACATTCCTGCTCCCACTCACACATCACTGAAAATGCCCCAGATGGGCCCACATGCCAGGAGACCACATCACACACTCCCCAGCACGTTCCAGTCCTGACAGCATGATCCTGGATTACCTTCCTGAACCATCATCTTCTCATGTTTACAATGAAAAACTTAAAAAAAAATTTTTTTTGAGATGGAGTCTTGCTTTGTCACCCAGGCTGCAGGGCAGTGGCATGATCTCGGCTCACTGCAACCACCACCTCCCAAGTTCAAGCAATTCTCCTGCCTCAGCCTCCCCAGTAGCTGGAACTACAGGCGTGCGTCATTATGCCTGGCTAATTTTTGTATTTTTAGTAGAGACGGGGTTTCACCGTGTTGGCCAGGCTGGTCTCGAACTCCTGACCTCAGGTGATCTGCCTGCATCAGCCTCCCAAAGTGCTGGGATTATAGGCGGAGCCACTACACCTGACCTAAAAATATTAATAGTAGGATTTAAAAATAAAGATAAATAAAGACATAACTTCACATAATAAATCACACAAATCATAAGTGTACAGCTCGCTGAATTTTTGCATATGTATGCACCTGCAGAACCATCACCCAGACCAAGCCACAGACATTGCCAGCATGCCACAGGGCTTCCTCTGGCTCCCTCCTGGTCAGTACCACCCCCAACCCAGCCCCGCCCCACCAAGGGTAACCACTATTTCTTTCTTTTTTCTTTTCTTTTTTTTTTTTTTTTGAGATGGAATTTCGCTCTTGTTGCCCAGGCTAGAATGCAATGGCATGATCTTGACTCACTGCAACCTCTGCCTCCCCACTTCAAGCGATTCTCTTGCCTTAGCCTCCTGAGTAGCTGGGATTACAGGCAGCTGCCACCTCGTCTGGCTAATTTTTGCATTTTTAGTAGAGACGGAGTTTCACCACATTGACCAGGCTGGTCTCGAACTCCTGAACTCAGGTGATCCATCCACCTCGGCCTCCCAAAGTTCTGGGACTACAGGCATGAGCCGCTGCACCCGGCTGGTAACCATTATTTCTGATTAGGTTGATGTATTTTTGAAATTTGCGTGAAATCATATAATGTGTGCTCTTTGGTGTCTGGATTCTTTCCCTCACAGGGTTTTGTAGGGATCAAATGAAATAGTCCATACTAAAACACCTAGCGCAGGACCTGGGATACAGTAGAAACTTGGTGAATATTTAAGGAGGTATGGGGTGGGTTTGAATGAGAAAGACCTGGCTTCCAAACCAGCTCTGTGACTTGCCAGCTGTGTGACATTCTGAGCCTCAATCTTCCTATCTGTAAAACGGGATAATTGCTACCTCATGGGGTTGTCATGGGGATTAAATGAGAAAAAGAAGATATAGCCCCTGGCAATAAGTGCTCAATAAATGTTCATTCTGTGCCCCTCCCAATTATGGGGCTGAGGCTAAGACCCCAGATTTTGTCCTAGAGAGCCAGTTACTTTGCTATATTCCAGTGGTTTTCAAATTGCATTTCCTGGAGCCGCGGGATTCTGGTCCTGAATCAGAGGCTGAGAGGAAGGGGCAAATAACAGAGGAAGAAGAAAGCTTTGCAGATGGGATCTGAGTTTCTTCCCCCAGGTCAACCAGAGCAGCTCTGCTCTCACCCCTTTGGTAAGTTGTTCGGCGAGGGGCGGGGGTGGTGGGCACTTGCAAAGAGTTCTGCTTCTAAAAATAATTAGAAAACCACCATTCCATTCCATAACCACAGAGTGTTGCCCAACAGGCCAATCAGATATTTCATAAGGGGGAAAACAAGTGAAAATAGACCCATGTTAATTGGTTAGAACTTCCTGAAAACCTCTCCAGACAAATGCCCTATGCTTCAGGCCAAGGACATCATAAGATGCATCAAATGAATGAAACAGTTTTTTTCTTTTCTTTTTAACTTTGCTCAAGTTATAAATTGCTTTTTAGGGACATCTACATTTCTATTTATTTAATGAACTGTAATACAGGAATAAAGTAAAATTTTAAAAGAAAACCTTTCAAGATTCTATCACTTTAATGTGGCAACTATGAAACTCATTTTTTAAAAAAGCCATAGTGGATGTCTGTTGTATTTGTCTGCCAACCATGCATTTGTCTCTCCCCTGGCACCAGAACCTCATTTCTTCCTCTGTGGAGCCACCCCTTTCCTACTCTTCGTACATGTCGGGTCAATCTGGTTCTGAGAATGCATAGGTGTGCACCTGCGTGATTTAATTGTGGATGTTCAATCTGGTTCCAAGAATGCATATGATGCCTGAAACAAGATTTAACTGTGGATGTTTCAGTCACGGAGCCAATAAGTTTTATTTTTTTTATCTTTAAGCCAGTTTGAGTTGGATTTCTCTCACCTTCCACCAAAAAAGTTCTGCTTAATTTACAAGTAGATCAAAGCTTCATCATGTAAGTGCATTTCCCTTCAAAGTTGTCACCTTGGGAAGCAACACTTATTTCAAATGACCCAGTCCTGGTCACTCAGAGTATTCCATCTCCTTGGCCATAGTCATTGCTCAGGGAAAGGCATCGCACCAGCCAAGCCAATGGGATTCTATCACGGATTTTTTTTTTTTTTTTTTTTTTGAGACAGAGTCTCACTCTGTCGCCCAGGCTGGAGTGCAGTGGTGCGATCTCAGCTCACTGCAATCTCTGCCTCCCCGGTTCATGCCATTTTCCTGCCTCAGCCTCCCAAGTAGCTGGGACTACAGGTGCCCACCACCACACCCGGCTAATTTTTTTGTATTTTTAGTAGAGACGGGGTTTCACCATGTTAGCCAGGCTGGTCTCGATCTCCTGACCGCGTGATCCGCCCACCTTGGCCTCCCAAAGTGCTGGGATTACAGGCGTGAGCCACCATGCCTGGCCCCTGTATCGCAGAACTTCTGTTGAAATTGGTGGGAAAGTAGAACTCTCTTTCCACTGGATTTGAAGATTGAGTGGCTGGGGCCATCATGCTCTGAGGGCCTGTTTGAGAGTGAAAAGAAAGCACAGGGAAACAGCTAAGAGATTAAGAACCGCTAGGTCCTGATCACATTATTTTAGCTCCTGGGTCCAACCATGCCTGAAACAAAATTTAGCTGTGGATGTTTCAGTCACTGAACCAATAAATTATTATTATTTTTTTATCTTTAAGCTAGTTTGAGTTGGATTTCTCTCAACTTCCACCAAAAAAGTTCTGCTTAATTTACAAGTAGATCAAAGCTACGTCGTGTAAGTACTTTTCCCTTCAAAGTTGTCACCTTGGGAAGCAACACTTATTTCAAAGTATTTTTTAGAACTCCTCATTGAGATAACCCTTGGTACCAATTTAACAATAAAGTCATCTGCTTACTTTGTATCATTGAGAGGGAGGAGAGGATTACAGACGCTCCTCAACTTACAATGGAGTTACATCTGGATAAACGTATGTAAATTGAAAATACTGTAATTTGAAAATTAATTTAATACACATAACCTATGGAACATCATAGCTTAGCCTAGCCTACAACATGCTCAAAACACTTACATTAGCCTAAAGTTGGGCAAAGTCATCTAACACAAATCCTGTCTTATGGTAAAGTGTTGAATATCTCATGTAATTTACTGAACACAGTATACTGTAGAGTATTGGTTGTTTAACTTGTGACTGCATACCTGGCTGGGGGCCCAGCATCACAATTGAGTATCATACCACATATTGTTAGCCTGGGAAAAAGTCAGACTTCAAAATTTGAAGTTCAGTTTCTACTAAATGCATACCACTTTTGTACCACTATAAAGTCAAAAAACCATAAGTTAAACCGTGATAAACTGGAGACCATCTGTAGTCTATCTGATTGCTTAGATTGTTCATCAGACCTAACTCTAATTGACCATGTCTCAAAATCAAATCTACTCGCGGAGGATGGAGACTTGCTGACCAGGACGCCAGCTGAGAATGAGTTGCATCTTTGAATTGCTGTTTTGCTTTTCAAGGTGAATGGGAGAAAATTAATTTGCATAGGTGAATTGTAGTATGAAAGATCAACCTCATTGTTTTTGGTCATACTTCAAAACAACAACAGCAAAACAGCAGTGCTTCTTCCCCTGGCCTCCTTTGCTCAGAGAAACATATGGACTTCATCTCCGTCTTGTCTCAATGAGAGGGCTCATATTCCCATTTCACAAATAAGAAAATCGAGGCAAACTTGAGTTTTTTTTTTTTAGTGAAGCCACATATGTACTGGGATCCAGAATATTAAATTGAATCACTGAATAAAGAGAGCACCCAGGAGGTCAGGCCGGAGGATGAATCTTGGGATCTGAGTAGTGACATACGGGGCCAACAGGAAGCAAGATGAAAGGGGAGAGAGGACCAAGTAAAGGCAGTTACTAGCCAGGAGCAGGCTGAGACCAGCTAAGTCCAGAAGACGCACCTAGCAGAGGGATGAGGACCCGGCTCTGCTGGGATCTCCTTCTCCAGCCGGCAATGGATTGTGAGTTGGTCCCAGGTGCACAGTCTGTGCTCCCTGCAGCGTCCTTATCAGGGTGTGCCTGAACCTGAGGAGCAAGCTAGGAGGGCCTCCAAGACTCCTGGCTCCAAGATCTGCTCAAGAAGAGGTGTCTCACCCTGCGGAGAGGTTTACTGCAGCCAGGCAATTTAATCCTCCCAAGCATTTGGGCAGGCCCTGGAGATAATAAAGAAAGAAGGTAACAGAGTGGATCTGCAAAGCCTTTAATACACAGCATTAAAGGGTAATGGTAAAATCGATGGGACTATACAACAGGGTCACCCCAGCTGCCAGCAGTGCTGTCATTAATGGGACAGTTGGTGTTCCAGCTACTGCAAGGCTGCTGGGCAGGACCCTAGCACTGGGGACCCAACCTGGCCTCTTCAGAGCTCAAATGGTTTCATGGACTCTGGGGCTTCCTACTTGGACACGAGCACAAGGGGATGGCCTTCTTCTCTCCCTAGGGTACATGCCACTCTCCTAACTGTGGCCAATAACAGCTACCATTTATTGATCACTTTCTATGGGCCAGCTCTAGGCTGAGAGCTCTCTGAATTGTTGCATTTAATCCTTACAACAATTCTATAAATTAGTTGCTATTACTGCAGTTTCCATTTCACATGTTAGTAAAGTGAGGTCCAGGGAGACATGTGTGCCCTTGATCATTGGCTAGGAGAGAGAGTGGATGGGTTCGTTCAGATCATAGAATGTGGAGAAGCTGGGAAGGATCTCACGGCATATCTGGCCTGACCCCTCAGGATAGAGAAGTGGAGTGACTTGCCCCAGATCATAGAGCTGTACAGTAGAAAATGTGAGATTATAAAGCAGGTGTTCTACCTTCAAGTCCTGTGTTCTTTGTCCCCATTATATCGTCCTATCATTTCCATCCACAAAGCACACACTCCACTGGCTTAGGACTTCAGAGTCATTCATTGTAATTAAAGGGATGGTCATTTAGGAATTGTTTCAATTCAATGCAAAGTTACTAAAGCCACTCACTGTGTTCTGGGAGAGTAGGTGTTAAAGTGCAGGAAGGTCTGGTATTGTTCTTAAACACCTACAGCATCTGGCTGGGGAGAGAAAAACCACACAGACCTAAAACAACCTTAGAATTATTCCAAGACAACAAATAAATAAGTGTGAGAGTGTGTGATGCCAACCGTGTACACTAAGCATCAGGGAATTAAAAGGAAAGGAAGGCAGGCTCAGCTCAAGAAGGCTTTGTGGAGGCAGAGTGTGGACCTGAGTTGGTAAAGGAATGAAGGGCTGGGATTAGAGAAAATTAGAGAGAACGGCTTGTCTGATGGCAGAAACCACATAGGCCGAGGCCCAGTGGCTAGAAAGAACATAGTATATCATGTTGGACCTCCAGGAAAGGAGAATTTATGCTGCAGAAGGAGAGAGGCATGGGCTGGGGAGGCAGGAGTTTCAGACTCAGTGTGCAAGGCAAGGCTGAGCCAATATAGGTGGTTAAGCAGGGGCAGCAAAGTGACAGCAGTGGGTTTAAGAAGACGTCACTGACGGTAGATACCCCAGAATATTGGAGGTTGGGGGACTGAATTCTAGGTAGGAAAGTAATGAGGGAAATCTAGGCATGAGTAGTGGTGGCAGTGGGGGCTGGTGTGGAGGCCAGAAAGTAATCGAGAGATGACGCCCAGAGGCTGCAATGAAGAGGGCACCAGGGTTTGGCATAAGGGCTGAAGGAGAGAAGGCGTCCACTTTTTTTTTGTCTTTTTTTCAAGACAGAGTCTCACTCTGTCACCCAGGCTGGAGTGCAGTGGTGCAATCTTGGCTCACTGCAACCTCTGCCTCCTGGATTCAAGCGATTCTCCTGCCTCAGCCTCCCGAGTAGCTGGAATTACAGGCGTGTGCCACCATGCCGGCTAATTTTTGTATTTTTTTAGTAGAGAAGGAGTTTTGCCATGCTGGCCAGGCTGGTCTCAAACTCCTGACCTCAGGCGATCCGCCTGCCTCGGCCTCCCAAAGTGCTGGGATTATAGGCATGAGCTACTGGGCCCAGTGTGAGAAGGCATCAAATAGAATCATGTACAAAGCCAGGGCGCATGGTGGCAAAGTGGGTAATTTTGTGAGTTGAGTTTGTGAGTGAGGTGTGGAAGGGAGAGAGAGTTTTCTCTGAGGAGGGATAGCAGGACTAGACACAAGAAGGCCTGGGGGAAAGTGAAACAATTGGGGCAATGGCCATTTTCTCTTGGGGACCATTTTCCTTTGGACATCTTAAGGGAAAAAGACGTTTCCACAAAATGGAACAAATGTCTCCTCTCCTTTTGCCTCCCTCCAGTGTGCTTGTCTTCTGTGCATGTGTGGAGTGGGGTCAGCAGCATGGGCTTGGGAGATTGTCAGCTCAGATCTCAGTCCCAGCTCTGCTGCTACTGGCCTGGAGTCCCTGGGCACGTCACATAAAGGCAATGAAGGGGACAATAAAATCGACCTCACAGCACCAGCAGGAGATGAAATGAGAGGCATGTAAAGTGCCTACCCATGTTCCTTGTACTCATATGTTAGCTGCTGTTATTACAAAACCACTTTAACCCAGCATATGGTTCAAGTTTCCAAACCACCGAAATGGCTCAGGACTTACTTACACGGATTGTTGAAAAACAAAGGGGAGTTGGGAGAAAGGCTATTGGATGGGGTTAGCCAGAGACTCTGAGGCAGTGACTTGTCCAGCCTCACCGCTGTCTTTCTGGGAGTGGCCGACGGCCTCCTGCCCGGGGCTCCTGGGGGACCAGTGGAAACTGCAGTGCTTTGGGCTCTTCGCTTAGGATAGGGTTTGGAACTTTGTTTTTAGGAAGCCCCACAGGTGATTCTATTGCAAACCGAAATTTGAGAACCACATTTTTTCTGCTGACACCAATCTCCTTGGCAAGATCTCTGGCCTATGTGGTCACCATAAAGGTGACAAGGGGCTCCCCTCCAGGGCCAGCTCATCCATCTCTTTGGACCAGGTTTCCTGTTAATAAGGTCCCTTCCAGCCCCATGACCAACTCAGGGAAATGAGGAGTCAGAGAAGGAAGAAAAGAACGGTGGGAGAGGAATCTGACAGCAGAACAGAGAAGGAAACTGAGGAAACAGGCAAAGACCTGGATCACTTTGGGGCTGGAGGGGCAGGCAGCGCACCGCCAGGGCGAGGAAGAGCTGGAGCTGCCTCCGCTGCAGTCCAGTCGCGCAGGGTTATTAAAAGGAAGAAGAATGAGCCTCTGTATCTCGGCAGAGCAGGGCAAGAGTCATCAGCAGATGTTATTAAAATCCTTTCCTCACCGGTGAAAGACACTTATCGCTCTTCATCAGCAAAGCTGTCTTTTTGAAAAGGAAAATCAACTTAACAGGTGGGGACTGTCCTTTTGCTCCTCCCATGAAAGAGACCAAGGCTGCCACCCATCAGCCCCCAAACTAGTGTGGGGCTCACAGAGCTCCCCCAGAATGGTAGGTGGGAAACCGTGGACACTTGGCACTCTGTGCATGAGGGACCTCTCCCCTGCCGCAGGGGATGTCTGGATGCTGTGGGTACCAGTGATGACTGACTGCTGCAGAGGGGCTTTGGACCCCTCAACAAGAAGCAGTGGGGGCACAGCCTCCTCGCCAGTGTCCTTGCACCAGCTCTGGCCTCCTCCCTTCTGTCCTGCGTCCCACCAGACTCGTCTCGCCTGAGTGTGTCACCCCCGTGCTGACAAATGCTTGGAGATCACTCACTGCAGCAAGAACACATTCACTCACATCAGCCCAGAGATCAAGGCCCTTCCCAGACTGGCCACAAACGCCCCTCCAGCCTGCTTCCCCATCCCCTGTCAGGCTGCAGGCTGGAGCATCACTGCTCTTCTCCAAACCCCAGTGCCCTTGCCTGCCTCCCTGCTTTGCCCAAGGCAGTTGCTCTGCCTGCAGCGCCTCGCCCCTCTTCTCTGCCAGGTGATCCAGTTAATGGCCCAGCTCAAATATCTCCTCCTCAGGGAAGCCCTCTCTGACCTCTCCAGGCAGAACTAATTATTCCCTCCACCGGTTCCCATAGCAAGCATGCTACTGTTTTAACAACGACCACGCTATATTCTGGTTGGGCGTAATCCTTTGTTTCTGTCTATGTTTCCCCTCATCACAGGGAGTTCTGGCAGGAAGAGGGCTGTCTCCTGCTCCTCTGTATGCCCCACAGAACTAAGCACAGTTGTTAATAAAAATAATAGCTAGCATGTACTGAGGGCTTACTCAGCACTCTGGGAGGCCTTCATTCACATTATTTTATGTTATCCTCAGAACAATTCTTCCAGGTTATTAGGTCTGTTTCACAGATGAAGAAACTGAGGTTTGTAGAAGCAAAGTGACCTGTATAGGGACACATGGCTAGTATGTGGCAGAGCAGGGACTAGAAACCAGAACTGTCTGAGCTCAGTAAATGTTTGTTGACTGAAGGAATGAACCTCTACTCCCACCCCACCTCTGGTGCCAGCCGCCCTCAGGCAGACCAGTGGAAGGGCCCGTGGTGGTGTTTAGCTCCTGATCCAGTGCTGCCAATCCATCCCATCCCCGTCTCTGTGACTCAGGCTCTCTCCGCTTCCAGGGTATTACACTTTTGTCTCTTTTCTCCTGGGCGTGGCCAGGAGGCCCTAGAGAAAGGTCTCTGCCACCTTCTCCAACTAGCCCCCATGACCCCACCACTCTCACTCTCCTCAGGATAGCAACCCCTTCTAGGCATTCCCTCCCCAGCTCCTGCTGTGCGGTCAGCATTCCAGCTTCTCTGTCCCCAGCATCTCTGTCCCCGTGTGCCTCCAGCCTCTGGTTAAGACCTGGAAAACATTCACAGGACTGTGTTTCAGACAGAGCCCTGGGCAGTTGTCATCCCTTCTTCTTTCAATGGGGAATGCAGGAATAGCTCCTCTCTTCCTATGCCCCAGTTTTCAAGACCAACTTCAATTTTACAAGCTTGTAACCTTCCTGATAATAGCAGCTGAGTTTTTTTCAACTCTGCAGGCCCCACAATCTATCATCAAGAGCTATGCACCAAGGTAGATGCCCAGTAAATGGCGAATGAATGACTTCCTGGAAAACACCAAGAACATTCTGTGAATACTTCCTCGAACATAACACTTCCCATCTTAATATATCCCATATCCCATCCCTGCATTAATCTTTCTTTCTTTCTTTTTTTTTTTTTTTTGAGACGGAGTCTTGCTCTGTTGCCTAGGTTGGAGTGCAGTGGTGCAGTGGTGCAATCTCGGCTCACTGCAACCTCCGCCTCCTGGGTTCAAGTGATTCTCCTGTCTCAGCCTCCTGAGTAGCTGGGAATACAGGCACATGCCACCACGCCCGGCTAATTTTTGTATTTTTAGTAGAGACAGGGTTTCGCCATGTTGGCCAGGCTGGTATCAAACTCCTGACCTCGTGATCTGCCCACCTCAGCCTCCCAAAGTACTGGGATTACAGGCATGAGCCACTGCGCCCGGCCTGCATCAATCTTCTTTTCCTTCCCTCTGGTTCTAGAAAGGATGGTGATGTATTTCTTCTCTCTAAACCTGATCCCTCCCATCTCTGCTGAGCTCACCCCTTTAGGCAGCAACTCTCCCAGTGCTCTAATGCACCAAACCCTGGAGCAGGTCACCAGGCCCCGACGACCTCCCATCCCTGTGTTCCCAGGGCCCTAGCATACTGGATGGACCCTGCTTTAAAAGACCAAGAGAATTCATCTCATTTCTACACTCTTTAACAAAAGGTAGCAACACAAGCCATGTGCTAGGACCTGCAATAGAGAGAGAATGTGGTTCAGGGACTCAGTCTGTGGCAAGAAAAATCATACTGTCTGTTTTATTCACTGTTGGCTCCCTAGTGTCTAGAACAGTGCCCGGTGCATAGTAGGGTTCCACAAGTATTTGTTGGGTTGAAAAATGACTGAAAGGCCATTGTATTTACTTTTCTGCTCATTCCAGACATAGTTATCTAATATTACTATTTTTCAACCTCTTTTACTCCAGGGACTTCTATGCACCCTCTCCCTCAACTCCCCCTCAATTTGTTCTCATAATCCCCATGACCCCCAGTTTTATAACACCACTGTCAGGAGCCCAAAGCTGCCATTCATTCACTTCCATTAGCATGACTCTTCATGTACTTTGGGGTCTTCAGTCTCTCCCCTTCTCCTAATTTCCAGGGTTCCATTCTGCTTCTGCTGGCTTCCCTACAAAGCCTGCAACATCATAAGCCATTTCAGGAAAGAGCTTGATCATCTTTTGATGAACCCTGCATTCATGACTCACTGCCTTACCTGTCTTTGGCTCTGCATGTCCCCCAGTTTCCGTTTCTTTCTCTGGAAAGAGAGATTGCCCAAGAGTCCTGCACATCAGCATTACTAGAAATGCATGCAGACCAGCTTCAGCTGCTTGCCAACTCTTTAAAAAATGAGTAAACAATTTTCTAAAGGGGAAAAAATCTCTTCACCTCCTCACACCAACTATTTGCATAATTCAGTGACCTTTTATAAACCGTGCCATTGTATAAGCATCATTTGCAAGGGTAGAAATCAACTATTCATCCCATTTCATACTCTACCTCATTCACCTAACATTTTTCTGTATAAACTTTCTCATGTATTGACAGAGTACTAGTATTTATCATTTGTAATGGTTATATAATATTCTATCATATTAATGTTTCATAGTTTGCTTAATAATTCCCCATTTGTGGAGCTTTTGGGTGTTTTCCAGGATTTTCTTATTATGAACAGGGCAGAAATAAACATCTTTTCACAAATAGCTTATATTTCCTTTTCAGTTATTTCCCTGGTATATATTCCCAGAAGAGGGATTATTAGGTCAAAGGCTAGAGACGCTTTTATGGCTTTTGTTGTGAGGTGCCAGACTGCTCTCCAAAAGACTGTACTAATTTGCAATTCTCTCGTCTTTTTATTCGTGCTTTGTAGCCTCCTAATGAATTCCCCCAGGGGTTGTTCCAAATCTTCTGGGCCTGCCTGGGGCATCAAGCCACTCTCAACCTTCAGAGGTGATTTTACTGGGAAAGTTACACACATGTCCCTGAGTTTCCTCAACTTCCTTCCACATCAATGTTTCTATTTTTACCTGGGCTTCCCTCCTAGGCTGATCTCTGAAGAAGAGGTGTCTGATTTCCTCTCCAAACACACCTCCCTGCCTGCATATTTGACCACGGTCCCTCTTCCTGTCTCTTCAGCACCATGCTGCATCAGTTATTCCACCCTTTTTACATCATCTGTCTCTCCCTCTTCTTCTGCTCTTTCCCCTCAGCCTGCAAATATCCTCATCTCCCTTTTCCTAAAAGCAATAGGCAATTTCTCCCTCTCCCCATGAAATATCTTTTTCTGTCACCATCCATCTTTCTGAAGGAAGAGTCTACACTTCACCATCTCATCTTCTAGTTCCTTCTCAACCTTTTGCCCTCTTTTACTGATGACCAACACTCAACTAAAGCTGCCATGTCAAGGCCACCAATAATTTTCTTAAAAATCCAAGCAAATGACCCTTTATCGGTCATCATTCCTACCACCCTGTTGGCTATCTTGTCCTCATTGAAACATTTTCCTATCTGAGGTTCCGTGGCCGTAAAATTTCTTTAGAGTCCCTTCTATCCTACCAAAATTGTACCTCTATAAGAATTTGTTCTCAAACCTTTTAGTGAACTTTAAATGATATCTACCTCCCACTGTGTAGCAGCCAGGAGAATTGGGAGGGACTGATCCTACCCCCAGCTCTAGTGGAAGCTATGACTCATCTAAGCCCATTAGTATAAACCCATTCCTCCTACCACAATGATGTCTCAGGGAAAACCAGACCAGAGCAATTAACATGTGACATTTACATATGACCTCTGGTGATCCAATTAGCGCCAAGCTCAGGATTTTTGTTTGGTAGTTGAGGGAAAATAGTTATTTCTTTCCTCTTGGATATAAACGACAAAGCATGTAAACCTAATTGCTGTTGGCTACCATTGTACAAACTTGAGGGAATCCAGTATGAAAATGAAACAACACACAGAATAAAGCAGAGAGAACTGATGCACAACGGATCCAAATCCCTGACTGAACTATGCCTGAAGCCCACTCTATTATCGGATTTTTCAGTTACATGAGCCAATAAGTTCCTTGCATTACTTAAACCATGATGTGTAGGGATTTCCATTATTTGCAATCCAAACATATAACCGTTATCGCTTCCTTCACGGTTCTCCCTTTATATGATATGTTATATCTCATTGCTCTTACCTATTCCCATAGCTTCCATGTTTATATCTATGTAGACGATTCCTCTACACCTCTACCACCTGTCTCCTTACCTTCAACTCCAGCACTACTAGCCTTTCACTGAGTAGCTATACTTGGTTTATGAAGCTTTAATCTTAGCATATGTAATACCAACATTTTTACCATCATCACCCAAGCCAAATCAACCTCACTTCCCCACTTTCCTATGTTGGATTATTCAGTTGCCCAAGTTTGAAACTTCAGAGTTATCCATATCCTTTTTTCCTTTAGGCCCCTCAACCAGTCAGCTACCATGACCTCACACTTTTGCCTCTGGCTGCATCCTGACCAACATAACCTCGGTGTCAAATTGACAGTCTTCTCAGTTGGTCTCCCTGCCTCCTAGCTCTCCCAGTTTCTGATCACTCTACACAACACCCATCAGAAACATCTTCCTGAAACATCAAACCAATCAAACATTTTTAATGATTTCTCAATGTGTTTTAGATTTAGCCAACACTTTCCATTCTAAACCCAAGAATGGATTTAGACCACTACAAGGTCTTTTCACTATCTTTCTGGTTTTATAATCCCATTACTCTCTCATTGGTGCCCAAGCTACAGGCAAATTGAACTACATCCCAGTTCTTCCACACCTTGCTGCCAATGAGATGAATCTGCCTGGACCAACTTCCCTTCACATTTCATCTGTTGAAATCCTACTCTTCCTTTAAGAACCATCTCAAAACCACCTCCATAAAAGATACTTTGATTTACCTGAATAGATATTTCTCTTCTTGAACCCTACACTGTGTCACTCTTGTGTTACTCATCACAATAGGAAAGCTAACTTTTATTTTTGTATCCACTAAGCACAGAACATAGGGCCTTGAAAGTGGTAGGTGCTCAATTAATACTCCTTCAATTAGTCTGATTCGAGGGCAAACTTATGAAGAAGAGATGCCACAAGAAGGTAGCCGAGAAGGAATCTCACTCTTTTATTAACAGATTCACTAGAACCTCCTTCTCTCTTTTTTCTTTCTTTCAATGACAGCTAGGAATTCATCAAGTCAACAAATGTTTATTTAGTACTGTATACAAGTCAACACTGGAATCTGGGAGAAGCTAGCTTTGAAATCTTGTACTCTTGGCTGACTCAGAGCTGTGGTTCTCAGAGCATGGTCCACATGGATGTTCCTGGAAGCCAAGGGCAGATCTACTTTTCTACAATATCAGTATTTAGGTAAGCTCTGAATGATATAGCTACTGAGTGGGGAACAAAAAGCAACAGACCAAGAGTTCACAGACCTGAGTTTTCTGGGCCTAGATTTTTCACTAACTAGCTATGTGACCTTGAACAAGTCTTTTAACCTCTCTGTGACTCTATTGCTTCTTTACCTGTGAAACAATGAGGTTAGGCTGCAATGTCTCTCAAAATGTGATCCTCAGAACACTTGTAGCAGATTCACCTGAGCGGCTTTTAGAAAATGCAAATTCCGGGCCTGGTGCGGTGGTTCACACCTGTAATCTCAGCCCTTTAGGAGGCTGAGGCAGGTGGATCACTTGAGGTCAGGAGTTTGAGACCAGCCTGGCCAACATGGTGAAACCCTGTCTCTACTAAAAATACAAAAAAAATTAGCTGGGCATGGTGGTGTGTGCCTGTAATTCCAGCTACTCAGGAGGCTGAGGCACGAGAATGTCTTGAACCCAGGAGGTGGAGGTTACAGTAAGCCAAGATTGCACCACTGCACTCCAGCCTAGGCAATGGAGTGAGATTCTGTCTCAAAAAAATAAATAAATTAATTAATTAAAAAAAAATATATATATATAAATGCAAATTCCCTGGACTCAAATCAGTGCTATCAAAAATGAATCTTTGGGGCCTTGGGAGTCTGTAGTTGAGCAAACTCCCCAGGTGATTCTTATTTCCACTCAAGTTGAAAACCTTTAAAATTTTATAATGGCAAGTTTTTTTCTGTTCTAAGGTGTGGGGGTTACTGGATTAAGTAATCATTTGAGTTATTTTGAAGTGACAAGTGGAATGGATGAGTGAGTAATCCAGAGGATATTTTATCCTAACAAAGTGTCCCTGGAGAGAAAGATTAGAGAGCTTCTATTCCATGGTCTACACCCAGGCCACTGCCCCAGGACCACGCTGCAGCTCCATGCCAGTTGGCTTGCCGGCCTCTCTACCCCTCCCTTCCACTCTCCCTTTCTTCTCTCATTTCCCTTCTTTTCTTTCTTCCCTATCCTCCCCTCTTCTCCCCTTCCTGTTCCCTCCCTCCTTCTTTCCTTTTCTTTCTTTCTTTTTCTCTTTCTTTTTCTCTCTTTTCCTTCCTTCCTTCCTTCCCTCCTTCCTTTCCTCCTCTCTCCCTCTACCTCACTGTCTCTCTCTCTCTCTCTTCTTCTCTCCCTCCCTACTTTCCCTCCCTTCTTTTCTTTTTCATTTTTCTTTTTCACTCCTTCCAAATTCCTACAGGCACCTTAGTAAGCACACCATTATCAATACATTTATTCGCACTTACCTAATAGATTTTTTCCATGAAGTCTTTCCGGCTCCCTCAATCAGATGTAAACATTTCCTGCTCAGAACTCTCCCAGCACTTTGAACTTCTCCTATGCCATTAATCATACTTTGCCATGTAATATTTCTAGGTCTACTCTATTGTATGCCCCTGGGGAAAAAGGCTATTTTATTCATCTTTATGTCCCTTCTTCTGCAGTGCCTAGCATGATGCCTTGCACATGTTGACAATGTTTTACATTTATGTGATGTATAACTAGTTTAAGAAGTATTTTCACAAACATTAATGAATAATGTTTGTGAAAATAAGTGAAATAAGGGCCTGAATAAGTGAAATGTTACTCACTAACGTTTGTGAAAAACTTATTCAGACACTAAGTATTTTCTGAACAGATTCGTGTATGAATTCCTTTCTTTTTTTTTTTTCCTTATCATATTCTTAAGCTTGTCTTATCTCCTGTCCAGGAGGCAGGATTGTGCAGTAGTAAGGACACTGACCTTGAAGTTAGACATCTGAATCTGAAGTCTTGTTTTAGCTCTTAATAGCTGGGCTGTCTTAGGCATGTTATTTAACCCTTCTGAACCATAGTTTTATCTATAAAGTGGCCATAACAATATCTTCTTTACAAGATTGGTGATGATTAATTGCAATTACTTGTGAAAACATCTGGCGCATAGCAGATCATTTTAAAATACTCATTAAATGGAATTCTTCCCTTCCCCCAACTCTTCACCTCCATTAGAATGTCCCTTAAGGACAAACTGGCTTTTTAAATTCTTTCTCTCCAGATTTTTATGCTGTGTCTTGGTGCATTGCATACAAAGATGTGCAGAATACATTTTTTGTGTACTCTCAAAAATAGTCGATGTCATAAGATGAAACACGTATGGAAAACATTCAAACTGAAATGAACAGGATTCCTTGTTGCAAGGGCCATACACCCAATTCAAACAAACTTGAGGGGGAGAAAATAATTTATTGACTTTCCTAATTGGGAAGTTCTAGGGTAGATCTGCCTTTCAGCAAAGTGGTGTCCAGGGGTTAAAATACTGAAGACAGGCCAGCTCCGGGTGGGCCCTGCCTCTATGGCTTTATTCTCAGGCAAAATATCTCCAGCTGGCGGGAAGGATGGCTGGGGGCTTGTGAGTCAAAGGAGAGAAGCCCTTTCTCTCTTTGTGTCCATGTGCAAATCTCATGGAAGAATTCTCACCGACCCTGCTTGGGTTCTCTGCCCACATCTGAACTAGACATAGGTACAAAAGATGTAGTACTATGGCTGGCTCAGCCTGGGTCACATGCCCACTCCTGTGGCCAGTGGGGAAAGACACAGTAGTTTAAAGCCTCTCAGACTACAAGGAATGAGGGAGACGTAGTTCTTCCAAATGAAGGGGTGCCAAAAGACAAAACCAACTTGTTTGGTGCACACATAGAATATAACATGCTATTTCCCACAAGATGCCCAAAGCCGTCTGCTTTGTGTTATTTAAAGGGCCCAGTTTTATTTACCCATTAATTTCCTCATTCACTGTTACTGGAAAAATAAAACCATGCTGAGTATCTCCTAAGGCCCAGACCCAGTGCCAAGGTTTGGGGTAAAGCAGTGACAAAGTCAAGCTTGGCCTTCCTCTCACAGATCTTCCAGTCCAGTGAGGGCTCAGGGACCTCTCACTGCATGGACCACATTTCCTGAAGTTCCCTCCACTAACCATGGTCTTTGGCTTCAAGAAATGAGTTCCACAGGGTTCCATTTATAGTGTATGCACTGGAAGGAGCATCACTTTATCTCATTCTCACCTGTTTGGTGAAACTGCCTTTGCAAAAGTTATGACAGTGAGAAAAATCAGACCTAACTGACTCTGTCTTGTTTCTAACCTCCAAGCCGCACTTGTTCATTCCTGGGCTTAGGCCAGGCTAACTATGGAAGGATTAAGTTCATAATTTAACTTTGAAACAAAGATAATAACAGCCCTTTCCTGAAACAAACCCCCTCCTTCCTTGGGGATCAGACCTCTTTTGTAAAACTAACAAATTAGCCACAAGATTAGAAATTATGGCTCAGAAGTCATACAGCTAGAGGCCACAAGATCCTTAACTCCCCAGTTGCTCCTATAGAGGACATCACTATTGTAAAATCTAAGATTGGTGTTCAAGATATTTTTCACATCTTGCACTCGATGAACCAGCTGACACCACCCAAATGGATAAACTGGCTGAGCTGGTCTTGTGGCTCCTACCCAGGAACTGTGACTCAGTGCAAGAAGACAAGCTATGAATCCCTGTGCTTTCATCTGTGACCCAACCAATCAGTAGGCCCCATTCCCTAGCCCCCTGCCCTCCAAAGTGTCCTTAAAAAACCCTGCCCTTCAAATTTTTAGGGAGGCTAATTTAAGTAATAATAAACTCCTATCCTTCTGCTGAGCTGGCTCTGCATTTATTAAACTCTGTCTATTGCAAAAACCTCTCAGTGATGTTCTCAGTGATGAACTGTGCAGCAGGCAAGATGAACCCATTGGGCAATTGCATTAGTACACTTGGTTTGTTGGCTGAACTGGCCTTTCTTGGTAGAGATCACAGAATTGGACTCTCAGATGAAGGACATGGAGAGCCACCTCACTTCAGTAGCTAGTGCACAGTTCCCAAGAATGGTGGAAGGGGACGATCGGGGGTTTTGTTGCAGGTTTTTTGTTTTGTTTTGTTTTGTTCTGTTTTGTATGTGTAATTTAAAAAGTGTTTTAATTATAGAAAAATATGCATAACATAAAACTTACCATTTTAACCAATTTAAATGTATAGTTCAGTAGTGTTAAGTATATTCGAATTGTATGACCATCTTTAGAACTTTTTCATCTTGCAAACGTAAAACTGTACCCATCAAACAATTCTTCATTCTTCCCTCTCTCCCCAGCCCCTGGCAACTGCCATTCTTTCTGTCTCTGTGAATTTGACTACTCCAGGTACCTTATCTAAATAGAATCATACAGTGTTTGTCCTTTTGTGGGTGGCTTATTTCACTTAGTATTATACCCTCAAGGTTCATCCATGTCATAGCACATGTCAGAATTTCCTTCCTGTTTAAGGATGAATGATATTCCATTGTATGTGGACACCGTGTTTTGTTTATCCATGCATCCTTCAGTGGGCACTCGGGTTGCTTCTACCTTTTGGCAATTGTGAATAAAGCTGCAAGCATCGTGGGGAAGCTCAGTTGTGATGGCAGAAACCTGCGGATTCTGGAGGCCAGCAGCATTCAGATCAAGTAGGGCCCTTGTAGGACCCTGAACAGACAAGTCCTGAGTTCAAAGGGGCAGCAGAAGTGCTGGGGCACCCTCTGCAGGATAGAGGGAGGGACAGTTTCCTGGGCCTGCAGAAGTATCCACGTATAAGGGAGAGGATCTAGAAGGAAGGGAAATGCCAAACTTTATCTACCTCCCCATTTGTCCGGTGCTGGCCCTGATTTCACACTTTGTTGGCCAGTCTTAGGAACTCTTGTCAGGTCATTAGAGGTGACTTCCAAGCAATAACATTGTACTCGCTACTTTAGGAGAGGTCTTTACTCATTCAAGAGTCCTGCCCATCTCTGCTGAGCCTCCTACTAAAGCAATCCCAGCCCTGTCCCACCTTCTGCAGAGCTTGGCCTCCCTCCTCCACCATCTCCCAGCCCCCATTTTGCTTTCCTCTGCCAGCATTGTCTATATCGGACTTCCTCATTCATCTGTTTATCTGTCATCTACACGGGACTGAAATGAGGAGCCAGCCTCATCCAAGTGGCCAGCTGTTCTGGGCATTGAAGAAGTTGCTGTCCAGTGTGGTAGGACAGCATGGTGACACAGATTAAACTGGGCGCTGCTCCGTGGTACTCAGCATAAGTAGCCTGTTAGCTGGAGGCTGAGCCAAATAGAAATGAAGTATCTGGGGAACTTTGAAATGGCTGCCGAATACAAGGGAATTGCTTGTTGGAACTAGGTGAACCGGGAGCGGGTTTCATGGTACAGTAGATCAATATTGTTCCTTCTAAGGAAACAAACAGAATCAATGCCAGCTGCCCCAGGTCTCTGAGCAGATCTGAAAGCCACAGGGCCCATGGATGGAGGCTTCATGCTGATTTTGCAGAATACAACAATGTGTACCTGTTTGGGAGACATTTTATTGAATTTCATACCAACGACTGCACCTGAGCCACCAGTGGCCCAGTATTCAAGCACAGAGCAATGGAGGATCATACAACTGAAGGGCTGAAGGAGTCTTTGGGGAGTGGGAACGGCATTCTTGTTGCCATTCCCTGCTCCTCTACCCACAGCAGACATTTTTTCCTGATATCCACATGCTTGCTGAGCATAGATGCCGCCTGAGAATGTTCTCACCAGTGTTTCAGCAGCCACGACCAGATCATTACAGTTGGCACTCAATGTGGAGGCTTTTGCCTTTCCTGATTTTTTTCAATCTAACATCATTCCAGTAGGATTCCTTCTCTGGCTTTCTGGAGAGCTGCTGTAGAGACTTTGTGAACCTATTTTGTTGTTGAATAGCTCAAATTTTTAAGCCTCTGTTATAATTAAATCTCACTGTGTTTCTACCACAGGAAAAGCCCTGGGCTAGGTATTGAGAAGGTGCTTCCTTAAGCGGACAGAAACCTTTCTTCTTGCAAGTTCTCCCCATTGGTCCTATACCTGCCTTCTGGACAGCGCACAATAAGGCTCTCCCTATGCCATATGACAGCCCTTCCAACATTAGAAGATGGCTTTTGTGCCTTCCCCTAGTTTTTATTTTTTTCTAGAGGAAATCTAAGCACTTCCAGCTACTTTTTAATTGTTGTTTTCTTTTCTTTCTTTCTTTTTTTTTTTTTTTTGGAGACAGGATCTCACTCTGTCACCCAGGCTGTAGTGCAGTGGCATGATCTTGGCACACTGCAGCCTCCATCTCCCGGGCTCAAGTGTTCCTCCCACCTCAGCCTCCTGGGTAGCTGGGACTACAAGCATGCTCCACCATGCCCAGCTAATTTTTCTATCTTTTGTAGAGACAGGGTTTTGCCATGTTGCGCAGGTTGACCTTGAACTCCTGAGCTCAAGCGATCCACCTGCTTTGGCCACCCAAATTGCTGGCATTACAGGCTGGAGCCACCGTGCCCAGCCTCCAACTGTTTCTTTTAATATTTGGTTTTCAGACACCTCACCCCCTGGTTGGTTTCCCGTGATCATGCCCCAGTGTGTCTACATCCCTCTTAAATTGTGGTGCCCAGCGTGTACATAGTACTTCGTCTGTGATCTTAATAATTTGGAGTACAAGCCAGCACACAGGGACATTTAGATGAGTCTTGAAAGGGACAAGGGGTCCACTGAGTTGACAGGGTGCACCAAGGCGTTCCTAGTCAGGGAGAAGTCTGTAAACGTGTGACCATGGCTTGTTCGGGGTGAATTATGCAAATTTTTGTATGAACCAACCCCGGTAATTTTTCATGACTTAAAAATTGTTCTTCGAATTATAAAAACTTAGGGTTACAAAGATTCTTAAAAGGCGTCATCACCCATCTGTTGATTAAATCACCAGGCTACAACATTCCTTGAGAGAAACTGGGGGTCTTGAGTATTCTATAATGGAAACTCTTGTTTTTTATGAAGACAGGCCCTTCAGTATTTTGACTTCTCTGTTCAAAAGTTTATCCTTTTCAATTGAAACCTGCTGCATCGAAAGGTTAGTTGGCCGGGTGCAATGGCTCATGCCTGTAACCCCAGCAGTTTGGGAGGCTGAGGCTGAAGGATCAGTTGAGCCCAGGAGTTCGAGACCAGCTTCAGCAACATAGTGAGACCCCATCTCTACAAAAAAAGAAAAAATTATCCAAGGGTAATAACCTGAAGTCCCAGCTACTTGGGAGACTGAGGTGGAAGAATCCCATGAACCTAGAAAGTTGAGACTACAGTGAGCTATGATCATGCTACTGAACTCCAGTCTGGGCAACTGAGTGAGACCCTATCTCAAGAAAGAAAGAAAGAGGAAAGGAAAAGAAAGGAAAGGAAAGGAAACGAAAGGAAAGGAAAGGAAAGGAAAGGAAGGAAAGGAAGGGAAAGGAAAAAAAAAGGAAAGAAGGAAGGAAGAAAGAGTCAACTTTCAGAGTTATGGAGCATCTACTTTGTGCAGCACTGTTCTAAGTATGTGTGTGGGTGGACATGGGTGGTCCATGGGGACATGGGTGGTCCATGGGGGTAGTCAAGGTGGAGGAAAAAGAACAAACAAGCTCAGACTTTGTCTCTAAGGAACTTGCACTCCAGTGGGGACAACCCAGAAAAGAGTAAAACAAATGCTATAATTGAGACATGGTAAATATTGTGGAAGCACAGAGGAGAAGGAGGTCACTTCCAAAGAAGGGAGCAGAGATAGCCTGTTCTCATGTCTATTCAGCAGCCAGAGTTATTGCTTTAAAATCCAAATCAGATCATATTTCTTGCTGTTCAAAATCCTTCAAGGCTCTCCATCACACTAAAAAATTAACCCCAGGGGCCAGGGGTAGTGGCTCACACTCATAATCCCAGCACTTTGGGAGGCGGAGGTGGGAGGATTGATTGAGGCCGGGAGTTTGAGACCAGCCTGGACAACATAGTGAGATCCCATCTCTTAAAAAAACAAAAAACAAAACAAACGAAAATGAACCCCATGTCCTTACAGTGGCCTGTAGGATCCTGCACTATCTGGCATCTGGCCACCTCTTCTTGCCCACATGAACTTTCAAACATTTCCACTCTGGTCACCCTGACTTCCTTGCTGTCCCTTGAACCCACCAGATTCCTATGTTAGGGCTTTTATATTTAGTGTTTCCTCTTGGGCTTCCCTATGGCTTGCTCCCTCATTCACATCATTCGGCTGTATAGAGAGACCTAAAGTCCCCTCACCCCACAACTTGTTGCTTGCTATCCCCTTACCCTGCCTTATTTACTTAATAGCATTTATTACGATCTAAATTTATCTTTCATTTACTTATTAGTTGTCAGTCTCCCAATAGAATGTGAGCTCTTTGAAGGCAGGATTTTGTCTGTTTCGTTCACTGCTATATCCCCAGTGCCAAGAACAGGGCTGGCTCATGACATGTGCCAAATAAACATTTGTGGAGTGAATGAATGAGTTAATCTTCTTGACAACCTATTCTAAAATCTAGCAGCTGGCCAGGCTTGGTGGCTCACGCCCATAATCCCAGCACTTTGGGAGGCCAAGGTGGGAGGATCACTTGCAGTCAGGATTTTGAGACCAGCCTGAGCAAGAAAGTGAGACCCCAACTCTACAAAAATTTAAAAATTAGCTGGGTATAGTGGTGCGTGCCTGTAGTCCCAGCTATTTGGGAGGCTGAGGTGGAAAAATCACTTGATCCTAGGAGTCTGAGGCTGCAGTGAGCTATGATCAGCCACTGCACTCCAGCCTGGGCAATAGAGCAAGACTCTGTCTCAATAAATAAATAAAAATAAAAATTAGCAGCATTAATATCCAGTGTACTTGCCTGTAGTTTCTAGAAACAAGTCCAATCTTTTTGAAAATGTGCCCAAATAGTTTCTCATCAGAAATCCTGTGGTATTTCCTACTCTTCATGATTTCTCAAATATTTTGACTGTGGCTGTAAGATCTGCAAGTTCTTTCAGCTGTGTGTCTAGGAGATTTTTCCACCTTGGCCTAGGGACCTAAGCAAATTGCATGCACAGAAGATTTTTATCTAGCATGAGGTTACATTCTCAAGTCAGCATAGGAAGGTAAAATTCACATAGCATCAGGATTTTCCTTGAACATCCCTAGCATCACAACAGATTACTGATTCTGTAGTTGTGTGTCTGAGGAATTGGTTTGTTTGTATTAGCAGCCCTGTGGTATGAAAAATATGGATCTCTGAACACCTGAATCACTCTTAGCCTGGTTAGGTGCTTTTCCTAGAGGAAGTATTTATTTAGGAACTGAGGCTGACTGAGAGAACAGCAATTTTATATCCCCTAGGATAGCCAAGTAGTTTTGAGCGTGGGTGCTGGAGCCAAACTATCTAATTTTGAATCCTGGCTCTAACATTTACTTACTTGCTGTATGACTACAGGCAAGATATTCAACTTATCTATGCATCAGTTTTTTCATCTGTAAAGCAGAATAATAATAGTACCTGCCTCATAGGAATAGATTGAGGACTAAGTTTACTAATGTATATGAGGTCTCTAGACTAGCACCGGGCACATAGTATTTCTATGCTTTCTAATCAACATGAGCAATTATTTTATTATCTCCCATCTCATGTTCATACTGGGGCATACGTTCAATGGATGGAAGGCAGGCAGCATATAGTAGATTGTTTAGATTGTGATTTCTCCCTTATTCTTTTTCTATCTGTTTCTCTCTTTCCCCAAATGCCAATAGTTGAATTTGTATGATGTGAGCTCTCTGTAAATTGCTTAGGTGCTTTCCCTTTGCTGGAATTCTAGGCACTCTTCTATTGATTATCATACAATTTCTCATTTGAACACCTTTGTAAAGACTGGGGAAAGTGAGTAGAAAACCAGATGTGAAATAGTTTGACCTCTTTGTCTGTCATACACACACATTTCCACACTTTCTACAAACAATGGGTTTAGCCTTTTCTTAATGTTCTCCTCCAAACATAATGATTGAGTCCCTTTGGTTGCTTTTAGCTTTCTCTGGAGCACTGGCTCATCCTCTGGCTTCAACTTTTTGGATACTTTTCTTATAAATTCATCCTCTTCCCTTTCTTTGAGCACTGAGAAAGCAAAAAAGCCAGGAAGAAAGACAACAATGCAGAAAATGCATAAAAAATAGCCAGCCAGTTTTTTTTTTTTTTTTTAATGTGAAGAATAGAAAAGAGAGAGGCCTGAGGAGTTGGCATGAGCAGAAAGGAACGTTTGCTGTTATATATGGTGGCAGAAGCTGCTGTTCTACTGAGGTGACGGACTCCCCGAGGTCAGAGCTGCAGGAGACACACAGGGCTCTAGGAGCAGCCAGCTTGGCATGCAAGTTTTGACCACATTTGGAAAGTTCAATTATTACTGGTATTAGTTTTCCTACTAAGCCCTGGGACAGAATCCCTTGTTCCTGAGCTGTTATTGAGAATAGTGAGGGAAGTGTTATTTAAGGGTTCAGTAAGTGCCAGATATTATTAACATCATCCTTTAGCCACCCCCCATACCTTATCTGATTGTTTCTTACCCTGATCTGCCTCTACCATTCTCCTGATTGAAAACAGAATTGTCATTGCAATTTTTAAAATCTAATTGATAACCGGGCATGGTGGTGCAGTGTCCCAGGTAGTCGGGAAGCTGCAGTGAGCCATAATCATGCCACTGCACTCTAGCATGGGTAACAGCAAGACCTTGAAAAAGAAAGAAAGAGAGAGAGAGAGATAGAGAAAGAAAGAAAGAAAGAAAGACAAAGAGAGAAAGAAAGAGAGTGAAAGAGAAGAAAGAGGAAGAAAGAGGGAAAGAAATAGAGAAAGAGAGTGAAAGAGAAGAAAGAAAGAAAGAGAGACAGAAAGAAAGAAAGAGAGAGAAAGAAATCTAGTTGTCCAACTTACCCTGATCTGTCCCTTAGGAGCAAAACTTCATGTAATTTATATCTCCCCCTTTTCCGTGTTAGCTAGTTTACCAAACCATTTCCCATCCATTATATGACTTAATATTCATGATTACCCAATGAGGTAGGTGGTCTTGGTGGGTCTCCATTTTACAGATGAGGAAACTGAGTTTTAGTGAATAATTTATTCATTAGTTCATTCATTCAACAAATATTTACTGAGCACTTCTATTCCAGGCATGATGCAAAACATTGAAGATAAAAAGATGAAGTACACATAGTCCCCTCCCGTAAGTAGCTCCTATCTAGTGAGAAAAAGAGGCACAAACAGATACCTCTCGTACAGCAGGGTAAGTCCAATGTCTTAGGTTGGGTGCCCCAGAAACAGTCCTAGACAGTGATCCCAAGAAGTACCAGTAGAGGAGTGAGAAGCTGAGACAAGCAAGGAAAGGAAATGAGTACAGGGTATGTTAATGAACAGGGTCCTGCTGTGGGCAACTGGGCTCAGTCCCACTGGGAATCTCTCAGAGAGTGTAGAAGCTGTGTCAGTGATGTCCCATCTGAGGGTGAGAATCTAGGGTATTTTCCCATTAATCTCTACCTTCTGACCTGGCCTGACCTCTGGTCAAGTACATGCTTGGCCATCAGCAGCAGAGCGTCATAGGTGAGAAGAAAATGATGGTGCCAAGAGAATGTGGGCAGAGCACTGATCATGTCTGTTATGTGCACTTATAGACACAAGCACAGACCATTACAGAAGCCCTGAAGAGGAGTTCCCAGCTCAAACTGGCTGGGTCCAAGAAGTCTTCCTGGAAGAAGTGATGGAGGAACAGTATTCTAAGGGAATGCCTTACTCCAGAGTTGTTCAGTGAGGGCATGTGCAGAGAGGCCCTGATGTCTGGCCACACTAAAGATTTTAGATTGAGAGTTCTGGCTCAGGTTAAGAAAATATCTACTTATCACCGTATCCAGGGAAATTGAGAGGTTAAGAACAGGACAAGAACTCATACGGCTAACAGATCCTCAGAGTGCTGTCCTCTCCAAAATTGAGGGATAAGAGTGAGAGAGAGAAAGAGAGAGCAGCAAGGAGTGAGCTTGTGTCTGCTTTTTGTAAAGAAACACAAGGAAGGACTTTTCTGGGTTTCCCCAAGACTCACCCCAGGCTTCTGTCTATTTATGGATTAGGTGGTTCCTCAGAACATCCTTCCTTCCAGAGCTGCCATCCGGAGCCCTGCCCAGCCCCCAGATACTCGCTGTGCTCACTCCTTCATAAGCACCACCTCCCAATTAGACCAAGGATGTGGCAATCGGGCTGCCCAGAATTACTCTCCCCACCTTCAGCTTGCCCTGAGCAGAGTTCAGATTGCACATTTCCCGACACTGAGAGAGACCCATTAATATTTAGCATTTTACATTTCCAAAGCACTTTGCTAACATGAATTGATCTTTTCGGCACCCCTTGTGAGGCAGCTCAGTACTGCCAGCCCTACTGGGGACATAAAGCTTTGAGAAGATAAGCTACTTAGGCTAGGGCCATGGCTGGTGAGCAATGGATCCAGATGAGAACCAAAGGTCGATGACACCAGTTGTCTGAGCCTCCCGGCAGAACTCCACCATGGCCACAACACCCTCTCCCTGCTCAGGATGTCTTGGAGCGAATCCAGCCCTCTGAAGGTTTAAAAAGAATGGGCTTGTCATCCTTCAGATTGGACCGTTCACAAGCCAGCTACTGCTTACGGAGTGCTTACGATGTGCCAGGAGCTGAACACTTCACATAGATTGTATCATTTAATTCTCACAACCCTTGCCCACTTTCTATGGTGTCACTACTATTATTTTAGGCAACAGAAAACTAAGGCACAGAAAGATTAAGTAACTTGCTTAAAGTTACACAGCTAGTAAGAAGTAGAGCTAGGATTTAAACCTGGGCTATTCAGCTTCAGAGATTTTAACTATTCTGAACCAGCCTAAAGCTGGGTAGAGGAACCAAGTTAAGTGAAATTGCTCTTCGTGAAGTTCTGCCTACTCCCAGGCAATTCATCACATGCTTTGCAAAATTATTTCTAGAGGTAGAGGAATTAGGTGTAGGGAGAAGCTGTCTGCAAAAGTGATCTTGAGGAACGAGAGTGTTAACTAAAGTTGTTGATTACTTGATATTTCTTTTGGCTCACAATTCCCAGGCCTCCCTGAAAGGACAGAGAGAGGACCAGTCCATCCAACAAACAAGCACAAGGCCTCTGTGCCATGCATTGTGTTTAGCGATGATGCTGGCTTTGGTGGGGTACAGACACACATACATAATTGTGATCTGGTGGGGAGCACTATAACAATGATGATGAGAGCTCATTGGGAAGGCAAGTGGAGGGAGGAGGCAGAAGTTACTTGTTAGTCCAAGGAAGTTGGAAAAGTTTTGTAGAGATGACGTGAGTTGGATCCTGATGGAGGTGGAGGAAGGAGAGAAAGGAACAACACGTGCAAAGGAAGCAAGGTGTAAAATAATGCAGCTTGGAGAGCAGAAAAAATTCTTTCTGCCTGGAGCTGTCCTTCTTGCTTTCTTGAGATAAGTGGGTCAATTTGGGGCCCCATAACCCTAGATGACAGATTGGGTTACCAATTTTAAGGTGTCCTGAGGATGTAACTCTGTGACATGTCTAGCCAAATTCTCATCTCGGTATACCATTGTTAGATAGAAAGGATAATTATAGCCAGGTGAGGTGGTGTGTGCCTGTCGCCCCAGCTACTCAGGAGGCTGAGGCAGGAGGATCACTTGAGGCAGGAGATCCAGACAAGCCTGGGCAACATAGGGAGACCCCCTCTCAAGAAAAAAGAAAAGGATAATTGTGGAACAAATATTTAGCAAGTTTCTACTACACTCTTTCTTCTGTGCCTCTGGGGGATTGGTTCCAGGACTCCTGCGGATCCCAAAATCCATGGATGCTCCAGTCCCTTATATAAAATGGCATGTGCTGGGTGCAACAGCTTATGCCTATAATCCCAGCACTTTGAGAAGTTGAGGTGGGAGGATTCCTTGCGGCCAGGAGTTCAAGACCAGCCTGGGCAACAAAGCAAGATCCTCATGCCTACAAAATTATTTTTAAAAAATTAACTGAGCATGTTTGCACTTGTCTGTGGTTTCAGCTACTAAGGATGCTGAGGTGGAAGGATTGCTTGAGCCCAGGAGGTTGAGGCTGCAGTGAGCTATGATTGCAGCACTGTACTTTAGCCTGGGTGGCAGAGTAGACTGTCTATAAAAAAAAATAAAGATGGTACAGTATTTGCATATAACCTACACACATTTTCTTGTACACTTTATTTCTATGTATGTATTTATATATTTATGTATTTATTTTTATTTTATGTATTTATTTATTTTAGATGGAGTATTGCTGTGTCACCCAGGCTAGAATGCAGTGGCACGATCCCAGCTAACTGCAACCTCTGCCTCCTGGGTTCAAGTGATTCTCCTGCCTCAGCCTCCTGAGTAGTTGGGACTTCAGGTGAACGCCACCAAGCCTGGCTAATTTTTCTATTTTTTGGTGGAAACAGGGTTTTGCCATGTTGCCCAGGCTGGTCTCAAACTCCTGACCTCAAGTGATCCACCAGCCTCGGCCTCCCAGAGTGCTGGATTACAGGTGTGAGCCACTGTGCCCGGCCTTATGTATTTATTTTCAATTTAATAGGTTTTTGGGGAACAGGTGATATTTGGTTACATGAATAAGTTCTTTAGTGGTAATTTCTGAGATTTTGGTGCACCCATTATCTGAGCAGTATGCACTGTACCCAATGTGTAGTCTTTTATCTCTTGCCACACCCCACCCTTGCCCCAGAGTCCCCAAAGTCCAATGTATCATCCTTTGCATCCTCATAGCTTAGCTAGCTCCCATATATGAGTGAAAACATATGATGTTTGGTTTTCCATTCCTGAGTTATTTCACTTAGAATAATAGTTTTCAATTCCATCCAGGTTGCTGGAAATGCCATTATTTCATTCCTTTTTATGGCTGAGTAGTATTCCATAGTATATATACACCAGGATTTCTTTTTTTTTATTTTATTATTATTATACTTTAAGTTTTAGGGTACATGTGCACAACGTGCAGGTTTGTTACATATGTATACATGTGCCATGTTGGTGTGCTGCACCCATTACCTCGTCATTTAGCATTAGGTATATCTCCTAATGCTATCCCTCCCCGCTCCCCTGACCCCACAACAGTCCCCGGTATGTGATGTTTCCCTTCCTGTGTCCATGTGTTCTCATTGTTCAATTCCCACCTATGAGTGAGAACATGCCTACACCACGATCTCTTTATCTACTCGTTGATTGATGGGCATTTGGGCTGCTTCCATATTTTTGCAGTTGCAAATTGTGCTGCTATAAACATGCATGTGCAAGTGTCTTTTTCACGTGACTTCTTTTCCTCTGGGTAGATACCTAGCAGTGAGATTGCTGGATCAAACAATAGATCTCCATACTGTTTTCCCTAGTGGTTGTACTAGTTTACATTCTCACCAACAGTGTAAAAGTGTTCCCTTTTCACTGCATCTATGCCAACATCTATTATTTTTTTAATTACGACCATTCTTACAGGAGTGAGGTGGTATCACATTGGGGTTTTGATTTGTATTTCCCTGATCATTAGTGATGTTGAGCATTTTTCCATATGCTTATTGGCCATTTGTATATCTTCTTTTGCAAATTGTATATTCATGTCCTTAGCCCACTTTTGGATGGGACTGTTTGTTTTTCTTGCTGATTTATTTGTGGATCCTGAATATTAGTCCTTGGATGGATGTATAGATTGTGAAGATTTTCTCCCACTCTGTGGGTTGTCTGTTAACTCTGCTGATTATTTCATTTTCTGGACAGAAGCTTTTTAGTTATGTCTCATCTGTTTATCTTTGTTTTTGTTGCATTTGCTTTTGGGTTCTTAGTCACGAAGCCTTTGCCTAAGCCAACGTCTAGAGGGCTTTTCCAATGTTATCTTCTAGAATTTTTATGGTTTCAGGTCTTAGATTTAAGTATTTGACCCATTTTGAGTTGATTTTTGTATAAGGTGAGAGATGAGGATCTAGTTTCATTCTTCTACGTGTGGCTTGCCAATTATCCCAGCACCATTTGTTGAATAGGGTGTCATTTCCCCACTTTGTTTTTGTTTGCTTTGTCGAAAATCAGTTGGCTGCAAGTATTTAGCTTTATTTCTGGGTTCCCTATTCTGTTCCATTGGTCTATGTGCCTATTTTTATACCAGTACCATGCTGTTTGGGTGACTATGGCCTTATAGTATAGTTTGAAGTTGGGTAATGTGATGCTTCCAGATTTGTTCTTTTTCTTAGTCTTGCTTTGGCTATGCAGGCTCCTTTTTTGGTTCTGTATGAATTTTAGGATTGTTTTTTCTAGTTCTGTGAAGAATGATGGTGGTATTTTGATGGGAATTGCATTGAATTTGTATATTGCATTTAACAGTATGGTCATTTTCACAATATTGATTCTACCCATCCATGAGCATGGGATGTGTTTTCATTTGTTTGTGTCATCTATGATTTCTTTCAGCAGTGTTTTGTAGCTTTCCTTGCAGAGGTCTTTCAAGTCCTTGGTTAGGTATATTCCTAAGTATTTTTTTTTTTTTTTGCAGCTACTGTAAAAGGAGTTGAGTTATTGATTTGATTATCAGCTTGGTTGCTGTTGGTATATAGCAGAGCTACTGTTTTGTGTACATTAATTTTGTATCCTGAAACTTTGCTGAATTCATTTACCAGTTCTAGGAGTTTTCTGGATGAGTCTTCAGGGTTTTCCAGGTATATGATCATATCATCGGTGATATGGTTTGGCTGTGTCCCCACCCAAATCTCACCTTGAATGGTAATAATCCGCATGTGTCAAGGGCGGGGCCAGGTGGAGATAATTGAATCATGGGGTTGGTTCCCCCATACTGTTCTGTTAGTAGTGAATAGGTCTCACAAGATCTGATGGTTTTGTAAATGGGAGTTCCCCCGAACAAGCTCTCTCTTGCCTGCTGCCATGTAAGACATGACTTGGCACCTCATTTGCCTTCCATCATGTTCGTGAGGCCTCCCCAGCCATGTGGAACTGTGAGTCAGTTAAACCCCTTTCCTTTATAAATTACTTAGTCTCAGGTGTGTCTTTATTAGCAGCATGAGAACAGACTAATACAATCAGCAAACAGTGACAGTTTGACTTCATGTTTACTGATTTGGATGCACTTTATTTCTTTCTCTTGTCTGATTTCTCTAGCTAGGACTTCTAGTACTATGTTGAACAGAAGTGGTGAAAGTCGGCATCCTTCTCTTTTTCAATTCTCAGGGAAAATGCTTTCAACATTTCCTTGTTCAGTATATTGTTGGCTCTGTGTTTGCCATAGATGGCTTTTATTACCTTAAAGTATATCCCTTCTATGACAATTTGCTGAGGATTTTGATCAAAAAAGATGCTGAATTTTGTCAAATGCTTTTTCTGCATCTATTGAGATGATCATGTGATTTTTGTTTTTAATTTTGTTTATGTGGTGTATCACATTTATTGGCTTACATATGTTAAACCATCCCTGCATCCCTGGTATGAAACCCACTTGATCATTGTGGATTATCTTTTTGATATGCTGTTGGATATCGTTCTCTAGTATTTTGTTGAGGATTTTTACATCTATGTTCATGAGAGTTATGGCTCTGTAGTTTTCTTTTTTTTTTGTTATGTCCTTCCCTGGTTTTGGTATCAGGGCGATACTGGCTTCATAGAATGATTTAGAAAAGGATCCCCTCTTTATCTTATGGAATAGTGTCAATAGGAATGGTACCAATTCTTCTCTGAATGTCTGATAGAATTCAGCTGTGAATCCATCTGGTCCTGGACTTTTTTTTTTGGCAATTTAAAAATTACCTTTTCAATCTCGCTGCTTGTTATTGGTCTGTTCAGAGATTCTATATCTTCCTGGCTTAATCTAGGAGGGTTGTATATTTGCGGGAATTTATTCGTCTCCTCTAGGTTTTCTAGTTTATGCATGTAAAGGTATTTATAGTAGCCTTGAATAATCTTTTGTTTGTTTGTGGTATCAGTTGTAATGTTTCCCATTTCATTTCTAATTGAGCTTATTTGGCTCTTCTCTCTTCTTTTCTTGGTTAATCTTGCTAATGGTCTATCAATTTTATTTATCTTTTTAAAGAATTAGCTTTTTGTTTCATTTATCTTTTGAGTTTTTGTTTGTTTTTTGTTTCAATTTTATTTAGTTCTGCTCTGGTCTTATTTCTTTTCTTCTGCTGGGTATGGGTTTGAATTGTTCTTGTTTCTCCATTTCTGTGAGGTGCGACCTTAGATTATCTATTTGCACTCTTTCAGACTTTTTGATGTAGGCATTTAATGCTACGAACTTTCCTCTTAGCACTGCTTTTGCTGTATCCCAGAGGTTTTGATAGGTTGTGTCACTGTTATTGTTCATTCAAAAAACTTTTAAATTTCCATCTTAATTTCATTGTTGACCCAGTGATCATTCAGGAGCAGGTTGCTTAATTTCCATGTATTTGCATGGTTTTGAGGCTTCCTTTTGGAGTTGACTTCCAATTTTATTCCACTGTGGCCTGAGAAAGTACTTGATATAATTTTGATTTTCTTAAATTTACTGAGACTTGTTTTGTGGCCTATCATATGGTCTATCTTGGAGAATGTTCCATATGCTGATAAATAGAATGTATATTCTGCAGTTGTTGGGTAGAACGTTCTGTAAATATCTGTTAAGTCCATTTGTTCTAGGGTATAGTTTAAGTCCATTGTTTATTTGTTAATTTTCTGTCTTGATGACTTGTCTAGTGCTGTCAGTGGAGTATTAAAGTCTCTCACTATTATTATGTTGCCATCTACCTCATTTCTTAGGTCTAGTAGTAATTGTTGTATAAATCTGGGAGCTCTAGTGTTAGGTGCATATGTACTTAGAATTGTGACATTTTCCTGTTGGACTAGTCCTTTTATCATTATATATTGTTCCTTTTTGTCTTTTTTAAGTGCTGTTGCCTTAAAGTTTTGTCTGATATGAGAATAGCTACTCCTGCTCACTTTTGGTGTCCATTTGCATGGAATATCTTTTTCCACACCTTTACCTTAAATTTATGTGAGTTCTTATGTGTTAGGTGAGTCTCCTGAAGACAGCAAAAACTTGATTAGTTAACTCTTATCCATTCGGCTATTCTGTTTTTTTTTTAAGTGGAGCATTTAGGCCATTTACATTCAACATTAGTATTGAGATGTGAGGTATTATTCTATTCATTGTGCCTGAATACCTTGTGTGTGTGTTTTTTTTTTTTTCATCATGTTATTGTTACATAGGTCCGGTGAGATGTATACTTTAAGAAGGTTCTATTTTGGTGTATTTTCAGCATTTGTTTCAAGATTTAGAGCTCCTTTTAGCAGTTCTTGTAGTGCTGGCTTGGTAGTGGCAAATTCTCTCAGCATTTGTTTGTCTGGAAAAGATTGTATCTTTCCTTCATTTTTAAGCTTAGTTTTGCTGGATACAAAATTTTTGGCTGACAATTGTTTTGTTAAGGAGGCTAAAATAGGAACCCAATCCCTTCTAGCTCGTAGGGTTTCTGCTGAGAAGTCTTCTGTAATCTAATAGGTTTTTCCTTTATAGGCTACCTGATGCTTTTCACCTCACAGCTCTTAAGTTTCTTTCTTTCATCTTGACTTTAGATAACCTGATGACTATGTCCCTAGGCAATGATCCTTTTGCAATGAATTCCCCAGGTGTTCTTTGAGCTTCTTGGATTTGGATGTCTAGATCTCTAGCAAGTCTAGGAAATTTTTCCTCAATTATTCCCTCAAATATGTTTTCCAAACCTTTAGATTTCTCTTCTTCCTTGGGAAAACCAATTATTCTTAGGTTTGGATATTTAACATAGTCCCAAACTTCCTGGAGGCTTTGTTCAATTTTTTTTAAATTCTTTTTTATTTGTCTTTGATAGATTGGATTAATTCAAAAGTCTAATCTTAGAGCTCTGAAGTTCTTTCTTCTGTTTGTTTGATTCTATAGCTGAGACTTTCCAGTGCACTTTGCATTTCTCTAAGTGTGTCCTTGATTTCTGGAAGTTGTGATTGTTTTATATTTTTCTATCTATTTCACTGAAGAATTTTACTTTCATATCTTGTATTATGTTTTTGATTTCTTTAAGTTGGACTTCACCTTTCTCTGGTGCCTCTTTGATTAGCTCAATAGCTTAATAATCATCCTTCTGAATTCTTTTTCTGGCAATTCAGAGATTTCATCTTGGTTTGGATCCATTGTTGGTGAGCTGGTATGATCTTCGGGGTGGGGTGGGGGTAGTAAGAACCTTATTTTATCATCTTACTGGAATTGTTTTTCTGGTTTCTTCTCATTTGGGTAGACTTTGTCAGAGGGAAGATCTGGGGTTCAAGGGCTGCTGTTCAGATTCTTTTGTCCTATGGGGTGCTCCCTTGATGTGGTATTCTTCCTCTTCCCCTAGGAATGGAGCTTTCTGAGAGCCAAACTGTAGTGATTATTTTTGTTCCTCTGGGCCTAACCACCCAGCAGAGCTACCAGGCTCTGGGCTGGTACCAGGGAGTGTCTGCAAAAAGTCTTGTGATGTAATTCATCTTCAGATCTTGCAGCCATGGATACCAGCACCTGCTGTGGTGGAGTTAGCAGGGGAGTCAAGTGGATTCTGTAAGGATCCTTGATTGTGTTTTTGTTTAGTGTGCTGGGTTTGTGTTCATTGGCCTCCAGCTATCTACTAGTCTGTTCTCACGCTGCTAATAAAGACAAACCCAAGACTGGGTAATTTATAAAGGAAAGAGGTTTAACTGACTCATAGTTTCACATGGCTGGGGAGGCCTCACAATCATGGCAGAAGGCAAATGAGGAGCAATGTCATGTCTTACATGGTGGCAAGCAAGAGAGAGCTTTTACAGGGCAACTCCCATTTATAAAACCATCAGATCTCATGAGATTTATTCACTACCACTAGAACAGTATGGGGAAAGTGCCCTCATGATTCAGTTATCTCCACCTGTTCCCACCCTTGACACATGGGGATAATTATTACAATCCAAGGTGAGATTTGGGTGGGGACACAGCCAAACTATATCATTCCTTCCCAGGCCCCTCCCAAATCTAATGTCCCCACATTTCAAAACGAATCATGCCTTCCCATCAGTCCCCCAAAGTCTTAACTCATTTCAGGATTAATTCAAAAGTCCACAGTCCAAAGTCTCATCTGAGACAAGGCAAGCCCCTTCCACCTATGAGCTTGTAAAGTTAAAAGCAAGTTAGTTACCTTCTAGATACAATGGGGGTACAGGCATTGGGTAAATACACCCATTCCAAATGGGAGAAATTGGCCAAAATGAAGGGACTACAGCCACCATGCAAGTCCAAAATCTAACAGGGCAATCAAATCTTAAAGCTTCAAAATGATCTTCTTTGACTCCATGTCTCACATCCAGGTTATGCTGATGCAAGAGCTGGGTTCCCATGGTCTTGGGCAGCTCCATCCCTCTGGCTTTGCAGGGTATAGCCCCACTCTTGGCTGCTTTCATGGGCTGGCATTGAGGGTCTGCAGCTTTTCTAGGTGCACAGGGCAAGCTGCCAGTGGATCTACCATTCTGGGATCTGGAGGATGGTGACCATCTTCTCACAGCTCCACTAGGCAGTGCCCCAGTGGGGACTCTGTGTGAGGGTCCCCACCCCACATTTCCCTTCTGTACCGCCCTAGCAGAGAGGTTCTCCATGAAGGCTCTGCCTCTGCAGCACACCTCTGCCTGGACATTCAGGCATTTCCATACATCCTCTGATGTCTAGATGGAGGTTCCCAAACCTCAATTCTTGACTTCTGTGCACCTGCAAGCTGAACATCACATGGAAGCTGCCAAGGCTTGGGGCTTGCACCCTCCGAAGCCATGGCCTGAGCTGTACCATGACCCCTTTTACCCACGGCTGGAGCAGCTGGGATGCAGGGCACCAAGTTTGTAGGCTGCACATCCTGAGCAGCCTACATGGGCCTGTCTCAAGAAACCATTTTTTCCTCTGAGACTTCCAGGCCTGTGATGGCAGGGGCTGCTGCTCAAAGGTCTCTGACATACCCTGGAGACATTTTCCCTATTGTCTTGGTGATTAACATTTGACTCCTTGTTATCTGCAGCAGGCTTGAATTTCTCCACAGAAAATGGGTTTTTCTTTTCTGCTGCATCATCAGACTGCAAATTTTCCAAACTTTTATGCTCTGTCACCTCTTGAATGCTTTTCCGCTTAGAAATTTCTTCCACTAGATACCTGAAATCATCTCTCTGAAGTTCAAAGTTCCACAGATCTCTAGGGCAGGAGAAAATGTCACCAGTCTCTTTGCTAAAATGTAGCAGAGTAACCTTTATTCTGGTTCCCAACAAGTTCCTCAGCTCCATCTGAGACCACCTGAACCTGGACTTCATTATCCATAGCAGTATCAGCATTTTGGTCAAAGTCATTCAACAAGTCTCTAGGAAGTTCCAAACTTTCCCACATCTTCCTGTCCTCTTCTGAGCTCTCCAAACTGTTTCAACTTGTTACCTAGTTCCAAAGTCACTTCTACATTTTTGGGTATCTTTACAGCAGCACCCCACTACCTGGTATCAATTTACTGTATTTGTCTGTTCTCACACTGCTAATAAAGACATACCTGAGACTGGGTAATTTATAAAGGAAAGAGGTTTAATGGCCTGAACTTACAGTTCCACATGGCTGTGGAGGCCTCACAATCATGGCGGAAGGCAAAGGAGAAGCAAAGTCACATCTTACATGGTGGCAGTCAAGAGAGAGCTTGTGCAGGGACCTCCCATTTATACAACCATTAGATCTCATGAGGCTTATTCACCACCACCAGAACAGTACAGGGGAAATGGCCCCCATGATTGAATTATCTCCACCTGGCCCCACCCTTGACACGTGAGGATTATTACAATTCAAGGTGAGATTTGGGTGGGGACACAGCCAAACTAAATCAAACCAGGAAGTGGTGCTTTCAAGAATGCATCAGCTGCAGTCCTATAGGGAGGATGCAGACTTGCCCTAGGTTCACCTGGTTAAGTATTCATGTTTCTCAGGCAGTGGGTAAGGCCATAAAGCTCCCAAGAGATTATGACCTTTGTCTTTGGCTACGAGAGCGGGTAGAGAAAGACCACCAGATGGGGGCAGGGATAGGTGTGTGTCTGAGCTCAGTCTTTCCTTGGGCGGGGCTTGCTGTGGCTGCTGTGGGGGATGGGGATGTGGTTCCCAGTCCAGTGGAGTTATATTCCCAGGGGGATTATGGCTGCCTCTGCTGAGTCATACAGTCTGCCAGGGAAGTGAGGGAAAGCTGGCAGTCATAGGCTTCACCCCACTCCCATGCTGCCCACAGTTTTAAAGGCTGGTCTCACTCCTACTGTGCCCACCCCCTCCCCAAACAGCACCGAGTCTATTTTCAGGCAGCAGGTGATCAGGACTGAGAACTTGCCCCAAACCACAAGCCTTCCCATTAAGAAAGTAAGCAGACTCACAGTTTTTCCATGTCTCAGAGAGCCTGCAGCAGCGATCCAGTTCCTTCAAAGGGTCTGTGGATTATCTCGGCTTTCCTGGTATGTTCCTGTGGTAGTTATTGGAGCAAAAGTTTATGACATGAGTCTCCACATGCTGCTCTGTCCCTCTAAACAGGGACTACAAGCTAATCCCGCCTCCTATCTGCCATCTTAATCCCTTCCTGCATGTTTTAAATCATCTCTAGGTTACTTACAATACCTAATACAATGTAAATGCCATGTAAACAATTGTTAATTGTTATACTGATTGTTTAGGGAATAATGACAAGAAAAAAAGTCTGTACAGGTTCAGTACAGATGCAACCATCTTAAATCTAACCACATCTTCTATCCAAGGTTGGTTGAATCTGTAGGTGCAGAGCTCATAGACATAGAGAGCCAACTGTATATGCAATGCACTAGGTGGCAGTTGATTGGGGACCATGACTTTTTGAGTGCTATGGGGCCAAGGGAGAGGGTCTGAAACTGAGAAGTTGTGTCCTGGGAAGGAAACCTTGAAGAAGAGTCACTCAGCCTCAACCAATCTCCTGACTGAAAAAAGAATCAGCATCTCAATTTAAAAAATCTAATTGTTCCTCACCCTGATCTGTCCCTTAGGAGCAAAACTTTATGTAATATACATTTACCTTTTTCCTTGTTAGCTAGTTTATGAAACCATTTCCTATCCATTATATGACTAAATATTCATGATTACCTGATGAGACAGGTGGTCTTGGTGGGTCTCCATTTTACAGATGAGGAAACTGAGTTTTAGTGAATCATCTAAGGTTACATGCTTTATAGCAGCAGGCATTTGCAGGGTCCTAGTCTCAAGTTTGTTTCTGTATCCATTTGCTTTGCCTTCTAGCTCCTGCTAGGTGCTCGGCACAGCTTCTAATCAATACCATGGGCCCCTGGCAGCACCTTGGGGTGAGAGATGTGGCTTGCTGCACCTCCTGAGATAGGAGTTGAGATGTCAAAATCAGGGCATTGTTAGAACCAAAAAGTCCAGCTCTAAATATCTGACTGGCTTGGTCAGAGCTGAGCTGTGAGGTTTTAAGTGGAAGAAATTACCAGAGTATTTATCAATTACAGCTCTAAGGAGTCTTTGTTCTCAGATAATAGAGTCAAGATGAATGTGGCGTAATATTGCCATAATATTGCTAAGCCCTACCCCTGAAATGGGCAATGTGGCATTGGATAGTTTAGACATGCAAGCCTTGAGATCAAGAAGTGGATAGACCAGACTTGGTGCAGTAAAGCTAATTGTGAGGGAGTGTATGGATATGGTGTGGGGTGGGGAGAAGTGCTGGTATAACTCACAATTGGATATTACCATCTGATGCTATGACCTCAAGCACAGAGATTCCACCCAAGCAATAGTTGCCACCATGCTCTTCTTAAGATGGCTTGAATTAGAGCTAGAGTTCTCTGGGTTCCTAACCTAGACTTTGGGGTCTTTCAGAGTTCTCTATCCTGCTTTTCCTCAGGAATTAAATGGAAGCTACGTGTTGATGGCCTGGCCTCCTATTGTCCCCCAAAATCGTACCTTTCGTCCAGTTGATGCCTGAGACCCCTGCGGTTCTAAATAGCAGCACTTGCCCACACTAGCCATGAGGGGAGAATCCAATACCTAAAAGCCCAGTAAAATTTGGATCCTCTGTGCTCATGAACTGAAAGTCACAAAAAGAAAGAATCCTCAAGTTAGGAGGGACCGATCAGAGCCCACATATCCAAGGGGAAGGCTTATTTAATCCTGCTCTCCTGATAACATTTTCTCCTCCACCTTCCATACCATACGGGTAATTATGGTATTATATTGGGAGAATACTGAAACTCAGAGGAGATTGTAAAATGTTCCCCAGCAGGGTTTGGTCTTTTATATAACCTTATAAACACCCTTTTTGTCTTATATATCCCTTGTTCAAACTGTCCATTTTGAAGCTAGGCTGCAGATAACCCTGCCCTAATCACCGAGCAGACAGGCAACATACAATTCCTAAGTGTTTGAGAACCAGATATCCTCTATTAACTATCTCAGGACTTGAAAGGGTCACACTGCTGAAAAAGGGCACTTGGCACCAGGAACATCTGTATTAGAGGCAGTATACAACAGTAGTTGACAGCTCAGACTCTGGAGCCACACTGTCTTTGTTCAAATCTCAGGTTTGTCACTTATTAGCTGCATAACCTTGGGCATATTATGTAATCTCTCTCTGCCTCAGCTTCCTCCAATGTAAAATGATGGCATTTATAGATCCTATCTGGTAGGGCTGTGTGAGGATTGACTTCAATCAGGCATGTAAAGGGTTTAGCGCAGCTCCTGGCACACATTGAGCCCTTGTTAACTGTTAAATGCTATTCATTACGAAGCGACAGGTGTCACTTTCCTCCTCTAGGGTGTTTCTTTCTCTTCCTTATGTCTTTGAGACCCACCCCTGACCTTCTCCCTACTTTACATTTCTGAAGCCAGCTGCTCCAACATTTCTTCCTTCTTGTCCAGGATGCAAAAGAAAAACAGTTCGCACACGAGCAATTAAAAAAAAAAATATCGCTTATAGCATCACTCTAAACCAATATACCACAGCTCATTATCCAAGAGCTAAGGGCCTTTTAAGCCAGCAATTTCTTATTTATTCTGTTAAAAAAAACACACACAAGGTCCTTTGGTTTCATATTCCTTTATTGTATTTTGTAAGGCACTGAGCACATACTGGCTACTATGTAAATGTGAAATACTCTAACAATAGTAACTGAGACAGATGAGAAACTCGAGAAAGCAAAGTCACCATTTTGAATTTAGTGTTTTATTGATGGGCTGAGTGATTTGGGAGAGACAGTGTGGCTCCGAGGCTAAAGAGCCCGTAGGGAATCAGAGGGCAGAGGTTTGAATCTCAGTCATAGCAGCAGCTCTGAGTAGCTCTGGCGACCCCAGGCAAGCAGCTTCCTTCCCCTGGACCTCAAATTCTCCCCATAAATACTGGGCTTAATGCCACAAAGCCATCTCCCAGGGATGTTAAGCTGGGGCTGCTGTATGTGGTTGTGCACATTGTGCACTGCACAGGGGCACCAGCTGAGGGGGTAAGTGGTAGCTGAAATCTCGTCCATATTCTGCACCCTGGTGATGGGCCATGACCATCTGAAGGAAGGGAGCACTTTTTCCTAATTTTCATAACACTACTATATGGGTTAGTAGAGGCCCTGTATTAAGGAATGTGACAGTGATGGGGCACAGAGTTTAGCAAGTAAAATAAATAAGTTTATTCGACACAGTTATAGTATACCTACTATGTGCAAGGCCCAATTCTAGGGGCTGAAGATACAGAGATGGATATAACCTATTAGTGCCCTTGGGTCCTCTTTTTCCTTCACCAGTCCATCCTCTCCTATATTCAATCCATCAGCAAGTCCTGTTGACTCAAAAGATCAAATACACCCACTTCTCTCCATCCCTCTGCAAGCACTTTGTTTCATTATTTCTCACCTAGCCTACTGCAATAGATGGGCTCCCACTTCTACTCCAGTCTTCTAAACCAAAGCAGGAGCAATTGCATTAAAATATGAATCAGATAACATCATCCTCTTTTTAAAACCCCCTTTTTGGTGGCTATAATTTAATCCAGGGTTCTGACCATGGCCTTGAGGCTGTGCATACCTGGCTCTAATTACCACCTCAGGTCATCTAGACCACTTAAACTACACTCTCTCTACCCCAGGAAAACGGACCACTCTGTCCCTCAAACAGCCTGGCTCTTTCTTTGTGTGGTCTGATCCCTTTGGCTGGAGCACACTTTCCCCGGTTCTCCATCTCTTTCTCAACCTTCAGTGCTCAGTGGAAAGGTTGTCTACTCAGAGAGGTCTTCTTAGACCACCTTGTTAAAGTAGTGTAGTATTTTATGTCCATCACTGTAGTCATTGGTTCTTGCATTCCTATAAAGAACTACCTGAGACTGGGTAATTTATAAATAAAAGAGGTTTAATTGTCTCATGGTTCTGCAGGCTCTACAGGAAGCATGGCCAGAGAGGCCTCAGGAAACTTACAATCATGGCAGAAGGTGAAGGGAAAGCAGGTGCATCCTACATTTCTGGAATAGGAGAAAGAGAAAGACGGCGAGGTGCCGCACACTTTTAAGCCATCAGATTTCATGAGAACTCACTGTCACGGGAACAGCAAGGGAGAAATACGCCCACATGATCCAATCACCAGGCCCCACCTCCAACATTGGTGATTACAATTCGACATAAGATTTGGATTGGGACACAAATCCAAACCATATCAACTGTCATTCATGGCCAGGATGTTCTACTGCACAGCAGCCTGCTCCATTTGAAAGTACAGAGTTCTTTGCTTATTTCTTGTTTTATCTGCTAGATTATAAGCTCCGTTACAGTAGGGACCATGCTTGTGTGTTCTCCACTGCGTGCCCCCTCATCACCTTGCTAAGTCTCTGGTGCACAGTAATAAAAATCAATACATATTTGCTCAATGAAGTTGATACAAGGAATTCTTCCAATAGAGGAGTGGACATTACAATATAATGTAGATGTGTGATATGACAAAGGCATTGATATGCTAGTAAACTGGCTCTTCGACAGCAACAACAACAAAAAGAAGCCCTGATTTGTCATTTGCTGATTTCCACGGAGTATTTACACACACACACATTACAAATCACAGCAGATTTCAAACTACCAATGGCTAAAACCGGCTTGCAAAAATTCCTGAACATCTAACAGTTGTCTCTTTAAAGCTGGTATGAGGCTGGGGGTGGTGGCTTATGCCTGTAATCTCAGCACTTTGGGAGGCCAAGGTGCAAGGACTGCTTTAGCCCTGGAGTTCGAGACCAGCTTGGGCTACAGAGTGATAACTCGTCTCTATTAAAAAATTAAATAAATAAATAATAAATAACAAAGTTGGTATGAGCTGGCTCTAGCATATCACTGGAAGAGAGGCCAACATGGGTGGGATGAGTGTCCAGGAAAGGAGCACTAATTTGTCTTGGTGGGGGTGGGGGGCCGAGTTCAGCAAAGGCTTCCTGGAGGAGATGATACTTGACTTGTGTTTTGAAGGGTGGGTATGCTGGCTCTGGCCTGATACCTCTAAACTGAATAACATAGTCCAGTTCCCCATAGGCCACATTTCACTGTTTCTGGGTCCCCTACTGAGCCCACTGCTGTAATGCCTGAGGCTTATCATCTGACTCAGCACAATCCTCAGAAAATCCTTTCGTGTGGCTGGTGTTCTACTGGGTTTCCTCTGAATCCCACAGAGGAGAATTACATAGCAGTATAAGTTAGTCAAGGGAGAAGGGAGAGGGTTTTCCAAACAGAGGGAGAGCTTATACAAAGGTTAAAGAGCAAGCGCTACAGCAGTTTGGTAAATCTAAGGTGTCTATGGGAGGGAGAAGAAGGAGATTAGCTCCTGACAGGCTTTGTTTGATAGGGTAAGGAACATAAACTGATTCCCAATCTGGGCTGGGGCAGGTGGGAGAGAAGGGGAAAGGGACCAATTATAATACTTTTCCTCCATAATTCTTATTACAGCTGGTAACTATGGGTTTTTTGTTGGTTTTGATTTTTGGTATGAAATCATTTAATATCTGTCTCTTCCAAGAGAATGTAAACTCCACAAGGGCAGGTAATATTCGGTTCACTGTTGTTTTCTCAGTACCCAGCACTGGTACATAGCAAGCAACAAAATGTATTTTGTTGAATGACTGAATAACCAGGGAACTTTATTTTATTTTTAATTTTTTTGAGACAGGATTGCTCAGGCTGGAGGGCAGTGGCACAATCATGGCCCACCATAACTTTATTCTTGGGCTCAAGCAATCTCCCCACCTCAGCCTTCCAAGTGGCTAGGACTACAGGCTTGTGCCACCATGGCTGGCTAATTAAAAAAATTTTTTTTTGCAGAGATGAGATCTCCTTATGTTGTCTAGGCTGGTCTTGACCTCCTGGGCTCAAGTAATCCTCCCACCTCAGCCTCCCCAGTTGCTGGGATTACAGGCATGAGCCACCACAGTGGGCCTCCTCGGGAATTTTTTAAAAAATGCCCATGTCCACCTACCCTACAGTAAGATTTCCTATAAATCTTCTTTCACTGAACCTCCCAACCACAATACTGGATTCTGATTGCCTGGTGAGTTTTTCCTGCCCACTGCACAGACAAAACCAATTCACTGAGACCATGGCAGAGCAGTAAAGAATTTAATTGATGACAGAGTTATCTTAAATCAAACTCCCTGAAGGTTCAGAGGTTAGGGTTTTTATGGACATTTTGGTGGGCAGGGGGCTAGGGAATGGGTGCTGCTGATGGGTTGGGAATGAAATCATAGGGGTGTGGAAAACAGTCCTCATGCTCTGAGTCCACCTCTGGGTGGGGCCACAGGAGCAGCTGAGTCATGAGTTAGGAGTCCTGAAGAAGGAACAGATTCAAGGAGTACTTGGGAGATAGTGAGAGAAGAAAGAGACCCTCTCATATTGTTTTATATTGTTTTATACTCAGTACCTGTTTTAAGAAAAAAAACAAGGAAGTGAAACCAAAGGCAGGCAGCCCAGCACCAGGCACCAGACCCAAAACCAGACCTGAAACCAGGCCTGGGCCTGCCTGGCCTAAACCTAGTAGTTAAAAATCAACTCATGACTTAGCATAGATTCCAGGCATTGTATGGAAGAACATTGTACTCTGTTCTGTTTCACTCTGACTACCACTGCATGAAGCCCCTGTCACATACACCCCAGATTGCTCAATCAATCACGACCCTTTCATGTGAAATCTTTAGTGTGGTGAGCCCTTAAAAGGGACAGAAATTGTGCACTCGGGGAGCTTGGATTTTAGGACAGTAGCTTGCCGATGCTCCCAGCTGAATAAAGCCCTTCGTTCTACAACTTGGTGTCTGAGAGGTTTTGTCTGCGGCTCGTCCTGCTACAATAGAATCTCCAAGATTTGGTGACCATTTGAATATTGGAGGAAGAGGAAGTGAGAAAGGAGGAATCAGGTTAAAGAGTGAATATTAATGAGTAGGGAGGAGGGGTAGTAGTTTACTTTTCTTTTTTTGGGGGACGGAGTCTCCCTGTGTTGCCCAGGCTGGAGTGCAGTGGTGCAATTTTGGCTTACTGCAACCTCCGCCTCCCGGGTTCAAGCGATTCTCCTTCAAGCAATTCTCCTGCCTCGGCCTCCTGGGTAGCTGGGATTACAGGTGCCCACCACCACGCACAGCTAATTTCTGTACTTTTAGTAGAGACAGGGTTTCACCATGTTGGTCAGGCTGGTCTCGAACTCCTGACCGCAGGTGATCCACCTGCCTTGGCCTCCCAAAGTGCTGGGATTACAGGCATGAGCCACTGTTCCTGGCCCCAGTAGTTCACTTTTCAAGGACACTGGAGATGCCTGTGGGCATGGATGAGGAGAGGTCTTGTCTAGGAAGTTGGGAATACAAACAATGAGCTCAGGTGAGAAGGGACTGGAGTGTCCCCTCTCCCACCCCAATTTTAAGAACTCTGGAAAACACCAATATTTTAGAGGTAAGTTAGAGGAAACAAAGTAGAATGAATTCAGAGAAGGAAAACCTGGATAGTGTCATAGAAAATAAGTGATAATGCCCAATAGCGTCAAATGACTAAAGCTTGAGTTAGATGAGTCCGGAAATACCTCCAATGAGTTTGGCAACAAGGACACTTATGACAACAAGGCATTTTCCATGGGGGCGGAAGCTGCGATGAGGAGTGAACACAGATGAGCAAGTAGAGACAGTGTAGATTATCTTTTTCAAAAAACTTGGCTGTGAACGGAGGAAGTGAGATGGTATAATTGAGTGGAATGTAAGGAGATTTGCGCACGTATATAGCCGAGAGGAATGAGGAAGGGTTGAAGGGACAGGAGCAGAAATGCTCTCCGGCACTCGCCATTTTGCCAGCTTCTCCCCTACGTGACCTGAACTCAGTGGGCGCGGCCGGGCCTCGCGGAAACTACAACCCCCAGAAGGCCCCACGGCGTTGGGGGCGGAGCCGAGGCCTGACGCGCGCCCCAGCGGCGCGAGCGGAAGAGATAGAGCTTCGCGGAGACGGCGGAAGCGGAGAGCAACAGCGCGCCGGTAACAACCAGCCCCGTATCCCCTCCCTCTGTACCTCAAGCTAGGATTTTTAATCCCCACTTCTCCCTTCACAGCCCGGGACAAGACTTCCATTCCGTCGTTTGTTGCTGGTATTTTTTTTCCTCATGTGACGCGAGGGGCCGCCCCCTGCCTGGGGCGGAGGTTACTGGGAAGCTCCCGCCTTCTGACCCCTGCGGGCCCGCGGTTGAGAGGGACCCTCCCGGGGCTCTTTTGCACTCACTGGGGCTCGTGCTCGCTTTGGGCGCTCGCCCCAAATGATCCTGGCGGAAAGGACGTGCTTTTTCTGGGTTTCAACAGGTATTGAGCGGGGTCCCTGGTTACCCCCTCGGGGCTGCGGGGCCGTGGGCCCCCAGGGCTGCCGGCGGTTTCCGGGCTTCGCTTCGAGCCTCGCCTTTGAGCCTCCTCCGCTGCCCGGGAGCCCCGGGCTACGGGCTGGGAGTGAGCAATCTATAAAGGAGCATGTACTTCCTGCTTTTTCTTGGCAGGCCTGCGAAAAACCCCAAGTCCGATCTTTAAAGTTTGTGAGTGCAGCCCCCTCTCAGTTGTGTACGGGAAGGAGCACAGGATTTGGAGTCTGATATCCTGGGGGAAGTCTCAGTCCGCCACTTGGCTGGACCTGTGATCTTTTGTACAGTAGTCTGTTTAGCGCAGCCTCGGTTTCGTTGTCTGAAAAGTGGGGTTAATGTTCTTTGCCCTGCGGCCTTCCAGGGTTGTGGGCTTCAGCAGAAGTGATATTCCTGCGAAAGCTTTGAACTCTAAAGTATGTTTCGGGTATAACCTTGCCATCCCCCAGTCTCCAGTCTAGGTCAGTTGAGTTTTAAAACCAGGTTCATGTCTATACGAAGATCAAATTAGTTAATAAATAGGGGGAAAGTGTCTTTGGAAACGAATCTGAACCATACAGATGTTTTTATGCCAGGTTCCTAGTGAAGAGGTGACCTTAGGGCGTTACCACCTGTGGAGTCAATTTAAAACTTCATCTGGATTTTAAGGCCCACCAGAATTTAGACTCTTCTTCCTCAGCACACACAACTATCTCTTGCTGTTATAACCTTCCTTCAGTATCACACAGGTACAAGCATAAAGCAGTAAACGTTCCTCAGATATGGTTGTACTACAACTAATACCTGTCCCCAGCAGGTCTTGTGTCTTGTGTCACAGTTGAAATTCAGAATATAAATAGCCAAATATCCCATCTGTTTAATTTTTTTTGACATTAAGCTTTGAGACTAAGCAAGTTGCTTATTGTCTTATTTTTCCCCTTACAGAGAATGCTAATTCTGCAATCAGTTTTTTTTTTTTTTTTGGGTAGAATCAGGATTTCACTATGTCGCCCAGATTGGTCTAACTCCTGGGCTCAAATGATCCTCCCGCCTCGACCTCCCAAAGTGTTGGTATTACAGGCGTTTGACACTGTGCCCACTGTGCCCGACCTCTGCGATTAATTTTTAAAGGGGTAAGAAAGTGTAGTTAGGTATTTTTAGTCTGTGTTTATTCTGAATTTATTGATTGAAGAATACTTGAAAATGGTCCAAAAAACAAGAGAGGATGACAGTAAGTTGCATTAGCTTAGTGTACAAATTCGAGCAAATTTGAGTTCAAGTCCTGGTGCTGTGTCTTACTACAGGTTGGAGTATCCTTATCTGAAATGCTTGGTACCAGAGTGTTTCAAATTTCAGATTTTGGTATATTTGCATATACATAGTTAGATATCTTTGGGATGGGACCCCAATCTAAACATGAAATTGATTTAGGTTTCATATATACCTTATATACATAGCCTAAAGGTAATTTTATATAGTATTTTTAATAATTTAATAATTTGTGTCCAGACGCGGTGCCTCACGCCTGTAATCCTAGCGCTTTGGGAGGCTGAGGCAGGCAGATTGCCTGAGCTCAGGAGTTCAAGACCAGCCTGGGCAACATAATGAAACCCCATCTCTATTAAAAGTACAAAAAATTAACCAGGTGTAGTGGTGCACGCCTGTAGTCCCAGCTACTCGGGAGGCTGAGGCGCGAGAATCGCTTGAGTCCTGGAGGTGGAAGTTGCAGTGAGCAGAGATTGGGCCACTGCACTCTAGCCTGGCCGATAGATTGAGACTCTGTTGGGCATAACACTAAGTTTGGATTGAATTTTTACTAAGACCTGTCACATAAGGTCGGGTGTGGAATTTTCCACTGGTGGTGTCAAAAGTTTTTGGGGCTGGGCGCGGTGGCGCACGTCTGTAATCCTGGCACTTTGGGAGGCCGACGTGGGCAGATCACGAGGTCAGGAGGTCGAGACCATCCTGGCCAACATGGTGAAACCCCATCTCTACTAAAATACAAAAAAAATTAGCTGGGCGTGGTGGCGTGCGCCTGTAGTCCCATGTCCTCAGGAGCCTGAGGTAGGGGAATCGCTTGAACTCGGGAGGCTGAGGTTGCAGTGAGCCGAGATCACACCACTGTGCTCCAGCCTGGCGACAGAGCAAGACTCCCGTCTCAAAAAAAAAAAAGTTTGTAAGCATTTTGGATTTCGGATTTTCCGATTAGGGATTCTCAACCTGTAGTTTTTGATTTTGGGCAAATTAGTTGACTTCTCTGAGCCTGTTTCCTAATCTCTCAAATGGAGGTAAATGGCATTATGTCACAAGGTGTCTACAAAGATGAAATGAGATGTGACCATAAATGGCTTACTAGTGCTGGGTACAAATAAAGTTCTCATTATTTTGTTGCTGTTGTTATTGATGATTATGATAATAGTGATGATGATAATTTTAGGTATTTTCCTGAAATTCCATTTATCTGTAAAATGAGGATAGTCATCCTTAATTCACAAACTTTAAAAAATACTGTAAATAGAAGTTGTCAGATTGCAGTTTGTTTTTTAGCAATTGCATTTTATATAAAAATTATATTAGATTTTTTTTCAACTTTAGAGGTTCCTAAAATGCTGTTGTGCAAGGTTATTGGGCTTTGCTGTGTTTCTGTTTTTCTAGAGATTCCAAATGTTGCTTTGTACCTAGTTTGTTGAAATTGAACTGGTGCTTCATTTACAACCTGTAGTAAGAATGCAATTCTGTACATTGTAGCTTGTAGCAGAGCAATTATCTATCTTTATGACTCAGATATTGACTAGGATAGACGTTTATGGAACAGTTTTGTCTTCCTGCCTTATTTTTATTTTTATTTTTTTTAAGCCAGACTATTAGACTTTAAAATTTAAGCTTATTGGATAGGGTCTGGGAGACTTGGTGACCTTCATTTTTTCAAGATGGCATTTCTTAGTGACTGATGCTAATGATGGCATTGGTATGTATGTATCTGCAGGGAGTGAGAGTTGAGAAAAACCAAGGAGGAAAGCCTTATAGAGAAAAATGGTTTGTTGGTCAAGGCAAAGTCTTGGAGTTTAGAATTGAAGTATATATTTTTTACTTCCTTCAAGTGCCATGTTGACTACCAGATATCTGCAGATTCAGATGCTTAGGAAATGTTTCCTTTACTCTCTTTTTTGATGTGGTATGCCTGTGCTATGTTTTGCCAGCTTCTTTCTTACCTTTAGTTATGAATCAGCAAGATAACTATTTTTTCACACCAGACTTGTATACAAAGCTATGACAATAGAAAGTCACTTCCATTAAAATCTACTTTGTATGCTATAATGTGTTAATTTTTCCTTTATGTTTTAATCTTAAACACTTTTGGCTGGGCCTGGTAGCTCACTCTTGTACTTTCAGCATTTTGAGATCCTCTGAGGTAGGCTCATTTGAGGCCAAGAGTTCAAGACCAGCCTGGGCAACAAAGTGAGACTTCATCTTTATTAAAAAAAAAAAATCAATTAAACACTTTTGTTCCTTGACTGTTTTTTACTTAAAAGGAATTTTTGGAAGGTATGCTAATTCTCATCTATAGTGTGTGAGTATGTATAGTGGATGCTCAGTAATGAGTGTGCTGAATAGTTCTGAATAGGAACATTTTGTTGATTGTCCTAGGTCACTGAGGTGCACTCTGGAGAGGCCATGTAGCATTGTGGCAATAACCTATGCTTTGGAGTCAAGACAGACCAAGGTCTGAATCCAGGCTCACTAGATGTAACTTTGGTTCATATGATCATTCTGAATTCAGTTTCTCATCATCTGGAAGACAGATTAGACTAACCCTGCATGGTTGAGAAGATTAAAGATTATTCGAATGAGGCACATATTAGCCAGGTTTAGTATAATATTAAAGATTGGGGTGGTGTTGTTATTACTATTTTTAATTTTTATTTTTTTTCTGAAAGGTATGGATTTTGTTGATACATCTATATTCATTCCCCTAATGCTTCAATGATCAGTGTGTTTCTTAGCCAAGGTTAAGGTTGTTGACTGTGACCATGGAACCTAGAAACACACAGCAAAGCTAATTGGCCAGCATGGAGTTTGAGTCTGTGACCTTGTCCTCATTAGCTCCATAAGCTAACTATTCACAAATATCTCACCAGAATGAATGAAAAGACTGGTATATTTTTTATTTGGCCCTAATGCAACTCATTAGACATAAGTAAATGAACTAGTGCCAGAAGCAAAAGTATAGATTTTTCATTAGCTTATATAAATATATGATTAGCCGTCACACTATGTATAAAACTCGTGACCTGTAGGATGATCTTTGACAACCCCAGTAACCTAAGCTTATAATTTAGACATTTCTTTTAGTTGTTGAATTATATTTGTTGTAGACTTCTCACCTATAGGAGAAGTGAGAAGAAATGGAGCTAGGCTATTCATGCCTTGAAAGAGTACCCTCCTTCTGTTGTGCTACCCACGAGGAAATGTGCTCTTCGCTAGTGCAGAAAACATTTAGAATTATCCAGTAATGAGCCCAGCAGGATGGATGAAGCTTGGGGAACTCCTAAGAGCTTATTGAATTACAGAGAAATTCCAGTTGTCAAAGCATTAGATAGAGGAAAAGTTATAGGGTGTTACTTAGCAGCAGTAAGCCTGCATTTGGAGAGAATTTTCTTTTCTCTTAATAAAACATGGACCAATTGCTTCGAGTCTGTGGTGTCCATTTTTCACTGTCTCATGCTAGCCTTCTGTATAGTTTTTCATTCTTCAAATTCACCCTTCAGTTTTATTAATATTTGTTGTCCTTCTTGTATCTTTTTTTTTAATGCCAGATATAGCTGGATTGGGACTAGGGATAAAAACAGAAGCAGAGAAGCACTGTTGGAAAACAGATTCTAGTATCTAGTATCGTGAGGTTTCCAAATAACATGGGTCAAACTGAACATGAGGATACGGATTTCTGGGATAGGCAAATGGCTGACAGTTCATGACCATTTAACCTGTGCAGAGTGAATAATGTGGGCAAAAGGTGTGTAGCACTCCTTAATATCACATTTGTCTCTTAGAAAAGAATCTGAATGCCTGTAGTGTTCATATTGGCTTGCAGTTGTGCTGTTTCAAGTTCTTTGCCATGGAATGCCAGAAGACTATTAAAGAAAGAAGGGAAGCAGTTGGATTTACATCCTGATTTCTCAAATTGTATGCCAGTCGTCCTGTTTCTGTTTTCTTGTCTTTAAAATAGGGTTAATAAAACCAACTCTGCTTGTTTATAAATATTAAAAGGAAAAGTAAACAGCAAGGATGTATTAAAAATGAGGTGGATAACTGGGGGAGAGACGGAAAGGCAGAATCCAAGAGAGGAGCTCAAAGACACCTACACACAGAGTCATAGAGACACATGCAATAGGCAGAGAGAGAGGAGGGTCAGTCAGAGACAGAGAAGTCAAAAACAGAGAGGGACAGTCACCTAGGCAGAGTTAGAAAGCAGGGTAATCAGAGATGTAGACAGACGGGCAGAGTTAGAAATGAGGGACAGACAGATACAGGGAGGGAGACAGAAAGAGTGAATGTCATGAGTAAGATGGAGAGCTTATTGGATTTTTGTCTGTTATTTGAGAAGAACATGTAAATATTTATAGTTGGCTAGGAAAGGGAAAATAAACAGATATTAATAGTAAATCAAGTAACATGAAATTTTTATTACACTAACATTTTTCCTTAAATACTAAGTTTATTTTGCATATTCAGCATGCAAATATCAAGTCAATTTATGTATTACCTGTTAACTACTTACGTGACCTCTCAGTGTAGTTTAAACACATTTTTAAAAAAATTAAGATTAATATTAATTTTTTCCTCAAAAAATCTAATATATAACTTACTATAGAAAACATGGCAAATACAGGAAATTTAAAAGGAGAACAGAAAACACTCATAATCTCACAATCTAAACATAACATAATGAGGCCCACATTTTTCATGTTTTTTTTTTCCCAGTCTTCTTTTTCTAGGCATTTACTAAAGCCCATCTACTTTCCTGAAGGACCCAAAAGCTGTTTATAAGTCCAAAATGATGCTGTAACTATTTGTGGCAGAGTTAACTTTATAATCCTATTTTGGCACTTAGGTACTTTCATAAACTAGTGTGTACCCATTTTATTCTCTTCCTAGATTGTAAACTTTTAACTACAGACTATATGTTATTCATCTTTGTGTCTTAGGAATCTAGGAAAGTATCTTACATATCATAGGTATTCAGGGTATATATGAGATGAATTGTTAAGCCTCCTAAGTAGAAACTGTCTTATTTAAACAGGTCTGCCAAATTGCACATTGGATTGGACCTTCCTTAAAGTTGAGAAAAACTTGATTTTAGGGGTGGTGTGTATGTGTGTAATGTAAAGCTACCAAACTGGGAAAGGGCACTTTTTTTCTGGTTACCTTTTGTTGTGTTTGTAGCAAGCCATTCCAAAACATAATGGTGTAAAACAACCATTTTATTGTGCTATGGATCTGTTGGAATTCAGACAGGACAGTTTCTGCACAGATGGCTTGCTTAAGCCTTAGCTGGGAAGATTCAAAAGCTGGTGGTGACTTTATGGCTGGTACTTAGAACCTGGAGGCTTCTTCACTCACATGGCTGGTGATTGATGTTGATTGTCCCTCAGAACACCTACCTACCCAGATAGGCTAATTTGAGCTTCTTTGCAGCATGGTGGTGGCTGTTTTCTAAGAGTGAACATCTAGAGAGAACCAGGTGGAAACTGCATTACTTTTTGTGACCAAGCCTTAGAAGTTCTGTAGTATCACAAGCTTGCCAGATTCAAGGAGAGAGTGACAGTTACATGGGATCTGCTTCTCACAGGAGTGTCAGAGTCACTGTAAGAAAAACATTGTGGGGGTGGGAGGTAGCAAGTTAAAAAATGAGTTAATAAAACAGTATCACTTTTTAAATGTCAATGAATAAATGTTCTATTGAAAGTAAGGGTTTTTCCCTACTGCTGATGGTGTTATTTTGTTAAAAAATTTGTACTAAACTTGTAAAAACTTTTAAACCTAAAGCAATTTTAAATTATTTTCTTGGCTTTTAAGCTCTGAACAAGATCTTATTATTTCTTTTTAACTGAATTTGCAAGTTGGTCAATTTCTATACTTGGGTCTTGCCTCAACCCCATTTACTAAAACAAGTCTTGTTTTATAAACGATATGCATGTTCACTGCAGACAGTTTAGAAAATCAGGAAATAAACAAAATCAACTCATGATCTCACCTCTGAGATGTAATCAGTTCCAGGTTCATTTCTTTCTTTTTTTCTCTCTCTCTTTCTTTTCTTTTTTTGTACCTGTAATCCCAACACTTTGGGAGGCTGAGGCGAGTGGATCACTTAAGGCCAGGAGTTCGAGACCAGCCCGGCCAATGTGGGGAAATCCTGTCTCTACTAAAAATACAAAAATTAGCTGGGCATGGTGGCATGTGTCTGTAGTCCCAGCTACTAGAGTGGCTGAGGCATGAGAATCACATGAGCCCAGGAGGTGGAGGTTGCAATGAGTGGAGATTGCATCACTGCACTCCAGTCTGGGCGACAGAGTGAGACTCTGTCTCAAAAAAAAAAAAGTAGGCCGGGTACGGTGGCTCATACCTGTAATCTCAACACTTTGGGAGGCTGAGGCGGGCAGATAACTTGAGGTCAGGAATTTGAGACTAGCCTGGCCAACATGGCAAAACCCTGTCTCCACTAAAAATACAAAAATTAGCCAGGTCTGGCGACATGTGCCTGTAGTCCCAGCTACTCAGGAGGCTGAGGCAGGAGAATCGTTTGAACCTGGGAGGCAGAGATTATAGTGAGCTGAGGTTATGCCACTGCACTCTGGCCTGGGCCACAGAGTAAGACTCTGTCTCCAAAAAAAAACAAACAAACAAAACAAAACAAAACAAAAAAAAAACAGAAGAAGAAGAAATACTAATGTGTTTGATTCTGGTTGGAATATTTTGTGACATATGGAACATTTACCATATTAACCTTTTCTAAATCTGAAAATTTCTGATTTCTGAATCTTGTCTGGTCCCACAAGTTTTGGATTAGGGATTTTGGACTGCAGTTAAAAACTTAGTGTTAGGAAAAGATGAGATTATTAGCTTGTTTTGGTAGTTCTGAACTTTTTTATCACATGAATCTTCCCAGAACTTTTGTGCTTTCATTTCAGGAGAAGATCCAGAAGGAAAAGAAATAGTCTTGATTTGTTTATATGATCAGTAATTCTCTCTTACCATCACACGTAACTGTTTCAAACTTGTGACCATCTCTCAATACGTTCAGAATTTCTAGTGACTTTTTATGCCTCTTGATCCTTCGTGTGAGAACCACTGATTTAAATTAAGTACTGGAGTTGACAAGCCCCAGGAGCCATGTAGTTCTTGGTTTTTTCCTCCAGTATTAGTCACTGTGACATTGCTGTTCTTTGCCTTTTTGCCATAGTATTTCTTTTTTGTACCATGTTTCTTGTTTGCTTCCTTGGGTATCCTGAAACTTTTCATTGCTTCTAACACTTTGGTGAAGGACAGTGCTTCAAAAATTAGGATAAGATCTTGGCTGCAGTTTATTAACTTGCAGTTTGCCCCCTCAGTGGAGAGAAAACATTAAAATCAGGGTTGAGGAATGTATCTTTGACTTCATAATGTCATGTAGTTTTAACTTTTTGAGTTATTACTACTGTCATAAATTCAGTATATGACCGTACATTATAAACTATTCCAACCAGGGTCTAGGGCATTACTTTGTAATTAAACATATTAATAGTTCATATGTATTCATTATAGAGGATTTGGAAAATACAACCATATTTTCACCACCTTGAAGTAACTGTTAACATTGGGGTTTATTACCCTATTCTGTTTTCTGTGTGTCTATTACCGTAGCACACACACATACTTAAATTGTAATCTCTTGCTGTTATATATAAACTTTGTGTCCTGCTTTAAAAAATATATAGTGGGTCGGGGCAGTGGCTCAGTAATCCCAGCATTTTGTGGGGGGTCCGAAGCAAGAAGATTGCTTGAGCTCAGGAGTTTGAGAGCAGCCAGGGTGATTTAGTGAGACCCATCTCTACAAAAACAAAAATGTGGAATGTAGCATGAGTTATATTACTGGGCAGTAATATTTATTTATTTATTTATTTATGCATTCATTCATTCATTCCCGAGATGGAGTCTTGCTCTGTCACCAGAGCTGGAGTGTAGTGATGTGATCTCAGCTCACTGCAACCTCCGCCTCCCAGGTTCAAGCAATTCTCCTGCCTCAGCTTTCCGAGTAGCTGGGATTACAGGGGCGCACCACCACACCTGGCTAATTTTTGTATTTGTAGTAGAGATGGGGTTTCACCATGTTGGCCAGGCTGGTCTCAAACTCCTGACCTTGTGATCTGCCCACCTCCGCCTCCCAAAGTGCTGGGATTATAGGCGTGAGCCACCGTGCCCAGCCTGGGCAGTAATCTTTAGATTTGTCTTCGTTTTGGATGGGAACCTAGGAGACTGGGGTTCAAATTCTGGCTTTGTCCTTGCCAAACTGAAAACTAGGGCAAGTTATAGGATACCTCTGGGCTTCCATGTGTCAGCTGTCAGATTTCCAAAGTATTGACACAACAATCTTATGAAAGTTAACCCTCTGCTTAGAACATTATTCATACGCAAAAGAAGTCCTAGTCTGGTCTATCTTTGAGATTCTTCTGGTTCTGCTACTGAATGATCTCTAAGTTGAGGAGTGCAAAATACAGCAGTATTTATGTCAGGTTATTTAGGCCTAATGGAGGAGAAGGATCTTGAATGAAATGAAAGAGTAACAAATTGACTGGAGGGGACAGAAGAAAACTCTGGAGGGAATGGTGTGAAGTTGGGAGCAAGAATGAGTACAGTATGTGAACTGAGTGAGACAAACAAGTGATCTTAACAGTACTCCACAAATAGAATGATTTTTACTGATGAGTAGTAAGGAGATAGGATTTGTTAAGTTTATATGTGTGTGGGGATAATGAAGAAGAATTAAGGGACAATATTGAAGGCTAGGCTGAAAAACTTAAATTTGATCCAATAGGTGACAGGACTTCTGTTGAGAGTCATATAATGAAAACAGTGTTTGACTAAGGCTGCCTTGGCAACTTTGTATGTTTGATAAGCTCAAGTAGAGGGAATTGCTGAAGAGTACAGTATTTCAATTGTACTGTGGAATAATGTGGAAACAGAAGTAGGAATAATGTAAAAATAGAAAACATGATATCTCTTGTGGAAGAAGAAGAGTAAGATATGGGGTTAGAAATCGGAGTCAGAATACCGCAAAATTTTGAGCCTGACATATGAAGTGTACTGTGTCATTGATAGTGGCATTGGGAAAGGATCTCAGATAGGTCTTGGAGAAAGGTAACGAGTTCAGTTTCTAATATATTCAGTTTTAGGCATTAGGTTATTTAAGTGGTAGTTTTAAAAGTCTGGTGCTTTAAAAATTGATTAATCTAAATGAATGCTGCCCCTTTTAAAGTAATGTTTTTGGGGACATGCATTTATTCTAGCAAATAAATGTTCTTTGGAATTTGTCTTTTGAAACTGCTTTTAGAACCTGTAGAGCCACATAAGAAAACCATTCTCGCTGGGCGCGGTGGCCCACGCCTGTAATCCCAGCACTTTGGGAGGCTGAGGCAGCGGATCACGAGGTCAGGAGATCGAGACCATCCTGGCCAACATGATGGAACCCTGTCTGTACTAAGTATACAAAAATTAGGTGGGTGTGGTGGTGCATGCCTGTGATCCCAGCTACTCGGGAGGCTGAGGCAGGAGAATCACTTGAACCCTGGAGGCGGAGGTTGCAGTGAGCCAAGATCACTCCACTGCACTCCAGCCTGGGAGACAGAGCGAGACTCCATCTCAAAAAAAAAAAGAAAACCATTTTCATGACTTGATGGTCATATCCCTTGTCCCCAAAAGAATATGATCTTACTTGGTCACCCATCTATTTACCATACATATTTCTAAGTAATAATTGGCAGTTTCTAAAAATTAATCTGCAGAAACATCAAATTTATTACTATGGAGGATATTTTAATAATTATTGTGATTGTTGGGGACATTAAAAAGTCTTAAGCTGTGATAGCATCTTTTTTGGTTACAGCTCTGTTGACAAATAATTTGCATACTATACAATTCACCCATTTTTTTGGTGGGGGGGACATGTGATAATAAATTTATATAATTTGTAAAGATCTAATAAGAGTAAGTAGGGATATCCGTCACCTTACACAGTTGTCTTTTGTTTTGTTAAAAACAGTTGAAATATGTAATTATTGTAAACTTTAGTCATCCTACTGATCTATCAAACACTAGGTCGTATTTCTTCTATCAAATTGTATGTTTGTACCCATTAATCAACCTCTTTTTATCTTCCCCATCCCCACCCCTTCTTGGCTTCTGGTACCCACCAATCTGCATTCTATCTTCAAGAGATCCACTTTTCAGATCCCATGTATAAGTGAGAACACATGATATTTGTCTTTCTGAGCTTGGCTTGTTTTACTTAACACAATGACCTCTAGTTCCATTTATGTTGCTGCAAATGACAGGATATCATTCTTTAAAACATTTTTTGTTTTACTTTTAAATTATTTTTATCAGGGCAACCTTCTGAACCAGAATAGATTCAGAGAGACTCCCAATTTCATTCTTCTTCATGACTGAATAATATTCCACTGTGTATATGTACCACTTTTTCTTCTTACATGTATCTATTGATGGACACTTAGGTTGATTTCATATTTTGGATATAGTGAATAGTGCTGTGAAAAAATAACATGGAAGTGCAGATGTCTCTTTAATATATTGATTTCCTTTCTTTTGGATATATATCCAGTAGTGGAATTGCTGGATCATATGATGACTCTATTTTTCATTTTTTGAGGAGCCTCCATACTGTTCCCCATAGTGGCTCTATTAATTTACATTCCCTCCAACAGTGTAGGAGAGTTCCCCTTTCTCCATATCCTCACCAGCATCTGTTATGCCCTGCCTTTTTTATAAAAGCCATTTTAACTGGCGTGAGATTAGATCTCATTGTGGTTTTTGATTTGTATTTCTCTGATAAATAGTGATGTTGAACATTTTTTTCATATACCTGTTGGCCGTTTGAATGTCATCTTTTGAAACATCTATTCAGATCTTTTGCCTGTTTTTAAATCAATCTGATTTGTTTGTTCTTTTGCTGTTGAGTTGTTTGAACTCCTTGTATATTCTTGTTATTAATCCTTTGCCAGATGGATAGTTTGCAAGTATTTTCTCCATTCTGTGGGTTATCTCTTTACTTTGATTGTTTCCTTTACTGTGCAGAAACTTTGTAGCTTGATGTAGTCCCATTTGTCTATTTTGCCTGGGTTGCATGTGCTTTTGAGGTCTTACACAAAAAATCTTTGCCTAGATCAATGTCCTGGAGCAATTCCTCAATGTTTTCTTCTAATAATTTGATGGTTTCAGGCCTTACATGTAAGTCTTTAATCCATTTTGATTTGATTTTTGTGTACAGTGAAACATAGGTCCTAGTTTCATCATTCTCAGTATAGTTATCCAGTTTTTCCAGCACCATTTGTTGAAGAGACTCTTCTTTCCCCATTTTATGTTCTTGGTGCCTTTGTCAAAAATAAATTGGCTGTAAATGTATGGATTTATATTTGGATTCTCTATTTTGTCCCATTGGTCTATGTGTCTGTTTTAATGCCAGTACCATATTGATGTGGTTATCAGAGTTTTGTAGTGTAATTTGAAGTCAGATAGTGTGATACCTCCAGTTTTCTTCTTTTTGCTCAGGATTGCTTTGGCTATTCAGGTTCTTTTATGATTCTGTATAATTTTTTTGATTGTTTTTCTGTTTCTATGAAGAATGTCATTGGTATTTTGATAGAGATTGCATTGAATCTGTACATTGCTTTGGGTAGTATTGTCATTTTAACTGTGTTACTCCCTCTAATTCATGAGCATGGAATATCTTTCCATTTTTTGGTATCAATTTCTGTTTCCTTCATCAGTGTTTTATAATGTTCCTTGTATAGATCTTTCACTTCTTTGGTTAAATTGATTCTTTGTAGCTATTGCAAATGGGATTGCTTCCTTGAATTCTCTTTCAGATTCTTTTCTATTGGCATATATAAATCTACTGATTTTTGTATGTTGATTTTTGTGTCCTACAACTTTACTGAATTTATCAGTTCTAAGAATTTTTTGGTGGAATCTTTAGGTTTTTCTGTATATAAATCGTTTTGTCTGTAAAGAGGGACAATTGGACTTCCTCCTTTCCAATTTGGTGCCCTGTATTTCTTTCTCTTGCCTTATTGCTCTGGCCAGAACTTCCAGTATTATGTTGAATAAAAGTGGTAAATGTGGGCATCCTTGTCTTGTTCCAGATTTTAGAGGAAAGGCTTTCAGTTTTTCCCTATTCAGTGTGGTATTAGCTGTGGGTTTGTCATATATAGCCTTTATTATTTTGTATATTCCTTCTATACCCAATGTGCTGAGGGTTTTTATCATAAAGGGATATTAGATTTTATTGAATGCTTTTTCAGCATCTATAAAAGTGATCATAGGGTTTTTTGTTCTTGGTTCTGTTAATGTAATGTGTCATGTTTATTGATTTGCATATGTTGAACCATCTTTGCCTCCCTGGGATGAATCCCACTTGATCATGGGGAATTATCTTTTTAATGTGTTGTTGAATTTGATCTTCTAGTATTTTTACGTCTATGTTCATTAGTGATACTGGCCCATAGTTTTCTTTTTTTGTTGTGTCCTTGACTGGTTTTGGAATCAGGGTAATGCTGGCTGTGTAGAATGAGTTGGGAAGTATTCCCTCTCCTTCAGTTTTCTGGAAGAGTATGAGCAGAATTGGTATTCTTTGAATGTCTGGTAGAATTCACCAGTGAAGCCATCAGGTCCTGAGCTTTTCTTTAATGGGAGACTTTTTATTACGGCTTCAATCTGGCTATTTCTTATTGGTTTGTTGAGTTTTTCTGTTTCTTCATGGTTCAATCTTGATAGGTTGTATGTGTCCAGGAATTTATCCATTTCTTCCAGGTTTTCCAATTTGTTGGCATATAGATGTTAATAATAGTCTCTAATGATTCTTTGTGTTTATGGTCTCACTTGGTCTCACTTGTTTTGTCTCCTTTTCATTTCTGATTTTATTTGGGTCTTCACTTTTTTCTTAGTTTAGCTGAAGTTTTGTCGATTTTGTTTCTCTTTTCAAAAAACCAACTTTTTATTTCATTGGTTTTCCGTAGTCTAAATTCTATTTATTTCTGCTCTGATCTTTATTATTTCTTTCCTTCTACTAATTTTGGGCTAGGTTTGTTCTTTTCTAGTTCTTTGAGGCACGTTATTAGATTATTTGAAGTCTTTCTGCTTTTTTGATGTAGGCATTTATTGCTATAACTTCCCTCTTACCGCTGCTTTTGCTGTATTCTATAGATTGTGGTGTGTTACAGTTCCATTTTTAGTTGTTTCAAGAAATATTTAAATTTCCTTCTTAATTTCTTCATTGATCATTCAGATGTTGCTTAATTTCCATGCATCTGTGTGTTTCCTGAACTACTTCTTGTTATTGATTTTTAATTTTGTTCCATTGTAGTCAGAAAAGATACTTCACATGATTTCTGCTTTTTTGAATTTGTTCAAAGATATAGTCTGTTCTGGAGAATGTTCCATGTCTGGATGAAAAGCATGTGTGTTCTGTGGCACTTGGGTGGGATGTTCTAGAAATGTCAGGCTGATTTCTTCTAGTGTGTAGTTTAACTCTGATGTTTCTTTGTTGATGTTTTTTTGTCTGGATGATCTGTCCTTTACTGAGAGTGGAGTGTTGAAGACCCCTATTGTTACTGTATTGCAGTCTATCTCTCCCTTTAGATCTATTAACATTTGCTTTTTATACTTGGCAGCGCTGGTCTTTTTTCTCCTTTAATTGTGTATCTTCAAATAGCCTCTTGAGTTCACTGATTCTTTCCTCTGTGTGATCCTTTCTGCTGTTGAGAGCCTCTAATGACTTTTTCAGTTCAGCAAATGTATTTCTGAGTTCCAATATTTGATTTCTTATACTATTTCAATCTCTTTGTTAAATTTCTCCAATCTGTTTCTGAATTGCTTTTCTGTGTTATCTTGGTGATCACTGAATTCACTTAAAATGGCTATTTTTGAATTCTTGGTTGGAGGGTTCCCAAATTGCTGTCTTGCTAGGGACAGTTGGTTCCTCACTTTGCTGTTAGAGGAGGCCTTGGCTCCCTGTTTGCTGTTGTTTCTTGTGGATGTGCATCTGTATATTTGCATTGAAGGATAGTTCTTTGTTCCAGTCTTTTCTTTTGGCCTTGTTTTCTGTTTTTCAAGCTCCCATGTTTGGATCTACTTGTTTTGGTTTTTATTATGTGTTTGCTTAGTGATTCTTTGTAATACATCTCTTGATTTTCTTTTTCTTTTTTTTTTTCCTGCTAGATTGCTGCCTCCTTTTCGGCACCAGCTGTCACCTTAAGCCCAGGTTTGCCTCGGTTCTAGTAACCAATCAGTATGCTGCCCCTCCTGCATGGGAGGCATCCCACAGGAGATATTCCAGTAGTGTGAGAAGGCTGGCTATGGGTTCATGCCCAGGTGACTTGTGGAATGAACCTCCTACAGCGTGGTGCTGCTGAACAGCTGTTTTGATTTGGCATCTCGTTTGGCTGAGTCACAGAGCAGAGTTTCTAGGGCTGGGAACAGTAGTCCCCCCTCCCCTCTTTGTCTCTGGCTGTCCTCAGGGATACTTCTTCCTTTACATACTCCCAAAACTGCCTGTAATTTGAGGCAGAGACAGGTCTCCTGCCAGAGATCCTACGATGGTGGGAAGCTGGTTGTCCACCTTATTCTCTTTTTCCGGTGTAGTGATTGTGAGTCGGGGGGAAATTTTCTGCATTCTTGGTGCTGAGCATGTTGGTGAAAGGGGCATCATGGTTATGGAAGTTCGGTTTTCCTTTCCTGCTTAGATTTTCTCACTTCTCCATGGCCCTGAAACTGTCTCCTCCTCATTTTTGAATTCTGGGATATTGCTTGTGATAATCTCAGCACTTTGTATTTGTTTTTGGTTTTCTATGGGGCAGTTGAGTGAAGCCAGCTTGCTTCTACGCTGCCATTTTGGAACTGGAAGAATGTGTGATAGTACTTTGGAAGAAGGTCTAGTGTGCGCTGGTTAAGAGGCTGGGTTCTGGAGACCTAGGTTTGAATGATCTCTTTAGTGCATTGTGTCTTGAGCAATTTATTTAATTTGTCTGGGCCTCATTTCCTCATTTGTAAAATGGAGGTGGTGATAATACTCTACTTTGTAGGATTGTTGTGAGGATTGGCTCTGAGAACAGTGGCTGGCAAATACTAAGAGCTCAGTAAATATTAGCTATTTATTACCACCACCGCAACTACTATTATTGTTTCTACCACCACTTTGTCTGTTTATCTATTTTGTTTTAAAAATTAGTTATGTTCCTATATAATTATGTCGCATGCTAGTGGAATGATAGGCAGCTGAATATAAAATTGGAGCTCAATAGATGAGACATAGAGATATGTTTTTTAAGACTGTTTGGCCTAAACCTTAGAGAAGAGCAGAAAAGACTAAGGATGAAGAATTAGGGAATACCCATAGTAAGGGTGCAGGAGGCAGAAAAGGAGCCAGTAAAAGAGTAGAGGGAGATTGTTTAGAGAAAAAAGGAAAACAAGGCACATATGTTAGTGTAGAGGTTATATGAATTGGGATTAGATTTAGTTGCAACCAAGTACCAGAGACTTAAATGTGATAGAAGTTCATGTCTGTTGAGTAAGAAATTCCAGCTCGCTCTCTCTCTCTCCCTCTCCCTCTCCCCACGGTCTCCCTCTCCCTCTCTTTCCACGGTCTCCCTCGCCCTCTTTCCACGGTCTCCCTCTGATGCCGAGCCGAAGCTGGACTGTACTGCTGCCATCTCGGCTCACTGCAACCTCCCTGCCTGATTCTCCTGCCTCAGCCTGCCGAGTGCCTGCGATTGCAGGCGCGCGCCGCCACGCCTGACTGGTTTTCATATTTTTTTGGTGGAGACGGGGTTTCGCTGTGTTGGCCGGGCTGGTCTCCAGCTCCTAACCGCGAGTGGTCCGCCAGCCTCGGCCTCCCGAGGTGCCGGGATTGCAGACGGAGTCTTGTTCACTCAGTGCTCAATGTTGCCCAGGCTGGAGTGCAGTGGCGCCATCTCGGCTAGCTACGACCTCCACCTCCCAGCCGCCTGCCTTGGCCTCCCAAAGTGCTGAGATTGCAGCCTCTGCCCGGCCGCCACCCCGTCTGGGAAGTGAGGAGCGTCTCTGCCTGGCCGCCCATCGTCTGGGATGTGAGGAGCCCCTCTGCTCGGCTGCCCAATCTGGGAAGTGAGGAGCGCCTCTTCCCGGCCGCCATCCCGTCTAGGAAGTGAGGAGCGTCTCTGCCCGGCCGCCCAGTCTGGGAAGTGAGGAGCGCCTCTTCCCGGCCGCCATCCCGTCTAGGAAGTGAGGAGCGTCTCTGCCCAGCCGCCCATAGTCTGAGATGCGGGGAGCGCCTCTGCCCCGCCACCCCGTCTGGGATGTGAGGAGCGCCTCTGCCCGGCCGCGACCCCGTCTGGGAGGTGAGGAGCGTCTCTGCTGGGCCGCCCCGTCTGAGAAGTGAGGAGCCCCTCCGCCTGGCAGCCGCCCCGTCTGAGAAGTGAGGAGCCCCTCCGCCCGGCAGCCGCCCCGTCTGAGAAGTGAGGAGCCCCTCCACCCGGCAGCCGCCCCGTCTGGGAAGTGAGGAGCGTCTCCGCCCGGCAGCCACCCCGTCCGGGAGGGAGGAGGGGGGTCAGCCCCTGCCCGGCCAGTCGCCCTGTCCGGGAGAGAGGTGGGGGGTCAGCCCCCACCCAGCCAGCCGCCCTGTCCGGGAGGGAGGTGGGGGCCCGCCTCCGCCCGGCCGCCGCCCCGTCCGGGAGGTGGGGGGCGCCTCTGCCCGGCCGCCCCTTCTGGGAAGTGAGGAGCCCCTATACCCGGCCACCACCCCATCTGGGAGGTGTACCCAACAGCTCATTGAGAACGGGCCATGATGACAATGGCGGTTTTGTGGAATAGAAAAGGGGGAAAGGTGGGGAGAAGATAGAGAATTCAGATTGTTGCTGTGTCTGTGTAGAAAGAAGTAGACATGGGAGACTTCATTTTGTTCTGTACTAAGAAAAATTCTTCTGCCTTGGGATGCTGTTGATCTATGACCTTACCCCCAACCCTGTGCTCTCTGAAACATGTGCTGTGTCCACTCAGGGTTAAATGGATTAAGGGCGGTGCAACATGTGCTTTGTTAAACAGATGTTTGAAGGCAGCAGACTCGTTAAAGAGTCATCACCACTCCCTAATCTCAAGTACCCAGGGACACAAACACTGCGGAAGGCCGCAGGGTCCTCTGCCTAAGAAAACCAGAGACCTTTGTTCACTTGTTTGTCTGCTGACCTTCCCTCCAGTATTGTCCTATGACCCTGCCAAATCCCCCTCTGCGAGAAACACCCAAGAATGATCAATTAAAAAAAAAAAAAAAAAAAAAAGAAGTTTAGACACAACAGCTGACCAGCCTTAATGTTGAAACAGTGATCATAAGACAGACAGAATGGACTGTTTGTGGCAATAAGATACCAAATTATAAACAGGATCTAAGGTCATGCCAAGTAAGGATTGAGTTACACACTCCTGCACTTAAAGAATAAACTGTTTTACATCAAAAAAAAAAAAAAAAGAAATTCCAGAAGTAGTCAGTTTAGGACTCACGTGGTTTGCCGTGGTGTCACGTTTCCCCACTGTGTTCAGATTCTATTATTTTCCAAAGACACTTTAGGGTCTAAGAGAGCTACTAGCTTCAGCTTTTTCACATACATTGCAATCATCAGAAGGAGAAAGAGAAGGACACATCTCACTTCCTTTAAGGATACTTCCTGGAAGTTATATTACAGGTTGAGTATCCCTTATCAATATGCTTAGATCCAGAGAACGGTTTCACATTGTTTTCACATTTTGGAATGTTTGCATTACTCTGTGGATATCATGCAGGCCTTTTTGATACTTTCAACCATATCGTTATACTACAGAGCAGAGAATAAGCAAAAAAAAAAAAAAAAAAAAAGGAAGAAAGAGCATAGTGAGTAATAGTAAGGCAGTACATCTTAGCCCCATGTGAGGCATTGTGGGGAGCCTCCCATTGGTGTATCCAGCGTGTACACGTGTCATTTTATTACCCTTTGTGGGCATGCTTGTATGGAGGAATCTGGTGTGTGCAGATATATATTGCAGCTGATGGCAGCTGGGAGGGTCTTTCTTTCCTTGGGGACACTGAATAAACTATGTGTTGGGTACCTGCATTGTGACTGCAACCTGTCACATGAGATCAGGTTTGGAATTTTTTACTTGTGGCATCATGTTGACACTCAGAACATTTTAGATTTTGTAGCATTATAGATTTTGGATTAGGGAGTTCCGTGTATACTACTTTTGCTCATATTCCATTGGTCAAACTTAGCCACATAGCCACACCTTGCTGCTGGAGAGGCTGGGAAATGTAGACTTTATTTTGAATGGTCAGTGCCTGGCCGTTCAAATAAAGAGCAGGAACAGTGAGAATAATCCCAGTGTAGCTAGATGAAGAATACAGGGTAGATAACAGTTAATTGTCTTTAGGACAGTTTAATTCATTATTGATTATTCTTGATAGAGTTTTTATAATTACTGAACTATGAGTACAAATTCACTCTTGTCAAATTGCATCAACAGGATGTTGTTTTTAGGATGTAATCTCTTCATGAATCCTTGCTTAATTAGGATTATCAGTTTCTCATAAAGAAAAAAATATCCGTATATATACGTATGTATGTGTTTATGTGCATGTGTGTGTATACATCCCCCCATTTAACATTAGTGTTGGCCAAAATTATTTCATGTGACAACAGTGTGAAGTAAAACTGATGGTAAATAAGCTGCTGATAACCCTCTTCTGTTGTTTTAAGCCTGTAATTTTACCCAGTCTTCTATTTGGAAATACTCTCCAATTTGGTTGTTTTTTTGGCCAATGTTTTTAATCTGTCTCTGTCCTTTTATATTACTACTCTGTCTCACTGCTGTTAATTATACTTCCTAAAATAGATAAATGAGCAGATTTAATTAAATGTGTTATTTGCACTGTCTCCTGATCATTAATGAATTTGTAAGTAAGGTCAGACCTATAATCTTTCTAGTATTACAATTCCTGAATCTTTACTGTCTACTCAATTGGTAATTATTTGCTTAAATTTTTTTTATTTTTGAAGCTTCTATATTTTGTGTGTTTGTGCTCTTTCACTATTAGAAATATAAAGATCTTCTAACAAAAAGGAAACTTTTTCTGTAGGATGTTCTGTCCCTTTCGGTTGAAAATGTTTTCTTTAGACATGTTTTTGAATGATGAACAATTAAGTTTATATGTTGCTATTTGGCTTTTTAAAAATAATTTAAAATATTTTATCAATAGATGTAGAGTTTAAAATAAACATGTTTTAAAAAGTCCAATAGTGGAAAAAAAAAGGATTTATAACAAAATATAGTGAGTCATTTTTGTCCCACCACTCCCCACTCTCTCTAGTCCTCTCCCTAAAAGTAACTACTTTCAACTCCTTAAGCTATTTCTTCTGGCATCAACATATCTCTGTATTTAAAAATAATGTATGTACAATGCTATCTTTTGATTTACTGGTTTTTTTTTTTTCATTATATTTGGAGTTTCTATTATGGTAGAGAAAGTTTTAGTGTTATTAAATACCATCTCCACTGCTGCTTCTCCCTAGCTTCTTAATTTAGTTATATTAAAATATTTGGTTAAGTCTAATAGTTAATGTTATATTTACATTACTATGCCTGTGCAAATTTTATTTGCTGATAGTGTCTTAAATAGCCCCTCGGTGCAGTTTTCCACAAGGTCAATCACAGTAATCTGTCAGTTTGAATTTTTTTTTTTTTTTTAATTCTTGGAAATTTCTCTTCTAGAGACTTCCAGTGTCCTACTATTGAAGCCTGCACCTGCTGCATTGCTGTTTTCCTGGTATGATTTCCACTTGTTGTTATCCTTAGATTTTTCTCTCCTGGGTTTGGTTCTCCGAATATCGTTAGAACTCATATCTTCTTCAGACTTCATTTACCTCTTGCTTAGGTGGATCACATCCTCTAGTAGTTGTGTTGGATTCAAAAGATGGTACCATGCCAGAGAGCATGAGGATGACAGCCTTCAGCATGCCTGCCCTCTCACATAGCTTCAATCTGGATTGGTTGCCTTCTGCTGCTGGTGCACAGTTACCATCCTAGAGTCCCATTCGCTGGTATTCCTTCACTTCTCTCTTGTGTTGGATATCTTGTTTTCCATATCTCATCTCTTCTTTCCTTTGGTTTGTTTCCTTGTTTGTTGTCAAAGGATGATGAGACCATCACTATCTAAAATATCTAATGGGCACAATGTCCTGGAACAAAGCAAATTGCTAGTTTTATATAGTGTTTTGGGGGAGTGTGGTGCTCAGGGATTAGAAAATTTTAAGAGGCAGCAGAAGCAGATTAACATAATCTATAGAGGAATGATTACGTGGGTGAGACCGTTGTTGATTGGTTGGCACTTGGGTATTTTATGGTAGTGACTTTCTTCCTAACTTTAAATTGACTGACTTTCAGAAGTAAGGGGCTAAGCTAACACTGATTGGCTTGTAAAAGAAAAGTAAGTTGTTTTTACAATCGAATGGGTGTAAGTAGTCTTTGGTAACTTTTTACTATAGTTACAAACACTCAGTCTTTCCTAAATTTGTAAGAACTTTAAAATTCTCAATCTTCTAGTAACTTTCTAGGAAACCGTACATGGTAGATAATTTTTTGAGCCTTTCCATGTCTGAAAATATTTTTGGTTTCTATTTTCACATTTGATTAATATAGTTTGGGTAAGTGTAAATTCTAGATTGGAAATATTTTTCTTCAGAATTTTGAAGGCATAGTTTCTTTTTTCTCCTCATCCTTTGTTGCTTTTGAGAAGTCTTAAGCCAATGTGAACCCTCTTCTTTCATTTGGATCTTTTCACTGGAAACTTGTTAGATCTCTGCTTTGTCCCCAGTGTTCTGAAGTTTCACAGTGATGTGCTTTGGTGTGGGTCTGTGTTTATTTTTATCCACTGTCCTGGGTGCTTGTGGGTACCTTTCAGTATAGAACAGTTGGCATTTTTCTGGGACCTGGTGTATGGAATGGGGGTGGGGCGATAGATTTTAGGTTCAATATGCTTACTTAATCACCCAATTTTAAAGACCACTGCACTTCCAGTCAGCCCCTGATCCATAGATGGTCTATTCTGCATTTTAGAGATAATCCCAAACTTTCTTTCACAGAGGAGGAGGGGATCTCAGGATCGCTCCTTTCACCCAGTGCCCTCCCGGCATTTCACTTCCAGTTCCAGAGTTGGTATGGCCAGTCCCTGACTCTCATGAGGATTTCTGATGGTAAATTGGGTTGAGTGGCAGCTTTCTCTACTGCTGGTTTGGAATTTGGCTTTTTAAGTTCTGCTACACATTGAGCATTCATCAATATATAACTTCCAAAGCTTTGTTACTTTTTTTCTCTTCTCTGCTGTCTATCCTTGTGGATTTATGTTTTAAGACAAAACAAATTGACTTATTTCAGTAGAATTTTTGGAGAGAAGCAAAATTATATGTGTAGGTGTATTCCATTCTTTTAACACAAAAACAGCTATAAGACTAACTGGATATTCTTATGTGAAATAATATTACAATAGTATTACATGATTATTATACTTCTGATATGTGAAAGGTAGAGGAAGAGAATATGTTGCTGAAATGCAGTAACTAAGCATAGGTCTGCAGAGAGGGCACTGCTACAGAAAAGGAATAGTTATACCTTCCTTGATTGTGAGCTATTCCTTTAATTTCTAAAAATCATCATTGGAAAACCCACAAAAATGTTACGTCTGTATTGTAAGAAAACTAGAATACGCTGATAAACATGAGGAAGAAAATAAGAATCACTTTAATTACACTACCCAGAGCTGCCCACTATTAACAGATCAGTGTATATATTTTTCTAGTCTTTGTTTATGCATTTGCCTATGTATTTGTGGACGTATGTTTAAATGGGGCATACTATATGCATTATTTTGTTCCTTCCCCCATTTTTTCCAACCATAAATGGCTCTTGAGTCGAGAATTTTTTTGCACAGAATCCTAGAGATTATATTCTCATTAATAATATCTAACTCCCATTTACTTGATTGTACATTATGTGCCAGGCACTGTGCTGACTGACATCTTTGTTTTTCTGTTTAATTTATGTTGACATTATTTCAGACCACAGAAAAATTCCGAGAGTGGTACAGAGAGTTCACCCAAATACCCAAAATGTTAACATTTTACTGCATTCCCTTTCTTATTTCTCTCTCGTGAGAGTAAAATGTAGATCTTACTCCCTTTTATACCTAAATAGTTAAGTGTGCACTTTCTAAAAACAAGGACATTCTTGTATATAAGCCACAGTATAGTTGTTAAAATCAGGAAATTAACGTTGATTTAATATTAATTAAGTAACCTACAGACATTCAGATTTTACTCATTGGCCCATTGTACTTTATAGCAAAAGAAAATTCCAGGTCATGAGTGCACTCAGTTGTCATATCTCTAGTTTCCTTTAATCTGGTGCAGTTCCTGTTTTTTTCATGACATTGACTTTTTTTTTTTTTTGGAGATGGGGGTCTCACTGTTGCCCAGGCTGGAGTACAGTGGTGTGATCATGGCTCACTGCAGCCTTGAACTCCTGGGCTCAAGCAATCCTCCTGCCTGAGCCTCCTGAGTAGCTGGCACTACAGGCATGCACCACCACACCTGGCTAATTTCTTATTTTTTGTAGAGACAGATTCTCCCTGTGTTGCCCAGGCTGGTCTCAGACTCCTGGGCTCAAGTGATCCTCTTGCCTTGGCCTTCCAAAAAGTGTTGGGATTACAGGTGTGAGCCACTGCATCCAGCCAACATTGATATTTCCAAAGACTGCAAGACAGTTATTTTGTAGAACATGTGCAGTTTGGGTTCATCTGATGTTTTCTCATGGTTTAATTAAGGTTATTCATTTTTGGCAGGAATACCGCAAAGTATTGTTATGCTTTTACATCATATCAGGAGGCACAAGATGTTCAAATACTGGTAATATGATTTTGGATCACTTGATTGTTACTGTTTTTCCTTTTGTAATTTTTTTGTGGTAAAATATACATCATTTATTTTTATGTTTAACCATTTTTAAGTGTATAGCTTAGTGGCATTATATTCTCTTTCTATTCATAGTCACAGTCCCTTTGTAATTTTAAAGTATTTTGTGTAAAAATACGTAGATACTTGGTAAATATCCTGTCACTGTTTGAACTTTCACTCACTAATTTTAGTATCCATTTGTTGTAAACATCTTGTTACTCCTTGAACTTTTGCTCACTAATTTTAGTATCCATTGGTGATTTCTGCCTAATTTTCATAATGGTCCTTAATTGGTGATATTCTAATTCCATTATTCCTTCTACACTTATTTATAATAGTACTTTATTTATTTTGACACTGTCCCTGACTTGGCCAGTAGGAGCCCCTTCAGTTCTTTTGACATGCCCCTGTCATTCTTTGAGCATGTATTCTAGGCTCATCTTGCATGTTCCCAGCCCCAGCCTTGGAATAAGGAATTTCTTCTCAGAGCCCTGGTTCCTTTTAATAATGACTTTAAAAGCCACAGTCTGGACTCTAGATGTCCTGGTTGCAACTGTTATTGCTTCTAGGCCTTCTCAGCTGACATCTGGGAAATAGGTATATGTGAGAGGAGGAAATGTGTGTGTTTGTATGTGTGCACACACTAGTACATCTTTATTAAAAGCAGTGAGTTTATACAGATACCTCAGATTCTGACCCAACACTACAGGGTTTATTCTTTCCTTTCCTCATTCCTTATTTATAGCTCTGTTTTCCAACAATGAGAAACCTGGCCCTATTACTCATATTTTTGCTTATTGGTTCAACTCTAGAATATAAGAAAATAGTTTAAGAATTGTTAACTCATACCACCACTTAAAAGATACCTCGTAAGTAGAATTCAATGTTTGTTTATAGTGTTTTTCGTTTAGCCTAAGGGCAGGTAGTCTAAATCTGTGCTGTGTAATAATAGGGTAGCTACTAGCCACATGAATAGAGATGTGTTACAAGTGTAAAATGTACATTGGATTTGAAAACTTACTACAAAATAAATATGAGATATCTCACTGATATTTTAATAATAGTTTATGTTGATTATGTGTTGAAATATTTTAAGTGTATTAGATAAAATATATTAATAAAATTAATTTCACTTTAATGTGGCTACTAGAAAATATTAAATTACATATGTGGCTCCATTATATTTCTATTAGAATGTGCTGATATAAAAACCGTGTTCAAAAGTTACTTGGATTAATTTTCCTTCTCTAACATTCTTTCCCTTCTCCCTGGGGTTATGTTACTCATTTGAAATACAGTGTACTTCATTTATTTCTGTTTGTATTCTGTCTTTTTCACTTGATCCTAATTGATCTTATTTATTCTTCAGTATGTGAAACATCAACATGTTTCCAAAAGTCAGAACTCTACAAAAATGTTTATACTCAGGGCACTGTCACCCATTCCTTCTGTCCTTCACACTCTAACCTGACCTCTGTAGGTTACCAATCTCATGATTCCACCAGTTATCCTTCATGTGTTTTTCCCCCCTCAGGATTGAGGAGATAGATGCACATTTTCTAATTTGTCTTTCATTCTTACACAAAAGGTAGCATACTATAGATACTCTTTTGTACTCTTATGCTGTTTCTAATATTTTGAATTTACAAAAAGTGCTGCAACTTTGTCCATATGTATTTTGGTATGTTGGAGGTGTATTTTTGGGTAAATTTTCAAAATGGAATGGTTGGGCCAAAAGTTAAAAGCATATGTAGTTTTCTTAAATATTGCTAAATCCCTTTCTGCAGAGGTTGTACGAATTTGAATTCCCATCAGCAGGGTATGAGAGGGTTAGTTTCCCCACAACCTCATCATCAGAGTGTGTTGGCATACTTTTTAATTTTTGCTAACTTGATAGGTAAGAAATAGTATCTCAATATAGTTTTAATGTTTGTTTCTCTTGTTATTAGTGAAGTTGAACATCTTTTCATATGTTTAAGGGTCATTTTTATATCTTTTTGTGTGAAATATATCTTCATTTTTCCATCAGGTTTTTGGTCCCCTCCCCTTTCTCAGTTGTTAGGAGTTTTTAATATATTAGGAATATTAGCTCTTTACTGGTGATGTATGTTACAAATATTTTCTCCCAGTTTGTAGTGTTTGTGCGTAGGTATGAATGTTTAGACCTTTATGTAGTCCAGTTTTAGAGTTTTTTGTTTTATCTGAATTTTGGATTAAATTTAGAGGCTTTCCTTGGACCCATGGTAAATAACTCACCTGTGTTTTCTTCTAATACTTCTGTAGTTTTAGTTGTTAATTTGGATCCTTGATCCATTTGGAGGTACGGTTTCTTTAAAAATGAATAAAAAGACGAATTTTGCCCCAGTGTTCTTTGATATGCTACCTTTATCATATATGAAATTTCCATTTGGTTTACTTCTGGACTTTCTATTTCTGTGCCATTATCACACACTTTCAATTATAGAGGCTTAATAGTATATCAAGGGCTAGCTTTTAAAATTTTTAGTGTTTTCCTGACTATTCTTGCATGTCTGTTTTTCTGTTGAACTTTAGTATCAGCTTTTCTGTCTCAATGAAAAAGCTTGCAGGTGTTTTTATTGGGGTTATGTTAAATTTATAAATTAACATGGAAGACTGACTTTTTAATGCTGTTGTTTTGTGCTGAGATTTCTGTCCAAGAACAAAGAATATCTTTCCATTTGTTCAGATCTACTTTTGTGTCTTTCAGGAATGTTTTAAAGTTTTCTTCGTATTTAACTCCTCGATAAATTCTCCTTTTTTTTTTCAGCTCAATAATATGCCTTGTAGATCTTTCTTTTGTATGTCTGCATGATTTTCTACAGTGTGGATGTACCATAATTTATTTAACCTGGCTGATATTGGTGGACATTAAAGTTATTTAAAATTTTTCACTATTGTAAACAGTTCTGGAATAAGTAAATATCCTTGTAGAAGTCTAGTTACTTCCTTATGATAAATTTATCAAAGGAGAATTGCCTCATCAAAGGTCTTTTGACACATAAAAGTTTCTGAAACATATTGTTAACAGCTTTCCATATTAATAAAATGTATACCTCCACTAACACTGTGTTTGAGCCCTATTCTGTTGACATTCAGCAAAACAGAACCTTATTGCTCTTTTTTAATATTTGCCAGTTTGATAGCAAAACAAAATATGTTTATATTGCATTTCTTTGCTAACTGATGAGTTTTATTTTTTATCCATCTACCATTCAGCTGGCCAGCATATACTTACTGAGTATCCACCATGTTCTGTAAGCTATCCCATGTATTAAAACTGTAGTGATGACTAGAAGTTGAACATCTGTTCGTGTGTGTGTGTTTGTGTGTGTGTGTGTGTGTGTGTCTCTGTGTGTGTGTGTGTTTGAGATAGGATCTCATTCTGTCACCCAGGTTGGAGTGCAGTGGTGCCATCACAGCTTACTGCAGCCTCGACCTGCTGGGCTCAAGCAATGTTCCCACCTCAGCCTCTTGAGTAGCTGGGAGTACAGGTGCATGCTACCATGCTTGGCTGATTTCTATATTTTTTGTAGAGACGGAGTTTTGCCATGTTGTCCAGGCTGGTGTCGAAATCCTGAGCTCAAGTGGTCTGCCTGCCTCGGCTTCCCAAAGTGCTGGGATTACAGGTATGAGCCACCACGCCTGGCCTCTTTTTGTGATTTTTATTATTTTGTGTCTTATCTCTTTTTTTTGTTGACAGTCAGTAGACTTTCCTGTCCTCAGGTCTGAGAATGACAGAAGATGGCATTTCCTTATTCCATTTGGTTGATGAGCTTCTAAAAAGTGCTTTTGTATGTGTGTCTTCATTGCACATTCTATGGCAAATCACTGTGTTAAACTCTTAGATTTACAAAGTGAGACAATGAAAGTTAAGTGCCTAGACAGGTGTCAAAGAAATAACTGTGTATTTTTATAAAAATAACTTATTATTACTATTTTTCAGGTGAGGCTGCTGTCAGAAAGGAACTTTTACACAGTTTGCCTTCAGAGACAGTCTATCGGCATGTTGTAGAGTTTTATTACTAAGAAAATAAATGTTACTTACATGGTAAGTTGCCTTTACTTATGCATATTTTATAGAAATACTGTCTGTTTACTCTAAAGATTTGTTTGCTTGTATTTTGTTTCTTCAGTTATCATTTTATTTTGTAACTGTCATGTAAAACAAGTTTGAAAATGGCAGTTTCCTGAAAGGTATAGGGTCTTTTGAAGATTTTCTTACTTCTATTTACTATCTGTCTTAATTTTATTGTTTGTAGTAGAGAGGAGAACAGGGGCTGTTTAAATATTGGGATTCGTTTTCAAAGTTGGATCACTAGCTTTGCTCTGTCTCTTTCCACTGTAACAGCTGAGAGTTAACATCCTTCTTGTCAAGTCCTGGCTTCCCTGTAATTCATATAGTGAGCAGCAAAGATGCAGTGTTATTTTAAGGGTTTGATTAACTGATTCAGGAAGAATAGATGGTCATTTAAATAGTAAAGTATTATAAAACAGAATGAATAATGTTATTAAATAACTTAGAAATGAAAAAAGATAGCTGATTTTAACTTTTAAATATTACCCTATAAGTATTTGTTGTCAGTTAAAAAAATTTTTTTTTCAAGGAAGATTTAGTAAGTTGATATGACCTGCTGTTTTGTGAGAGGCTTTCTTACTCACATCTAATGATGATCTTTTGAGTATATTCCAGCTTCTGACTCTCCTGTGTAGCCAGTGACGATGGGCCAGCCGATGTGCAGGGTGATAGCTTTAGGGGTAACCAGAGGGTTGGTCACAGCAACCGTCAGAAGATAAATATACTCATGTGCTGCTGACGCACATTGCAAAAATTGGATGGAAACTATGACATGATAATGGTGATTTGCCGAATTTTCTCTTAAATAGTTTTGTGCAGCTAAACACAGTGAGAAATAAATGTTGATGTTGAGAGCTGAGTTCAAACAAATTAGTCTCAAATAGAATCCAGGGATGAGGAACTATAGGCACAGAAAAAAGAGAGGAACAAGATTATCCTTAGATTTGTTTTTTCTTAGTCTTCTTGCTTTTGTCAGCATCAGAATACTGTCTTAGGTATTTCTGGATGTTTTGCATGGCTCATGTGAGTAGAAGCATAGGATTTCATTGTGGATGACTGAAAAGGCCTACATCTCAGAGCAAATCAAAGTGAGTTTTAATCTTGGTTATTTGAAATCTCCTTGTACCTGTCTTATTAGGAGTATTATTTTTTTTTTTAAGAAGAAACTAATTTGCAGCTGGCTATAAAGAGTGACACTGTGTCTGGGAAAATGCTGTACTAACACACTGTGCTGTCCCACAAGAGTACTTCTCAAGTCCCCAGATGCAGTGCTGACAATCTGTGACAGCCTGTGAATTGTTGGGCAGCAGTTGGGGAAGATGGACAGCAGAGTGAGGTGGTTGTGTGTAAGTTAGAGGAGGTGGGGAGGGGAAGAAGTGAGAGAAGAGCAGAGCAGTTTCTAAGTTTTGTGGGCAATTTGAATGGAAGGTGTTTTAGTTGTTGGGTTCTGCTAATACAGCTGTGAAATAAACAGCTAGAAGGTGGGGTGGAAATAGTGTATTTCACCTTTCCTTTCAAGGTGTTATTGATTCTGTCATCAAAACTGTAAAGTTGCCTGGGCATGGCAGCTCACCCCCGTAATCCCAGCACTTTGGGAGGCCCAGGTGGGCAGATCACTTGAGGCCAGGAGTTCGAGACCAGCCTGGCCAACACAGGGAAACCCTGTCTCTACTATAAATATAAAATATTAGCTGGGCATGGTGGTGTACGCCTGTAATCCCAGCTATTCTGGAGGCTGAGACAAGCTATTCCTTGCTTGAGCCAGGCAGGCGGATGTTGCAGTGAGCTGAGATTGCGCCAGTGCACTTCCAGCCTGGGCGACAGAATGAGACTCTGTCTCAAAAAATCAAATAACAAAAAACCCTGTAAGGTTCTATGTTCTATTGATGAAAGTATGGGTTGGATGGAATTAAAACTTTTGAGGAGACTAGAAATACCACATCATACCAGGAAATGAAACTATAAAGGTAAGGGTAATGGGGATAGGGCTTATCTTTTCCAGGAATTATTATAGTAGTAGTAAGGCCAGTTACCATATTTAGATCCACAATGGCTAGGCCTTTATCTCAGACAAATGTACATCTTGTTATTTATTTATTGGATTGATTTGATACGTATGCTATCCGCTGTTACTGTTTTTATAGCAAGCATTGTCAGACATCAAAGACAAGAATTTCTGGATATTATTTGGATTGTGGAGTGGAATTTAATGTGGGCAAGTTATGGTTCAGTTCTTTCTTTCAGTATGAGAATAGTTATACAAAGTAAATAGCTTTGCTACAATGAACCTTTGGCTGTAGCCAGACTAATATTGGGGACTGAATGTTTGTGTTCCCCCTAAACTCATATGTTGAAATCTGGTCCCCAATGTGATGGTGTTGGAGGTGGGGCCTTTGGGATGTAATTTAGTCATGAAGGTGGAGCCCTCATGAATGACATGGCTTCCCCTATAGGAAGAAGCCAGGGACCAGGTGCGATGGCTCATGCCTGTAATCCCAGCACTTTGGGAGGCCAAGGCGGGTGGCTCACCTGAGGTCAGGAGTTCGAAACCAGCCTGACCAACATGGTGAAACCCCATCTCTACTAAATACAAAAAATTAGCTGGCCTGGTGGCACATGCCTGTAATCCCAGCTGCTTGGGAAGCTGAGGCAGGAGAATCACTTGAACCCGGAGGTGGAGGTTGCAGTGAGCTAGGACTGTACCATTGCACTGCAGTCTGGGCAGCAAGAGTGAAAACTCTGTCTCAAAAATCAAACAAACAAACCAAGAAGAAGCCAGGGAGCTAGCTTGCTCTGTTTCTGCTGTATGAGAATACAATGGGAAATCAACCTACTGCAACCTGGAAGAGGGCCTGCTCCGGAACCAGGCCATGCTGGCACCCTGATCTTGGACTTCTAGCTATTAGAATTGTGAGAAATTTTTGTTGTTTTTAAGCCACCCAGTCTGTGGTACTTTGTTATAGCAGCATGAACTAAGACAACCAGTTTCTGTAAGTCTCCAAAATAACACTCTGACTTTTTGCGTCTTCACATGTTGAGTCTATTCTTTCCACTTGTAATATCTCCCCTCAGTTCTGTGTCTGAACTTCTAAATCTGTTTCTAAAGGCCTAGCCTCAGTTCCACCCACTTTATGACATTTTCCTCACCCATTCCAAGCCCTTAGTGATATTTTTCTCCTCTGGTTTCTATCATTTACTGCTTTTCTCTTTATTTGGTAGTTAGAGACATATATTCCCTTAAAACAACATTAAAACAATCTTTCCAATTAGGTAGAGACATCTTAAGGGGAAGCTTCATTTTTACTCTCTCGGCTTACTGCAACTTCTGCCTCCCAGGTTCAAGCGATTCTCCTGCCTCAGCCTCCCGAGTAGCTGGGACTACAGGTGCGTGCCACCATGCCTGGCTAATTTTTTGTATTTTTAGTAGAAATGGGGTTTCACCGTGTTAGCCAGGATGGTCTCGATCTCCTGACCTCCTGATCTGCCCACCTCAGCCTCCCAAAGTGCTGGGATTACAGGCGTGAGCCACCGCGCCTGACCCCTACTTTATAATTTCTACTACCCCAGCAGTGATGTCAATACAATATGTGCACTTAATAAGTATTTGATGGTAAAAAAAAAATGCCATTGCCTATTGTTAGCTTTTACCCATCTTTAACAATTATCTTTCTCTTTGTATCATAAGAATACTAGATAAGAATTCAGTTTAAATACCTGAGCCATGTTCGTTCAGGACATGATTCTTCTTGAAAGCCTTCTGTAGCCCTGTGTACAGGCATTCTGTTCCTTAAAGTAACGTTGCTTTGAAGATTTTACTGTATTGTAATTATTTGTTATTCTTGGAACTCTAATGAATAAACTTTGAAACTGCATAGAAGAGAAACTCTTAAATTTATTAACTTGTTAATGTTTTCTTTGCCTGAAACTTGCTTTTGGTTTCTCAGTTTCTCACCAGGCACATTTCACACCTGCTGGTATAGCTCCAAGGAGGGAGGTGATAGATACGGAGCTGTAGCTATTTCTCTAACAGACAGACTCTACCTCATTTATAAGTATTCATTTTTGTTGTTACTGTGATTTGGTATTTTAAAAATTAAACTGTTCTGTGCTATGCATTTTTACAAACATACATACAAAATAAATAGCTTTGCTACAATGAACCTTTGGCTGTAGCCAGACTAGCATTCTGGGCTATGCATTTTTACCCCAACATAATTTTTAGAAGATATGTGTTTTAGTCTTACAGTAGTAGTTAGATGCAGGGACTTTGAAATCCAATCCACGGACTTTGAAATCCTATCCAGCACTTGGAAACTGTGTAATCTTAAGTAACTTAAGTTTCAGATTTTTCATCTGTAAAGTTGGGATAATAATAGCTACCTCTTAGTATTGTAGTTGGGATAAAATGAGATAACATATATGACACTTAGCTGAGATTGAGTCTGGTGGCTTCTACTTTCAAAATTTACCCAGTGGTTTATTAGCTTTACTCTGTGAATCTTAAAGAGGAAAAGAAATCAAGTTTAATGCATGTCAAGGTTGAGGTAAAGCCCCCAAAGCTTTATCCATTTGAGCTCCTTTATTGTCAACTATAGGATGTCAGTTAAACCCAGAATAGACCCAGGAGAGGAACTAATTTCAAATAACTGTAGAAGCAGACCAACCTCCAGATGTGTATTGAGGGAAAGAAGTTTTAAGAGGGAGTTTTTTTCTTCTCTCCCTGCCCCCTACCGCCAGTTACATATGCAGAGTAGGAAGCAAACTTTTCTCTCTACCTTTGTATTACATATTATATTGCCATTGTTCGGTATATTAAAGCTTTTATCTGACTGCCTTTTGAGGTGGTCAATAATAGGTGCTAACATTAAACTTGGAGCAGTTAAGTCGGTGAGCTGTGTGGTTACCTTGTCAGTGGAGTGTGAAAAAGACTAAGCTGCGGACTGTTTCCCAGCCTATAAAGCGTGAAATCAGTTGGTGCTGATGCATGACGACTATAGCCAGTGTAGTATAAAATAAGCTGGGGGCATGAATTGTGTTATGTCGTGAGAAAGACCTTTTCATGCCAGTTTATTTATATATTTTGGGACCTCCAAGATCCTACTGGAATCATGTATCTTGTATCTTTTGTTGTCTTGATACTCAGTTTTTTCATGAAATGTTTCTTCCAGTTGTGCAAGCTGTATTCTTTGTCCAGCTGCAGGCAGAGAGGCAGAGGCAGTAAATATAAATGTCCAAGGCAGAGGCAGACTAATATTAAAATACTGTATTATATTCTGTTTAAGATTGCATCTGAAAATACCATCTGCAGTTGGTATTTGATGTACAGGTTTCTTCTGTTTTAGACCCAAGATTTGAACGTATACTCTACATTCTACTTTGAGCTTCTGCCAGGGTGAGAACTGTGTTACCAGTTTCACTGGTTGGTGGTCCCATGTTGAAATGTGCCTCTGGAGAAGGAAAGTAGAGAAGGGCAGCATTTTCAAATGCTTGGAGGAGTTGGTAGGAAGAAGTATAGAGATTATTCTTATGCGGAATAGAAGAGAGGGTGTTCCTCTCCTGACACCTGGTGAGGTTCTTTACCATATGGCTTTTGAGGGTGAGGCAAGGTGAATGAGGAAGTTTCAGAGACAACAGTGAATTATTGTCAGCCTTTTTAAGTCTGGAAGGTTATTGGAAATAGGCATGCCATGAAAGCATTAAAGATCTTTCATTCTTATCTTACTTGGTTTTCTCCTTTTACGGCAGCAGTCTTTGAACTCTTTTTGGTTGTTTTGCAGTTACATGGATTCTAAGCAAATTGTGAATATTTATGAAACTAATGCATCATTGTGAGACCATTCTGCTGAATATCAGGCAGTCTAGTCTAGTAGTTAAGTGCAGGGACTTTGAAATCCTAACCAACACTTAGAAGTTGTGTGATCTTTAGTTATTTAAGCTTCAGATTTCTCCTATATAAAATTGGGATAATCATAGCTATCTCTTAGTACTATAGTTGGAACCAAATGAGATAATGTATATACAATGTTTACCACAGTCCCTGTCATGTAGTAAGCACTCTGTAAATGGTAGCTGATTATTCTTCTTTCTCTTCCTCTACTACTACTAAATCACTGCTCTACCACTACTTCACTTTTGCTTGTAGGGCCTAAACTGTAATGAAACAGAAAACACAATTAGACATGGTTCATCGCGGCAGATTTTGAAAAATATGTCATTGTTCTCTTGGGCATGGCTTAATAGTTCTTTCTTAACTAAGTAGAAACTATAAAAAGACTTTTTAAAATGAAAGATAAGAATCTTTGTCTTGGTTTAAGATAGCTTTGCAAATGAGTGTACAAAACTAGTTATTCTAAAATGTATTTGCTTAATGCAAATAAATCAGCCTTTATATGAGCTTAGGGAATATGTAAAACTAACAGCTCGAAGAATTGTCATTCCTTATTACTCACCTAACACAACCTTTTTTTTTTTTTTTTTTTGGAGTGAGTGCTTTTTTTTGGGAATTGTTTGAAGTTTTTTTCTTGTGCCAAGAATAGTCACAGTAGAAGTCTTGTCCAGTGTATGAGGCACATTTTTGGGGGAATGGGATGGAAAAATCACCCTGATCATTTATCCTTAATGGTAATGAGTATTAGTGTGGATAATATATTTGGATTTGATGTGCATTATGTGATTATTTCTTCAGCACAATTAACTTCCTGATTAAACTTTGCTCAGCATATATTGTGAGCATATACTCGGTGGAAAACTGATAATACTGCTATAATGGTGGTAAAACTGCTAGTTTAGTTGATAGACAATCTGGGTTCTGGTCTTAGTTACTACCACTCTAATAGTCTTAGATAAATCCCTCAACCAGATGATTTTCAAAGGCTCTTTTCAGCTATAAGCTTTTTGTTGGTTTGTTTTGAGACTGGGTCTTGCTCTGTCACCCAGGCTGGAGTACAGTGTCACAATCATAGTTCACTGCACCCTCAAATTCATGGGCTCAAGCAGTCTCCCTCCCTCTCAGCCTTCCAAGTAGTGAGGGTTACAGGTATGTGCTACCGTTCCCAGCTAATTTTTTATCTTGTTTTAATTTTTTAGAGACAGAGTCTTGCTAAGTTGCCCAGGCTGGTCTTGAACTCCTGGCCTCAGGCAGTACTCCCACCTCGGCTTCCCAGAGTGCTGGGATTGCCTGCGTGAGCCACTGTGCCTGGCTTCAGCTATAAGATTTGAAGATAGGTATGCAGGTGGCTTAGAAACTGGGAAATGTAGTAGTGACACATTTTGGCCACCAGAGGGTGAAGTCCAGTCATTGAAGTTGTGCTCTGTATTTGACCAGAATGTGGCATTCTTGGAAATGAAGAGGACACATTGACCCTCTGTTCATTTAGGTTAAGTCATAGAGCCTCTTGCTCTCTGATTCTGCTTTCACTTATTATCTTTCTAAAACTTTCTGGGTAGGGCTGGGGCAGATACTAAAGAAAGGAGAAGAAAGGAATAGAGGTATCTAATTGTCAGCTATTCATCCAATTTTGTTCTGTAAGATAGTGAATAGCTTTCAGATGACCTATGGGCAACCTTGATGGGAAGCACAATAGTATATAGGTCACCACACTTAATTATTTGTGGCCACCTTCCTTCCCCAAAACACATAGGCATGCACACAACACTTAACCCTCATTGCCTTCACTCTCTCTGAAATTCCAAGGATGAAAACAGAATGTCTGAGAAATATAGTAGCGTGAGCACAGCCCTTATAATTGTAACCAAGGTTCCAGTCTTGCATTGCCACTTAATATCTGTGTAACCACAGACATTACAATTTTGAATTCTCAGTATCTTTATCTGAAAAACTAGGATGTTGAATTCTGACCTATACAATCCCTTTCGGTAAGTCTAATTCCAAGGCTCTGTAAAAATTCTTTAATGTTTATTTGAAGGGCAGTGCTATTCTTAATACAACACTTTAATAAAGTAGTATCTTTAAACAATAGCATGTTCTTTTTTGATAGAAACAGAGCTCTAGATGTTGTTAAGGCATAGATATTAAAGAAGTAAACTATCATGACATCAAATAGAAAGACAGTTACTGCTCCACCGTGGCATTTTTTTGGCCCCATAAACAAATACAAACTAATTCTCTGTGAATATAGGCTCAGGATAGCAGTGGTTCAATCAAGAGGGGCCAAGACTAGGAGGAGCCAGGCCAAGCTGATTTCGGGTATAGTTAATAGTGAAACATTATGAGAAGAAGTCATTTGGGGATAAGTAAGCTTAGCAAAAGAGAGCATGTAGGTTCTGGGAACCTATGTCATGAAGCTGGAGTCAGAATCCATTTCTTCCAGCCACACCAGTGGAAATAACTTTGACACAACATTCGATTATACAAGTCCAAGTTGCTGTCTGAGAGCTCAGGATGATAAGATGGAAGGAACAAGGAAAGGCACGGTAGACAAGCTGAGATGAGTGTCTAGAATGTGATAGAGCAAATGGACTCAGAAGTGTGCTTGTGAAAGCAGGCAAGGATTAGTACTTACTATTATGTTTAATATGTATGCAAGAGAGTAGAAGCCAGTCAGGCTGACTGGGTAGAAACAACATTTTAGGATTATGTTCAAAAGATAATTTTAATCTGTCCTAGTTTTAATCGCTATCCTTGGTGTTGGTAGAAAAGGTCTATTTGGTATGTCTAAGGCTCTACACATGTTTGAGGCTAGTGATTATATCACTGACAAACTCTAGGTTGTTTGATGATTCTAATAGCTTTACACTCCACGGGATATACACGTATTCACAGATCCGCTCACTACTGCTGCAGAGTTCATTTCACAGAAATGAACTGGCTAGTAAAAAATTTGGCAGGCAAACTAGCTTTTCAAGTAGCTGCTAGGAATGGAGCCCAGCTATTCCCTTTGGGCTTGAGCTGTTGGAATTCATTGGGTTAGCAGCTAGAAAGAATGAAACTGTAACATTTTTAGCGTGGTTCATGACAGCAAAGCTGAGGTGTTAGGATTTCTGTTCTAGAGGTTTACACTGCAAGTAACTTAACTTGATTGTGTGTCTTAATATTACTGGGCTTCTGACCGCTGAAATATGGCTTGGATCGATGGTGGTTTGGAGAAAGTAGAAAGAGGGCTATCCATCATCTGGAGGCTCCATAGAAGCTGGCTGATAATGCTGCTTTCACCAGGCAGCCATCTGTCCATCCATCCATCAGTAGGATGAAATGAGATTTAGCGGAACAGGCAGCCGTAACTCTGAAATACTTTCTAACCAACAATTGCAGCCCTGGCCTGAGTCTGACCACAAAGCACAGCACTGGGGTTTGGCGGGATGTGGCAGCAAGTGCAGTCTCCTTCCCGTCACTGCCAGCCTAGTATGTATTCAGTATGAGGCTGTAGCCCAAGCTTACTTCCCATACAAAATTTGACTAAACTTGGGATGACAAGTAGACAGAAATAGTCTTTCAGCTCCAGACTAAAAATTTTACAAGTTGAGCAGACCCTTTCGGTGGGGAATTTTTTTGCTTAACACTCTGGGTACTTACAGTAATTCTGTCATTGTGGTACTTAGGGATGAGGTAAAGGTAATTTACTGATTTCATTTTATATAAATTCTTGTTTTTCTTAAATCAAAATTTTTACCTAGATTGTTAGGTTGCAGAAATGGAATTTTCATTCTCTTATTTCTTTCTTCTCTCTTTGGTGGTGCTAATATGAAAGGAAAGAAAATGTAGATGGGGAAATGGGTAAAAAATTCGAAGCAAGAAAATGGATGATCCCTAAAATGGACAGTTAGGCTCTGAATAATTGGTTGTGTACCATGTCTTCCTGGTTCTTTTGCAGGAACATTGAGCCTTCTGAGAGAGCCTCTTAGTGTAGCTCTGTGCTCATGTTGCCTGTCCTGGTACCATCCCTAGCCATAGCCAGCTTCCTTGACTGCTTTCTCTCACTGATCACTTTAGACCTCAGCTCCTGCTCTTTGTTCTG